>NC_000004.12:158315320-158618350 GCF_000001405.40 Homo sapiens
TCATAGGCCCTAAAGCAGAAACAAGCTTAAACTATGGAGGAATAGAAAGAAGACAATGTGAGTAGGGTGTGAAGCAAGGGAGAAAGTCGTAGGGAATCGAGACTGGACAGACAGAGGCAACAAAAACCATTGAGAACCTTGTACGTGTTGGTAAGTGCTTTGAACTTGATTTAAGATGTAACAAGAAGTCGTTTGGGGATTTTAAGCAAGAGGTTTCCTTTATGTATTCATACAATCTCATTATAAGAATCTTCCACTAGAATCATGTCTTATGCTTGTATTTTTTCACAGCTTTTATGTTATGTGTTTATTTGTGAGAGTTTTTATAATACATGCTTCTTTTTTTACATAAGCTCCATGAGGGAAAAGACTTTTGTTTACCACTGAATATCCAGAGGCTAACTCAGTGTCTACTAGGTACACAGTATGTGCTCAATACGTAATAGTTGAATGAATAATTGAATATTAAATGCTTATTTACAATTCTTTTTAAAGTCACAGGATAAGGAAATAATCCCCTCCTTGTAATAACAAGGAATATCTGACCGTTGCACTGAGTGAATCAATTCCAGGCATCATCTCAACTTTCTCAGCATGACTGCATCCACTAAGCCCAGAAAAAAATGTGTGGTTACATACTTTTCAATATTTGAAGTCAGTGTACTTGTTTATAATAAAACACAGAAAACCCAAAAGATAAAAAATTCCCAACACAAAAATGAAATACAATAGTATCAAGAGCTCCACAGGCAGGATTTTCATATCTATTGTTTTATATGATAGAAGCTCTAAAATGGTTTTTGTCTGTAACCTACAGTTCAGTAGATTTGATGGCTAAACTGCATTAGTAAATGAGAGAACTGAAAGGACTTTATGACCATTTTCTTCAAGTAATTCTGTCCTGGATAGAAACATTACAGTCTAAAATTTTGAAACAATAAACTTACAATGGCTTTGTCCAAAGAAAGACTCTTTCTGCTTGAAAGGTATTCAGAATCATTTCAGCAAATCAAATCTGGGTATGTCTTCCTAGAAAGTGAGCATTTATAGTAACTATTTCCATGGCTACTGCCCAGCCTCTTTTCTCAAATGGCTCCAAACTGACTCTGTCCAAACCTCTAATCTCCTTGTGTGTATGACTGTGTGTTTCATGGTTGGAATGGTGCATACGTTTTCAGTTCCTTATTTAAGTACCACCAACTCATATTTGAAATTTCCCAGAGTAACCACTAAAAACAAATCACAAGTCATAAGCATATGCACTGAGCATTTACCTGATTTCAGGGAGGTAGGGAGAATTCTAATCACCAAGAATGTATATCTAGTAGTTGAAGTTCTCTTAAAAGAATCATAGCTTTCCATTTGTCCACTAGGGTCAAAACAAATTCTAGTGGAAAAGTTAATATAATTTCATATATTCACATATTCTTACTGAGGTGTCAATAATTATCTGATGTGATGATATCAGAGCCTTCCCTGAAAGGAAGTTTGGTTATGGAGGAAAAGAGATACAGCCTTTGAAAGGGGGCTTGCCTGGGATAGAGGAGAGTTTGAAGGCAGGCAAAATAAAATCTTCCTCACAATTTTCCTGGGACCATCTCTGCTTAGAAGTTATATTTCTTCCTAGAAATAACAGCGTGATGCCTGAGTTACTCAGGAGAAGTGATAAAATAATAAAAATGCTAAGAAAGAAAGAAAAAATGTAATGATTGCTTTAGGACACAAGATCATTGGACGATTTAATTACTTCATATTACAGGGAAAACTTGAAACAAGGATTTTCCTTTGGATACTATCATAAGGTTATTCATTAAATAATGAAAAACCATCCTGTTTCTGCTGTGGGCCACACACCGCTTGGTGCAGGCGATACAAAAATAATGAAGACAGAGACCCTGCTCTCAAGTTGTATACCCCCCAGTGGGGAGACAGAGGGTACGTTAACAATTGCAATACAATTAGGCTCCTCAAGGGCAGAAATTGTTGATATGTTTTATTTAATTCCCCATCCCCAGTGCCTAAAATACTGGCAGACATGCAATATGCACTCAGTAAACATGTGAGGAGTATTAAATTTATATTATAATTGCTATAATGGAGATGAGTTCAAAGGGCTGCATAAACTTCTGAACAGCTACACATAGAAGATGGTATTTGGATTAAGACTTGCAACATTAATTGGAAATTGAAAAGTTGGCAGGACATATATAGAGAGAGAGGACACAGGAGTGTGGAGATAGCATAGTGTATTCTGGAATATAGGTAGTTTAGTAGAAATGAAGCATTAAATTCACAAGAATAAGTGGCAAGAAATGAAACTGAAAAGGTAGGAAGAAACCATATAGAGGAGGGAGGGCCATAAAATTACTGAAAAAGACTTGAAGTTGAATCTGCACATAATGGAAACACGGGAAAACTTTAATCAAAAAACAGTATATGATAGTTAATATCTATTAAACATGGCAGTCAGGCAAGAAAAGGCCTAGTCTAGAAAGAAACTAAAAAGCCAAGTAGAACGACTTCAAACTTTAATTTAAGGAATATCACATTTTAAAAATTGGCTTTAGGTAATAATTAAGAAAATATTCAACCATCTATATATTCTTTTTAACTTATTAACTTTTTTACAATACTTTAGAATAACTTCATTTGACATAATATTAAAAACACATAATTTTTAAAACAGTCATCAATTTGCTTTTTTTCAGTTAGACTGGTGATTTGTAACTGAAGGTATATATCAGAATCTCCTGAGAACTCTTGGTTTGGTTTGTTGATTTAAAATACACGTTCCCGGTTGGGCACGGGGGCTCACCCCTGTAATCCCAGCACTTTGGGAAGCTGAAGGGGGGCAAATCACCTGAGGTCAGGAGTTCGAGACCAGCCTGGACAACATAGTGAAACCCCGCCTCTACTAAAAATACAAAAATTGGCTGGGTGTGGTGGTGGGCCCTATAATCCCAGCTACTTGGGAGGCTGAGGCAGGAGAATTGCTTGAACCTGGGAGGTGGAGGCTACAGTGAGCCAAGATCGTGCCATTGCACTCCAGCCTGGGTGACAAGACCGAAACTCCATCTCAAAAAAACAAAACAAAACAAGCAAAATATACATAACCACATGCACTAAGATTTCTGGAGACAGGTTCTGGGCATGACTTTTTTAAACTTTTCATTTTGACATAATCTTAAACTTACAAAAAAGCTGCATGAATGAATATTACAAAGAACCGCCATGTTAATTTTATTCAGAGTTGTGGTTTTCTATTGCTGCATAATAAACACCCAAAAGTTAGTGACTTAAAATAACAACAGTTATTTCTTAGTCACCTATCTGCAACTTGGGTATGTCTCAGAAGGAAGGCTCACCTCTGCTTCATGCAGCATCTGCGGGTATAGTAGCTTAACTGGGGCTTGGAGTACCTAACCCTGAGACAGCTCCTCCTATTGCTAGCAGATTAGTGCTGGTCATCGACTCAGTTCTCCAGTGCTGAGAGCTGTGGACCTCAGTTCCTTCCCATGTGGACCTCTCCAAGAAAAGTTCCTATAGGGCTGCTTGAGCTTCCTCTGAGCATAGTGGCTGGGTTCCAAGAGTGAGCATGTTAGAGAAGCAGGCAGAAGCTATACTGCCTTTTATTATCACCCTAGGAAGTCACATAGCATAATTTGTGCCACAGACATGCCCACCCACATTCAAGGACAGAATAAATAAACCCCTTATTTAGTGAAAGAGCTATGAGATGCGATATATTATTGTCAGCATTTGTACGAAATACAATGCGCCACACCCAGAGTCACCAATTGTTTATATTTTACCTCATGTATTATTTTCCCTCTCTATCTCTACATGTATATATAGATACAGAGTATCTAGATATGGAGAGATATATTTAAATGTATATTTCCTAGGAAAGAAGTAGATTATCTTATATAACCACAGTACAATTACTAAAACCAGGAAATTTAATATTGTTACCTTACTAATATATAATCTATAGTCTATATATAAGTGTTAACAATTGTCTTCTTGCCCCAGCTCATAAAGGATATTACCAGGCATGTGGATTTTTCAGATCTCCAAAGGGGCTGCTGGTGGGCATTCTTAGTAAAGAATAATATACATAGACTGAAGACAGACCCAGGTTCAAATTCCAGCTTTGTCACTGACCAGAGGTATAACCTTTGGCAAATTACTTCGGTTTTGTATGCCTCAAATTCTTCATTAATAAAAATGAGGTGGTTCACACCTGTAGTCCCAGCAATTTGGGAAGCTAAGGCAGGAGGATCACTTGAGGTCAGGAGTTTGAGACCAGGTTGGGCAACACGGTGAGACCCCCATCTCTACCAAAGACAAAAGTAAAAATTAGCTGGGCATGGTGGCATGTGCCTGTAGTCCCAGCTACTCAAGAGGCCAAAGTGGGAGGACTATATGAGCACAGGAGTTCAAGGTTACAGTGAGCTATGATCATACCACTGCACTTTGGCCTGGGGACAGAGCAAGACCTTGTCTCAGGAGGGAAAAAAAGAAACATTTTTAGCTACATCATAGAATGTTGAAAAATGTGTTATGCACCTGCTTCTCGGTCAACATTCATTTTGTGCTGTTTCATTCTTTAGAATTACTAAACAACTGAAACGGGAAATTTTCTCCGACCTCTTCATGGGTGGGAACTGGAATGGGGACACGAGCTGGCTGGCCACTTTGGCTGGCTTCACTCACTCAGATCTGCTGTGCTCTACCCGTCACAGGAGGAGGAGCACAGCTGAGTGGGCGCAGAAGCTGGGGCAAGTGCTTCTGGGTGCCAGCAGGAACTCCATGCGGGCCCTGCAGCAGCATCTAGAGGGGCATACCCAAGACCCCCAAAGCCCCAGAAGTAGTGTTACAGGCAGCACTTTTTTAACTTTGACATCTGCACACAGCTTAAGTGTTTAATAGTTCAGTGAACCCTCTGTCTTTTTGCAAGGACAGAGGGTCAGTGTGATGGCCTCTGTATCCTGAGCTCTTATCCAGCATCCAGGAAAAATCAGGTCACATGAACAAATAGTAGGATAGTAAATGTGGGGGACTTTATTGCTGATGGAAGTGGCTCTGAGTGGGAAGGGGAGCTGGGAAGGGGAGCTGAAAAGGGGATGGAGCAGGAAGGTATTCTTCCCCTGAAGTCTGGCCATCTCCATCTGGACTCTTCTACAAAGTCCTGCCATGAAGCTGTCCCTCTGAAGTTAAGCTGCTTCTCTCTGACATTCAGCTCCTTCTTCTCTTCTCCCCTTCTGATAAGGTTTGGCTCTGTGTCCCCACCCAAATCTCATCTTGTAGCTCCCATAATTCCCACATGTTGTGGGAGGGACCCAGTGAGAGATAACTGAATTATGAGGGCAGGTCTTTCCTGTGCTGTTCTTGTGACGGTGAATAAGTCTCACAAGATCCTATGGTTTTAAAAATGGAAGTTCCCTGCACAAGCTCTCTCTCTCTCTTTACCCACTGCCATCCATGTAAGATATGACTTGCTCCTCCTTGCCTTCTGCCATGATTGTGAGGCCTCCCCAGCCACAGGCAACTGTAAGTCCATTAAACCTCTTTCTTTTGTAAATTGCCCAGTCTCTAGTATGTCTTTATCAGCAGCATGAAAACAGACTAATACACCTTCTCTGCTCTCTGCCAGTGGAGCCTCGGGTTTTTACGGGTACATGATAAAGGGTGGGGTGGGCCAGGGGTGGTTTTGGAAAGGAACATTCAAGCAGGAAAAGGAAAATGGGGATGCAAAATTCTCACTTTGGGCAGTGGTTCCAGGCTTGAGGGTGGGGCCCTCAGCAGGGATGCTACCCTTTTCTGCCTAGAATTTCTCTGCCTCCTGTCCCTATCACAAAGGTTGCAGTGCTGGAGGTGGCAGTGTCTGTACAGCTCTTGCTCCTCCTCCACTGGACTTTAACTACATATGAAGCAATCGATATAAATTCAATCATGCTTTTACCAAGGCTGCCGTCACTTATTTGGGGCATATTGTTTGATTCAATTAATTTATGAATTCAATTCCACAAAAGCCTTTGTTCTCTGTTCTCAAACAAACCAGTTGCTTTCATGAACAGGTAACTGAAGCTAGGGAAAAGCAATTGAATGAATGATGAGGAAGTCATGCCTGATCTCTTTTTTTTGTAGGACATGCTCCTCACCTTATGACAGGGTTATATTGCTATATACCCATCATTAAGTTTAAAGTATTGTATGTCAAAAATGCATTTTATACACCTAACCTACTGAAAGTCATAGCTTAGCCTAGCCTACCTCATGTGCTCAGAACACTTACATCAGCCTACAGTTGGGCAAAATCATCTAACACAAAGCCTGTTTTATAATAAGGTACTGACTGTCTCTTGTAATTTGTTGAATATTGTACATTACATCAAGGTTGCAATGGTTTTGCACCATTGTAAAGTTGAAAAATTTTCAAACCATTGTAAGTCAGGGAGCATCTGTACTTATCAAATAGTGAGTCCCTCCAATGAAGATGATTTTTCATGGTGTTATTTGTTAAGTACTAAAAAGAAGAATACAGACACGACTTCCTCACTGAGTCTTTCATTAATATTGAAATGTAAGCTACTGAAAGAAAATTCTTATGTCTTTTCCCCCGCTACTGTTAAATACGCCCCAGGATACACACAACTATTGACTCTGCTATTTGATCATAGTTCATTAGAGGTCTGTGGGTTTATTTTGCCTGAGATTTCATTCAAGGTGACTTTATTAACTTTTACAGCTCTCGTAGTTTTCCCCATCCCTTTATGATACCATCACTAAGTAATCCTTTTCATAATATATAAACATTTTAGCATAAAAAACCTTAAGCAACTTGGTTCACTTTATCAAGAGCCACCAGACTTTGGAATCCCTTTAATTTATTATTTGCTTTGCTTTGTTGACATATTTAATAGCTGGTGAATAATTCCTAGCAAATTGCTTCAGTCTGGTTCTAAGAAGTATGAGTCCATTTACATGCATGTGTGTTTAGATAGCATAATACCATGCAGCGCCCAAACTCATCTCCAGATTTGGTTTCTGGGAGATAAAAGGGATCCCTGGAGCTAATCAAACTGTTGTCATTACCACAAGGGACAATGTCACAGATAAATGTGGCTAGACTGATCATAGTGTTGCTAATAGATCCCAGCCTAGAATGATTTACCTTAGTAGTAGAACCAAGAAAGTTAAATCAATCCTTTTAAAAATCTAAATATGTATAAACTTTGATGATACAAATATTATTGTCAGTGCTGGTCTAGTCTCAGAATCAAAGATCTTTATGTCCTAGCTATTTCACAAAATCACAGGAGCAATAGAGAGTGACAGGTGAAGCTTTGCTGCAATTTTTTCTTATTTTGCCATACTGTATCTTGAAACCATAACTGTGTCTTGACCCTAAACACAGAACTGTGACATAACAGAAATCAATATTATTATTTAGCATACAAACACATCAGGACAGCCTAAGGCATCCTTGAGGAGACGCTATGGAGATCCACAATGTCTCTATCATCCCCATACTGAGTCAGGTTGTACCCTTCAGAGTTTGTGTGACGTAGCTTAGAGTTTGCTTCACCAATGACAGAATTCTAAACTAAAGCTACACTACATGCATGAGATGAAATAGTTAACTTTTTGCAAAAGCAGTCATAGCTTAGCCTCATATTTATATATTGTGAGTGTCTTAAGGTAGACTATAACCCTTTTACAGATGAAAATATGAAAGTCACATCTTCAGTAAAGATGTAAAGTGATTAAATCTTTTGTGATGATCCATACTGCAGAGTTTTAGTCATGTGCAGCATTGCAAAATACTTATCATCCAGTAAAACCAAAATTTTTTTTCAAGAGATAAATATAGCTTATTCTAGTTACCAGTTAAAAGCCACCAAAGCTTGAAATTTTAAAATTCTATCCAAGACTTTTTTCTTTTTCCTTTTTTTTTTTTTTTTTTTTTTGAGATAGAGTTTCGCTCTGTCACCCAGGCTGGAGTGCAATGGCAAGATCTTGGCTCACTGCAACCTCCGCCTCATGGGTTCAAGCGATTCTCCTGCCTCAGCCTCCCAAGCAGCTGGGATTATAGGCATATGCCACCACGCGGGGCTAATTTTGTATTTTTATTAGAGACGGGGTTTCTTCATGTTGGTCAGGCTGGTCTCAAACTTCCGACCTCAGGTGATCCACCCGCCTCAGCCTCCTAAAGTGCTGGGATGACAGGTGTAAGCCACCACGCCCAGCCCTATCCAAGACACTTTTAACATTTGTGTGCATTTTTCTTTATTCTAAATTATAATATCAGGAGTATATAAACTTTCAGAAACAAATAAGTATTTATTCATTTGAGCCACCTGCTTTTTCCTTGAATAGCTGCAATGTTTTTACTAACCTGCAAATGTAAAATATGCAATACAGGCTGGGTGTGGTGGTTTATGCTTGTAATCCCAGCACTTTGGGAGGCCAAGGTGTAAGGATCACTTGAGGCCAGTAGTTCGAGACCAGCCAGGGCAACATTGGGAGACCCCATCTCTGCAAAAAACATATAAACTAAAAAATTACTGGGGCATGGTGGTACATGCCTATAGTCCAAGATACTCAGGAGTCTGAGGCAGGAGGATTGCTTGAGCCCAGGAGTTCAAGGTTGCAGTGAGCTATGATCAAGTCACTGCACTCCAGCTTGGGTGACAGAGTAAGACCCTATCTTAAAAATATAAATACATATACTCAATACGTACAATAACAAAGAAAATTGGAATATACACATAATAAAAATGAATTATTTTCTTCCTTTATTTATTTTGAAGGTGTTTCTCTAATCAATGTAAAATTAGTAACACAATAGATAATTTGCTAAGCACAATGCCAAATAATTCTCTTACATTTTTTTTACAAAAGTAAACTCCAACTATTAAATTTTAAATAAATGAATCTTTAGACTCAAGCTTATTTCATCACATATAAGCCATCTTATCTTAAAGACAAAGTTGTAGAATTTTGACCAAGACCAGTTACAGCTGTATATTAAACTATTCTGAATGGTCTGAAGAAAAAAAACAATTACATCAATGAACCCTAGCACGCAGATACTATAAAATTTTAAGGCCAGAAAACTTTCATATTTACAAGAATTGTTGTGAAAGTAAGTGGAAGCTGTAAAATGCAAGAAATATTATAACTGAGAGATTCAAATTGCCCTCTGGTGAAAAGGGCAGTCTGTTTAGAACTCAGTATCTTTTTGTTTGCTAGATGAGCTCACTCCTTGTACTAGATGGACCCAACAAGCTGCTAGCTGGTTGTACTCACACTCCTAGGGAAGCCACAGGAGCCTACCCCATCCACAGGCTTCTGAGTTCAGTACATGTGACCAGGTCACACTTGACCAGAGCAGGGTTGGATGTCTGATGCAAAGGAAGCCCATCCATAGAGTGGCCCATGCATGGCCTATGAGGTAATTGATGATAGAGAGCTCAATCAAGTCTTTTTTTTCCTGGTTTTTTATTTTTTATTATGTTTTAATATGTGCCTTTGTACCAACAGCAAAAGTAAGAAGCAGCCAGTAAGAAGGGTTTTTTGTTTTTTTATTTTTTGAGACAGGGTCTTGCTCTGTCACCCAGGCTGGACTGCAGTGGTACAATCACAGCTCACAGCAGCCTCGATATTTTGGGCTCAAGCAGTCCTCCCACCTCAACCTCCAGAGCAGCTGGGACTGCAAGCACATGCCACCATGCCCAGCTAAAGTTTAAAAAACAAAAAAAACAAATTTAGACTGGGTCTCACTGTGTTGTCCTGGCTGGTCTTGAACTCCTGGCCTCAAGTGGTCCTCTCACCTCTGTCTCCCAAAGTGCTGAGATTACAAGTGTGAGCTACCATATCTAGCAATTAAGAGCATTTTAGATAACCTTCATCTATTAGCTACAATAAGCACCTGATTAGCTGTGCAATGTTGTTGCCTCTGCCTTGTACAACAAGGGAATCACCACTGGTTCCTCAGTGGGCAGCCAGTCTATGCTAACCTGCCCCAAGTCCAAGGAAGCTGAGAGGCCTAAGAAAAAGGCTAACAAATCCAGTTTCTTAGAAACATTTAATAAAGACTTATGAACAGAAGCCATGTCTGTCTCAGGTAACAGCAAGACAAGATGATGTATCCCTGTGCCATTGCACCCCCAGACCCAGGGCTTATATACCATAGAGAAAGGGCGACTTGGAAGGAACAGGTAGGACAATTGAAATACAATAACATCAAAGGTTGTTTTGACCTAAAGTTGGGATTTACAGTAAGTAGGTGCTCTTGCACAAGCAATGATAGATAAAGTAGGTATCTTAGAGGCTTTCACAAAACTGAGATTAATCAGACGTCAATATGGTGGATTAGTATGCAACATGAAGTTGCTTTGGCCTCAATGTCACTCACCACGGCAAATCTTGTTTTCCCGGTTTTATTATCATCTATAATAAAAGACCTGGTCTTTTGGTATAAAACTTGGTATATGTAAAGGATACATATACATAATATATGTACATTAAGAGCAATAATATAATGAACATCCATGAAGCTATCACTCAACCAAGAAATAAAATGTTATTTATTTACCTCTATTCATAATTTCTCTTCCTGTTGCCCTGCTTCCTGCCCCGCTCAGCACAGATCACTACTGTAAATTTTGTGTTTATCATTCTTTTAATTTAAACAATTGTTGTCTGGATGACAGAGCCTTGGCAGAAAAATAAAATATAGTAAAAAATAAAAAATTGTTGTCATAAAATATGTATGCATTCAAAATTAAGCATCCACAATTTATCTAAGTAGTTATATGCTACTATATTTTCACAACTGTATCTTTTATTGTTTTAATCCTCCACAATTTCTTATTACATTCTACTGTTAAATACCATTATTTTTATAGTAGGGAAAAAAAGCAATAACATGATCTGTGCTGCCACAGGCTTTCTTCTAATGGCTCCTGATACAAAGGTACAAAATTTTCTTCATGGTCTGCCTAGGAGTGAAATCACTGGGTTGTGTGGTATACAAATGTTCCACCTTTCAAGATAATTTCCAATAGTTTTCCAACATGATGGTACAACTCTCCTTTTCAATGGAGTTTGATTGTGAAATACATGGAGAGAGTGAGTTAGTGCCAGCATATGATACAGGCCAATGTCAGTATAAGCAGAAGCCCTAAAGTAGGGAAGAGAATGCTGTTCCTGAAAGATGCAGAAATAGCAACGTCAGAGATCCAGAGCTATTGCTAGGTCCTGAAGATAGTCCAGTTGCTAAGGCTGGCAATGGGTAGGACTTCCAGTAATGTGTTGCATAGAAATGGTGGTATTCAGCATTGTTTTCTCCTTCTCAATCATAGGAGGAAAGCTTTTATTATTTTACCATAAAGTGTGTTATTTCTTGTAGGTTTTTTCCTACATTAAAGAAGTTCCCAGTGAATACTAGTTTCGGAGGACTTATTTTTTGAGTCAAAAAATGGATATTGGATTTTATGAAGTGCTTTCTCTGCGTCTATCAAGATTATTGTAGTTTTTCTCTACTTTTTGCCACTAATGCGGTGAATTACTTCATTTTTCATATATTAAAGCAACATTGCATTCCCAGAATACACCTAAATTTGTTGTGTTATTTTCTTGAGGATTTCTGCATTTATATATATATATGAGACAAACTAGATTTCAATTTTTCTTTTTTGAAATCTCCTATACAGAGTTTGATATCAATGTTACACTGGCCTCATAAAATGAATTGGATGTTTTCCTTTTTTCCTACTTTTGGGGAAATTGTGTTTAAGGTGTTAATGAGTCTTCCTTAAATGTTTGTTAAGACTTTATTATTGAGTTCTTCTGGGGCTGGACTTTTCTCTATTGTTGTTTTTGCTGTTGTTTTATTATAGACTAAATTTCTTTAACAGAAAATAGACTTATTCAGATTTCCTGTTTTCTCCTATATCAGATTATACATTTCACCTAAATTTTCAAAGGTATTGCAATAAAGTTGTACATAATATCCTCTTATCATTTTAATGTATGTAGAATCATGATGTTGATAATATTTACCTTCTCTTTTTCTTTTATCAGTCTTGCAAGATATTTATAAATATTATTAGTGATACAGGAGTTAAGAAGAAATTAGGCAGATAGTGAGGGTAAGAAAGTCCTGGGTAAGGTTTTCCATTTAATGAAAGCAGCCCCAAATTATCGTCTGTTCTAACAAAGAGCTGCCTGTAAAATTGAGCTGCAGACATAGATGCTGGCAGTTGTGCCACTCACGTTCAAGAAGGCAGCTCCACCTTCCCTTCTCTTTGTCAGCCACGTGTATTGTAAGGAGCAGACAAGTTGGCCCAGGTCAACTGGAAACCCATTTGCATAATAAAGTTAGGGTGGGGTAGCCAGCCTTCCCTGTGCAATATGTAAATGTCATACCTGATCGAACCAATCTGTAAGCCCTATGTAAATCAGACACTGCCTCCTCAAGGCTGAAGATAAAGTCCAGCACAGCCGCCACCAGCCCACCTTTAATCTTGGCAGTCTCCCTCTCTCACTAGAGAGAGAGCTGTTTTCCTTTCTCTTTCTTTTGCCTATTAAACTTCTGCTCCTAAACTCCTCCTGTGTGTTTATGTCCTAAATTTTCCTGGCACAAGACGACAAACCCCAGGTATTTACTCCAGACAATGTAGCCACTTCATTAGTACTAACTTTCCTGGTGTATTTTTGTTTTCAATTTCTTTAATTTTTGTTCTCAAATTTTCCTTTATTCTAGAATCTTTTAGTTTAATTTGCCATTTTTATTCTAATTTTTTGAGATGAATACCTCCATAATAAATTACCAGACTTTCTTCTCTTGCAATATATGCATTTAAAACTATAAGTTTTCCTCTGAGCACTGCTTTAGCTGAATTCCACAAGTTTTTATGTGATAGTTTCATATTATAGTTTTAATCATGATTTTTGCTTTGACATGTGGATTACTTAGAAACGTAAAATCTTCTATCATTCAGGGATTTTTTCTCATTGTATTTTTGTTATTTATTTCTAACAATTTTACTATGACGATAGCATATACTTTGTATGATTTAACATTTGCGAAGTTGTTGCGGCTTACTTTGCTGTCCAGCTATACATAATGTTGTTGTATTCCATGTAAACTTGAATATAATATGTATAATACAATTGCTGAAGGTTATGTTCCAGCAGCATGTTTTATACACACATACATACATGCACATAGCAAAGTAAGCTAGCTGTGTTCTAAATTTCTGTGTGTCTGCTGATTGTTTTCTCTGTTGTATCAGTTACTGAGACAGGTATATTAAATTCTTCTATGATCATGGTCTTGGCAATTTCTTCTTTTGAGTCCGTCAATTTTGTTCTACATATTTGGACACTACGTATACGAATTTAGGAGTGTTATACATTTCTGGTGAATTGTATCTTTCATCATTTGAAATATTTCCCTTTATTTTTAGTAATAATCCTTGCCTTAAAGTTTACATTATCTGTTATTAGTATAACTCTGTAAGCTTTCTTTCTGTTGGTGTTTGCATAGAATGACTTTCCATTTTTTTACTTCCATTTTTTATTGGTGTTTTCACAGAAAGACTTCCCATTTTTTACTTTCAATTTTTCTATGCCTTGTATTTAAGGTGTATTACTTGTTAGTTTTATTTTAATACAATCTAACAATCTTGGTTCTAGTGTGTTTTGCCTAGAACAGAGAAATAATTTTCATTGGAACATTTGGTCCATTTGAGTTAATATAATACTGAAATATTTGAGATTATATCTACCATCTTACTCCTCTTTCTCTCCCTCCTTGCCTTGGCCTGTTGGATAAATCTGGCCTGCTACAGGATGAATCTAGCCACATCCATTTCTTGGCATATTGTCTATGGATGCTTTTGCATTACAATATCAGAGTTGAGAACTAATAACTGTTAAGTAATGAGCTATTTAACCATAAAGTGGTAATCTGACAACTGAGAAAGTTTTTTTAAAAAATTATTTGATATATAAAACCTTAGGGAAGGTAGAAGAAGATATTTCTAGTACGTATATACAACAAAGGACTCATTCAGAATTTCTAAAATTAGTAAGTTGGAAAAAGAAGATAAGGAAAGAAACCCCAAAATAACATGAACAAAAAACCTGAACTGGTATTTTATGAATGAGGATATTCAAATAGCCAATAAACACATAAAATATGTAATCAACTTTATTAGACTCAGGAAAATATATATATTAAAACAACAATTCATTAAAACCCATCTATTAGGATGGATTTTTTTCTTGAGACAGGGTCTTACTCTGTCACCTAGGCTAGAGTGCAGTGGCTTGATCGTGGCTCACTGTAACCTCAACCTACCAGGCTCAAGCAATTCTGCCACCTCAGCCTCCCAAGTAGCTGTGACTACAGGCACGTGCCACCACACTTGGTCAATTTTTGTATTTTTTGCAGAAATGTGGTCTCACTCTGTTGCCCAGGCTGATCTTAAACTCCTGGACTCAAGCAATTCACCTGCCTCACCCTCCCAAAGTGCTGGGATTACAGGTGTGTCCCACCACACGCGGCCTAGAATGTATAAAATTTTTTAAGGCAGAAAATAATTATTGGTAAGTCTATGAAACAGTCAGAATTCCTATATGCTGCTGGTAGGAATGTACACTGATCCAACCACTTTGAGAACTCTTTGGCAGTAGTTACTAAAACTGAACATACACCTGCCTTATGACTTAGCAATTCCGCATGTACCCAACAGCATTTCATGCATTTATGCACCAAAAGATATGGACAAGAATGTTCTTAGTAGTGCTACTTATAATTTCCCCAAACTAAAAACTACTCAAGTGGCCATCAACAGCAGAATAAAAAATAAATTGTGCTATTTTTCCATAATGGAATATAAACACAATAGGAAAAAATAAACTACAGCTATACACAAGAACAAATTTCACAAACATAATGTTGAATGAAAAAAGCATTACACAAAAGAGTGCAACAGTACCATAAGAAAGGTATAAAAAAAAGAGTGCATACTATATCTGCTATATGATTCCATGTGTATAAAGTTCAAAACCATGCAAAACTAATCTGTGATGTAAGAAGACAGAAGACAAGATAGTGGTTTCCTTCTGGAAGGAAGTAATTACTTGGAGGGGTTTCCACAGAATTTCTGGGGTACAGGTAGTGTTATTCATTTTTTATCTTGGTGCTGGTTACATGTATGGTTAGTTTCTGAAAATCCACCCATCTGTGCACTTATGATTAGTATGCTTTTATCTATTATGTTATGCCTCAATAAAATTTTCTTAATGTTATGGAAATTTAAGAGAATACTTATAAACTTAGTAATTTAGAAATAGTGTAATTATTTAGATGAAAAAGTTTGTGTGTTTTTATAATGCATCAGATTTTACTTTTATTTTCTCTGAAGCAAACTAACATATTTAATATAGTACAGAGTAGTAGTATTATACAGTAAATATTTGATTTTAAGTAAGAAAACCATAGGCTCAAGATGGAAAGAATAAAACTTTTTCACTGCATCTGCTTTCTGAGAAAACAAATGTCAGACATAATAAATAAAATAAAAATAAAATTATGGATGCAGAATATCTTAATACCATTGCGATGTTTGAATACATATTTGAATGCCTCCCTTTCTAAAGTATGTCATTACATTTAAATTACTTATATACTCTTAGGACCCACAAATAACATAAACTGTACTCAGAAATATTTAACAATTAAAGAGAATTGTGTAAAATTCTTATTTTATAATATATAGAAAAAAATAAGAGTGTTTCTTCTTTGAAGAAAGGGGGGCTATTATTTGGTGATCAGAAAATAGAAGCACAAAAAATCTAGCTCATCTTATTTCCTTTTCTTACACCATACAAAAGCTCATATATTTAAACAACGAAAAGTAGTTGAATAGTAAACAGAGAAAGCAATTGTTGAACAAAATTAATTCATTCTGGAAAAATTCCTATGATCTGCAGTTAAGAATTTTTCCCAAGAACAGCCTCTATTCCTATACTATTGTTTGCATATTTATATAAAACTAAGTATATTTTAATTTTTGTTTGTTTGTTTTTGAGACGGGGTCTCGCTCTGTCCCCAGGCTGGAGTGCAGTGGCGCGATCTCGGCTCACTGCAAGCTCCGCCTCCTGGGTTCACGTCATTCTCCTGCCTCAGCCTCCCGAGTAGCTGGGACTACAGGTGCCTGCCACCATGCCCGGCTAATTTTTGTATTTTTTTTTTAGTAGAGACGGGGTTTCACTGTGTTAGCCAGGATGGTCTCGATCTCCTGACCCCATGATCCGCCCACCTCGGCCTCCCAAAGTGCTGGGATTACAGGCGTGAGCCACCGCGCCCAGCCTATTTTACTTTATAATATTATTTGCAAAACAAATCATGGCCTACTTACGGGAACATGCTCATTATTGTCTTACTCACCATGAATTGTTAATGTCTGCTTTATAGTGGTACATACAATGAATTTCCATCACCACAAGAAGTTCCCCTAAGCCCCTTAATATTCAAACTGTGCAACCACCCAAACCCTGGTAACCACTGATATGCTTTCTGTCACTACAGTGGTGCCTTTTCCAAAATGTCATATAAATGAAATCATAGAATACATAGTGTATTTGTCTGGCATCTTTTACTTAGCATAACATTTTTGAGATCATGTAGGTTATTGGATGTATCAATATTTTGTCCTTTTTCATTGCTGAGTAGTATTCCATTTATATGGATTTATTGCATTTGTTTATCCATTCACCACTGGGTAGACATGGCTAGTTTCCAATTTGGAGCTAATATAAAAATTACAAATAAAGCTGCTATGACTATTTGCATACAAGTGTTTGTATGCACATGTTACTTAAGTAAATACCCAGGAGTGGGCTTTTTGGTCATATAGTAAATGTAGTTTATAAGAAACTGCCAAAATATGTTGTAAAGTGGCTGTACTATTTTGCATTCCCACCAGCAATATACGAGAGTTTCCATTTTCTCATATACTTGCTAAAACTTAGAGTTTCCAGCTATTTAATTTTTGCCATTTTAGTGGGTATGTGGAAGCATCTCATTGTGGTTTAAATTTGAATTTCATTATCTGTACACTAAATCTCCTCAACATACAATTTACCCACGTAACAAACTTGCACATGTACCCCTTGAATCTAAAAGTTGGAAAAAAAGTACAATATAAAAATAAATTTGCATATTCCTAAGAGCTAATGATACTGATCATCTTTTCATGTGTTTTTTTTTTTTTGCCATTTGTATATCTGCTTTGATAAAATCTCTTTTCAAATCTCTTACCCATTTTAAAATTTTTTTTGGCTTATTAATGAGCTGTGCAAGTTGTTTATATCTTCTAAACAAGGCCCTTTATCAGATATATAATTTGCAAATATTTTTTCCCATGCCATAGTTTGACTTTTAATTTTCTTAACCATGCCTTGAAGGCTCCCCCTCTGGTATCATGCTTATTCATTCATTCAGCCATTCATTCATTCAGCCATTCATTCATTCATGCAGCAAATGTGTGTTTGGTACATACTACGTATTGCAGTACAATAAAAAAGTTTTCAAAATCCTTTCTCTCTTTCCATCAGAAAATGACCTTGAGTTAACCTTCTAACATTGTTTCCCTGGAAATGTGAAATGCTGACTTTGTTACTAGTCAACGTTACTTATGGCAAAAAATGATGCCTGACTGGAAACAATATCAGCACTAGGAGGACAGAGAGTGAACCTTAAAGACCTGGTGGGAAGCCATAGCTTTCGGGTTTCCCTGAGGATATTGATCTTATAATGGGTGTACGTGTCATGTGGATTGCTAGTAGACACCACCAGGGAATAAATACAATATTATGGGGCAATGGACCTTCTAGGTAAGGGTGGTATCTTCACCCACCAATGTGATCTTCTTTAAACATGGGCTATTACTTGGAGGGCTAGAGAAGAAAATCCTGGACTGCTGTCTGGACTCCTGCTGATGACACACCTGATGCTGTCCTTCCATCATCTCCTACCCATGTCCTGTAAAGCTGCATGAGTCTGATGCCACAAGTCCAGTTAAGTCCATGAGTATAACTGGCTAGCTGAACCCAAGACTACTGCTTCTGGTCAAGCAAAGTGGGTGATTTATGCTTCCAGACATTTATACAGAAAGATGCATGATCCAAAGACCCTGCTTTGGTCTCAGGTACCTTACATTCTAATGGGAAGAGGCAGAAGACAAATAGATTTAAAAATCATACCAGGTGGTAGTGCTCTGTTGAAAATCAAGCAGCAGGTGGAAGATAGAGAAGGACAGCGAGGAGGCGTTGACATTTTATATAGAGTGCTCAGGGCAGGTTCCGTGAAAAAGTGACATTTGAGCAGATATTTCAGAGAAATGAGGCAGCAATCTATGTAGATATCTGCAGGGGAACATTCTAGGCAGAGGAAACAAGTGCAACAGTCCTTAGCAGAAATGTGCTTAGTGTGTTCAAAAAACAGCAAGGAGGCCAGTGTGAAAAAGCAAAAAGATGAAGAAAGAGGCCATAAAGTGTGTGGGAAGCCAGACCTGATTGTTCTTTATAAGCTACCTGAAATGAATGGGAGGTCTTGGAAGTTCTAGGCAGGGGGCACAACAGGAGCTGCTGTGTGAAGAGCAACCTGTGAGATCAAGGGTGGAAGCAGGAAAACCAGTTAAGCTGTTGCAATAATGTAAATGAAAGACAGTAGGGATGACAACTAGAATGCTGCACCGCAAATGGTGAGAAGCGGTCAGATTTGGAATCAGTTTTGAAGGCTGCGTTTGTTTCTGGGTTGACTTTTTGATATGAGGAAAAAGAAAAAGGAGTCAAGGTTGAGTCTATGTCTTGTGGTGTAAGTATCCAGTTAAATAAGTTGCCACAAATTGAAATGGGGAAAATTGAAAGGAGAATTTGAGGGGATGGGGGATCAAGAGTCATTTTTGCACATTTGTTGTAAAATGCTCATTAGACATCTAACTAGAGATGTTATATAGTTAGATGTAAAAGATTCTGGAAACTTTGAGAATAAGGTGTAAATTTGGGAGTCATGATGATGTGGATAATATTAGAAGCCAAAGAAGGAGTTCAGGGACTGGGCCCAGATACTCAGGAATTGTTTAATTTAATTGAGCATAAAAATTTCAGTGGATTTACAAATCTTTCAGGTTTCAATTCTTAAGAAGTTCATGATTTGCCAATAAAGTGTCATGACACCAAGGGTTCTATAAAAAGCACATGTGGCACACACATACTGACTTTGCTTTGCATATGGGCAACTGACAAAAAGATAACTCCAAAAATGCAGTGTTGGACAAGGATCTTAAAAAAATTTTTTTCTCAATTTGCTTCAAAGAAAAAAAACAGCTTTCATTCTAGAATGCTCACATTTATGGCTGGATATAGTCTACATAAAAATGAACTGTTACTCAACCCAAAACATTTTGCCTAACTTAATTTTTATTGTCTCCATCACCTGTTATGAAACAAAAATAAAGTGTGTATACATATCATGGAGTCATCATGACCAAAGTGATTTAATTTATATTCTTTATAAAAACAATCAGAAGGAAATCTGCTTACAGCCAACATACTTAGAGTCAACCATAATAAGGTAAAAGTTCTCAGGCTACACAAAGAAAGAGCTTCCAGTGTTTGCTTGAGCAGCAGGGAACATAGGTCTAAGAATAAAGAAGTCTTACTTTTTACTGTATTGTATTCCCGTTGTGCTCATTGTGCATATTTGCCTCTTTAAAGGAAAAATATTATCTGGTAAAAAAAAATAAAGTTCAGTTAAATTAAATTAAAATCAAGCATAAGATTTGAATGAGAGTGGAAATATTGAGGTCATCAACTACTAAAGAGCCAAGAATTCCCAATGACTTCTACTAAGTCCCAACACTAACTACTGCTTTAGGTTCTATTAACCATATACTTTTTGTCTTTTCCCCCTTTCTATTGCCCATTTTAGACAACTTTATTGCTTTAGGTTCAATTTTCCCCCCACCACCCCCCCACCTTTTTTTTTTTTTTTTTTTTGAGATGGAGTCTTCCTCTGTCGCCAGACTGGAGCGCAGTGGCGCAATCTCAGCTCACTGCAACCTCCGCCTCCTGGGTTCAAGCGATTCTCGTGCCTCAGCCTCCCGAGTAGCTGGGATTACAGGTGTGCACCACCACACCCAGCTAATTTTTGTGTTTTTAGTAGAGACGGGGTTTCAACATGTTGGCCAGGATGGTCTCGATGTCCTGACCTTGTGATCTGCCCGCCTCGGCCTCCCAAAGTTGGGGATTACAGGCGTGAGCCACCGTGCTAGGCCAAGCTAATTCTTTTATACACTTCTCAGCATTTTCCCCCTCTTTTATTAGCTCCTGAAATGCAAGCTTCTAACTAGCAGATTAAGAACATTAGAGAACATAAACAGTTGAAAGATTATTATTTCATACAACATACAGTTAAAAATAAAAGTGACATGAAGCAAATATATAGAGAAATTTTAAAACCAAACAAAACATACATGTATGGAGATATTTATAGTTTCTTTCTAATTACCATATTATTCTTTTGGGGACCTTTTTTTTGCAAAATGCTTTAAGTACCTGCTAAACCATCCATTACATACACCAATGCCATTAGAGTCATTATCTGAGTGTTATTTTCTCTCTCTTTCCTGCATCGTTTTCCTTTGCTTAGTCTCTAGTATTCAGTACAGATTCTCTCATGCACCTCATCCTAGATAATTATTTGTCAGAGAGCTAAGGGAGAGCTCTTATCACCCATACTATACGAAAACAGCCATCTGCCAATCAAATGGTATGGCATAGAACATTAAAAATGAGGAAAATATTTCACATAAGTATAATATAGCAGATAAACTAGCTTATTTCCACCACTGATTAGTTTAATTATTGAGTGATAATATATTTATATTTTTTTAGGAATCCTGATATGAATCATAAGTTTAAGACATGGACTGGCTTGTTCCTCCCTGCCGCCTTGGCTAGAATGCCAAACATATTTGCATTAGATTTCCTCTTTTTTTTCAAATTTTCAAGATAGTTGTTTTAGAGTATCCAGCCCATGCCTCTTTTGTCTGTAAAATGTTTTGCTCCATTCTGTGGATATTGGATAACATGGGGTCTACACAACTGAGATGTTACAGAAAGCTGATTGTGACACAATGACTTTAGCTTTGCTGTTCTCTTCTCAGAAGTATTTCCCAACCCCAGTTCTACCTCCGATGTTTATATTTGGATGTTGTTATGGAAAGGGACATTTTAAATTTTAAAGCATATAAAATCTTCGTGAAAGCCTCTCTCTTTCTCTTTCTCTCTCTGAGCCAGAATTGGATTAGGACTTGACCAGACTCCTATGACAAGGTACTTTTATGAGACAAAATCTTCCAGAGTGTTCCCAGTGAACAGTCTGTATATTTCTTTAAGTTAGAAGAGAAACTCAAAAACTGTCATAGCTACATATTGTCTAGATTCTGGTTTTCATAATAGAACACATCTTTGAATCTTTTCTATCAGATTTG
The DNA here is from genome assembly GCF_000001405.40 of Homo sapiens. Taxonomy (NCBI): domain Eukaryota; kingdom Metazoa; phylum Chordata; class Mammalia; order Primates; family Hominidae; genus Homo; species Homo sapiens. The sequence continues at coordinate 158,336,902 of NC_000004.12, forward strand.
GCCAGTTTTATTGAACACCCAGAGAAGAAAAGCCCTACCCAGACTCCTTTTCCCCTCACAAATCACTTGTTATGCTCCAAAATGCAAAGGGAAGATTCTTTTCTTTGTAAATAATATATATATTTTATATAATATAATATAAAGCATTTTAAAACTGGGACTAAATATTTTTTGTAATTAGAAACAAAATTTGGTGACAATCTAACATTTACACAAAAAGTGGGGGAAGTTTCCTTTAACAGACTTTTATTCCATAAAATATATAACTGTAATTTACTCACTTATTATTTAGGAAACACTATATTTATTTACATCAGAGAAAATTCTATTCTTTCTTTGCTTTAAAACGGCTTTATTAAGTTATTTAATCTGCACAGTTGGATATGTTTTAACATATGTATACACCTGAGAAGCCATCTCCACAATTAACATAAAGAATATATCCATCACTCCCCAGTTTTCTAGTGCCCCAGTGGTAATCCCTCCCTCTTGTTCCATCCCACTGGTCTCTCCTTTATCCTCAGGCAACCAATGATCTGCTTTTCTGTGACAGATTAGTTTGTACTTACTAGAATTTTATATTAGTAGAATCATACAATATGTATTTTGTTTTGTCTGAGTTTTTTCACTTAGAATAATGATCTTGAGATTCATCCACTTGTTGCATGTACCAGTAGTTCTTTCCTTTCTATTGTTGAGTATTATTCTATTGTATGGACACACCTCAATTTGTTTATTCATTCACCTGTTGATGAACATTTAGTTTTGGGCTATTATAAATAAGCTGCTATGATATTGCTCATTACTCTTGGGTAAATGGAAAAGGCTGGAATTTCCTAGGAATGGAAATGGAATGGAATTTCCATTTCCTAGGAATGGAAAGGCTGGGTTTAAGGAGGTATATGTTAACTTGTAAGGAACTGCCAAACTGTTCTCCTACACAGTTGTACCATTTTCCATTCCCACCAGGAGTTTGGTTGTTCCACATCCTCACCAACACACAATACCAGCTTCTTTATTATAGCAATTCTGGTAGATGGGTTATCTTAAGGTGGTTTTAATTTACATGATGTTGAGTATTTTTTCATATGCTTACTTGTCATCCATAAATCTTTGATGAAGTGTCTATTAAATCCTTTGCCTATTTTTATTGGAGTGCTTATTTTCTTATTTTCAAGCATGGTACACTTTTTTTTTCTTTGAGACAGAGTTTCACACTTGTTGCCCAGGCTGGAGTGCAATGCACGATCTCAGCTCACTGCAACCTCCCCATCCCGGGTTCAAGCAATTCTCCTGCCTCAGCCTCCTGAGTAGCTGGGATTTAGAGGCATGCACCACCACGCTTGGCTAATTTTGTATTTTTAGTAGAGACAGAGTTTCGCCATGTTGGTCAGGCTGGTCTCCAACTCCTAACCTCAGGTGTTCCATCTGCCTCAGCCTCCCAAAGTGCTAGGATTACAGGTGTGAGCAACCGTGCCAAGCCAGAATACTTTTTATATATTCTGAGTAGAAGTATTTTATCAGATATGTGTTTTGCAAATATTTTTGCAGTCTTTGGCTTACTCTTCATTCTATCAAGAGTTATCTTTTGAAGATCAGAAGTTATTAGTTTTGATGAAGTCTAATTTATTTGTTTATAGGTGACGCTCTTGGTATTGTATCTAAGAAATATTTGGTCACCATCTTTGATGTCATATCTAAGAAATCCAGGATCACAAAATTTCTTCCTTAAAATTTTACAGATTTAGGTTTTATACTTAGGTTTATGATCCATTTTAATTTTTGTATATTGTGCCAGGTATGGATCAAAGTTTATTCATTTGCACACAAATATTCAATTATTCTGGCACCGTTTGTTGAAAAGACTATTTTTTCTCCTCTGAAACTGCCTTGGCATCTTTGTCAAAACTTAACTATTTATGTGTGAGCCTATTTCTGAACTCTAGGTTTCATTAATGTAGCTATTTCTACACTATTACTACAGTGTCTTGGTTACTACAAATTTATGACAAGTCTTAAAGTCAGATCATGTATGTCTTCCAACATTTATTTTTTCCAGCATGTTTGAGCCATTATAGGTCTTTTGCATTTCAATGTAAATTTTAGAATCAGAATGTCAATATCTACAAAAATGCCTGCTTGGATTTTGATTGAAATTGCCTTGAATTTCTAGGTCACTTGTGGGGAGAAATTACGTATTAACAGTATTAAGTTTCTGATCCATGAACTTGGTATATCTCTTCAATTATTAAGGTTTTCCTTAATTTTCCTCAGCAATGTTTTATATTTCCAGTGCCAATGCAGTGCCTAGAATCCAAGAGTAATCTTATTTTTTGGTGAATTGAACCAATATAAAACTATCATAAAAGAAATCTAACCCTATCTTCAACTTTTAATAAAATCACACAATGTACAGCACTCTGATAAAATTATTCCAATTACTAATACACATTAACAATAGTACCATTTATGCTTTTACATGACTTTGTACTAATTAGATAAGATTTCCTTAGACAATCTTGGCAAATTCTCAAATCAATTTTTTTTTATCTTTGGTATCACTGCTAAATAGGTTTATGTTTTTTATTCCCTATTGATCTTGTTCCATTTCCGATCTTAACTTGTTTCTCTGGAGGAGCAGGTATAGAATCAGTATTTCTTTAAATAATCTCATTGTTAATTCTCCCTTTTTCTATTCTGATAAACTATTCACATTCTCACCCATTCCTTTTCCTTTATCCTACATAGTTCCTACTTTATAAATAATCCAATAATTGCTTATTATAGGATTATCTGATTCATGTCACAAAGCTTAAGTCATGACCTATGGTACTACTTTTTACTAGCAGAGGACAGAGGAAGTTGGAAAAAATGTATATCAAATGTGTTTTAATTTAGTATAAAAACTTTAAGCTTTGAATTCCAAATTGGAAACCCGATAAAAGAAAAAAGACTACAAGGTGGTTTTATGCCTCTCATGACTTGCTGACAAAAAGGGTTAACATTAGGATTAAGGTGTAAAGATAGACCTGAAGAACAGATCATCTAAAATATGTAGTTTTATATGCTGTAGTACATTTTAACAAAAGTTTCATAATATAAAGCAGAAATAAACAGACAAAAAGAAGCCATTAAACAAATAGTCAAGTTTTATTTTGAGTCTATTAAGTGAAAATCAATTTAATTTTATAAAGAGTTTATTTTATCTTTTTGTTCTTTTAATTTTAAAGACTTTATGATATGGTTTGGCTGTGTCCCCACCCAGATCTCATTTTGAATTCCCACATGTTGTGGGAGGGACCCAGTGGGAGGTAATTGAATCATGGGGGCAAACCTTTCCCATGCTGTTCTCATGATAGTGAATAAGTCCCAAGAGATTTGATAGTTTTAAAAAGGGGGGTTTCCCTGCATGAGCCCTCTTGCTTTGCTTGCTGACATCCATGTAAGACATGACTTGCTCCTCCTTGCCTTCTGTCATGATTGTGAGGTATCCCCAACCACATGGAACTGTAAGTCCATTAAACCTCTTTCTTTTGTAAATTGCCCAGTCTCGGGTATGTCTTTATCAGCAGTGTGGAAATAAACTAATACACTTTACCATAAAATTTTATTGTTTTCCTTCAACTAGTTTTAGCTGTCTTACTGAAGAGCTGTTTTTATAAAATGGAATCTTGGGCCAACAAGACGAGCACCATCTTACTTTAAAGAATTTACTCCCAGCTGGAACTGGAAATCTTTACTGTCATCTAGAGACAGTGATAACATATTACAGGAGAGAAACACAAATCTGTTTAAAGTATTTGACAGTGGGTATAGTTAACTCTAATATGACATCATTTTCTATAATCCAAAGTGGCATCTAAATTTATATGGCAAATCATTTTTACTCCTTATCAGTGTCTACGAGATTCTAAAAGCACCTCAGTATCAAGGCTTAGTTATTTCCCCAGCAATGGTTAAGATAGGTCTTTGTCAACTAATCAATCAATTAAGGGAGGAAGGAAAGGGAATTTAATAATTTATTTAGTCTTAAAAATGAGTACATTATAGTTTTACATGAAGGAAAAACTAAAACAGTGTATCTTAGAGCATAGTCCACGACCACCATTGTCAGAATTATCTGAGGGGACTCTCAAATCTGCATTTTTATGAAGTGCCCCCAATGGTTATTATCATATCATAATTTGAAGCTCGTCGTTCTGAAATTTTTTGCTTCAACCGTTAGCAAATAGAAAAAGAATAAGATTCTTCCTATAGAGGGTACACAATGCACAATAAACAAGAAGGGAATTAAAGGAAGAGAAATCTGTGTGGCCTGCTATTAGAAAGTGTCAATGAAAATACAGAACATAAGCTGAAACTTAGGAGAAGAAATTGCTTCCTTTAGATGTCAGAAGCAGAATATAAGAGAACAAAGACAAGGAGGCATATTCCTGTTTGGGGAAAGGTATGAGAAGAGGATAATCACAATTTTATGTAAGACACAGCTTGGGTAACAGTGGCAATTAATATTGAATCAGTGAGGTGAGTCACATAGATCACATAAGCATGGCAAGGGAGTTAAGCCTTGATATGATATTTATCTTCTTAAATTTGATGTTGATATGATAAAAAAACAGTTTAAGGATTTACTATGGCAATGATCAGATAATAGATACATATATATATATACACACACACCCACATATGTATACACACACAGTCATATATATACATGAATAGTAATGGGAAAACAGAGAAAGAAAATATGGCCAAATAACAGCTTCAGAAACAATAATGTGGAAAGAGAGAGATTTAGGTGCAGTGTATTAGGGCCCCACTATGGAGATGGAATGAATGTGAGAGAAGCTTTTAACTATCTCCATTGATTATTCCTTATACCAGAGAAGATAACCAAGAATGTACTTTTTCTCCTCATTTCAATTGAAAGGAAAATAAAAACAGAACAAAATTCAAATGGTTAATTTGTGCTATTATCCATCATAAATAATTCCAAATATTTAGCAGCCAAATGATTTCACAAAGATTACTTTTCCATTAAACAATGCCAAACTCAGAAACAGTCTTTGTCATATAAACAGAGTATTGCATTAAAATAATAAATATTCCAACTTTCTATTCACTGCCATACTCTACATTAACAATGCAAATTTTGATTCATGAATTAGCACACAGCACATAACATTGTCAATCTTCAGTACTCCAGATGCTAAAAATAAACATATTCTGGAAGACTTAGATTTGCTTAATACATGCATGTCTAAGGGAGTTACTGGCCTCATAAAACTGACTTTGTCGCCTGTTGTTTCTTTTAAAGAACTTTACAAATTCACTGTATTGTCACTGTAGTAATAACTGTTGCTATTTTATATTTTTATGATTTGATATCACATGTGTTTTGGAAACTTTTGTCCTGAAGAAGACAAAATTCTAAGAATTTGGAAGAATTCTAAGGCCAACACACTTAGAAAATATTGAGAAATGCTTTGGGAAATCATTACCTATGCTTGAGGCAATGTTGGCAGAGGAAACAGTCAGTCTAAAGAAAAACCTATGCAGCGAAAATGGATGAGACTATTTTTAGTAATGTGTATGTGAACAAACTCCACTTATTAAGGTTCTAACATTTTTTTGTTCACTCAATATTAGTGTTATTCATGTAGCACATGATGTTGCTGCCTTTCTCCATTCCCTCAGCCCACCTCAGTTCACCTGGAGCTGAGGTATACAGTACATAGCAAGCTAATTTCCCACCTCAAAGGCCAGTCTCTTTTCTAAAGGATCGAAGGTTGTTTCTTGACCCTCTAGGACTTGGAAGTACTAGTGTACAAGAGTTAAGACCACAGGGCAATCCTCAAACAGTAGGGGATGAACACTGGTGGATAAATGTCACAATCTTCCTGTCCTCCCGGGGGACAGGTCCGGGGTGTTCCATGGAACTCAAAGTTTTACTCACAGTATTGAACTCTAGGTGAACACAGCAATAACCCATTCATTAACATGCACTCAAAAATTTGTTTTTGGCTTTTCTTCCTTCCCCTTCCCATTTTCTCATTAGTTTGAGTTTCCCTAAAGACTCATCTTTTGGGGGAATTTGAACTAAGCAATGCACTGATACAAATTGAGAAACATTTATAGAAAATTTCCAAGAAACCCTGCTACTATACATAGTTAAATCAACTGAGCTCTCCAAGGTAGCCAACATATAATCCATAATTTATTTCAACACTTCTATATCATTCATAGGGCATATTATTAATCCCGGAATTAAAATCACCATGTTCATTACTTATCTGCAAAATTTCTTAGTGGCCCACGTGTCTTGCAAGAGCTACAGTAGTCAGGCAGGACCTCAGTGTTAGCCCCTAATGAATATGGTCCAGAATATGCTGTGGGAAGAAAACACCATCTTTGAAAATATGTCAATAGTAGCATATTTAGGGGGCTTGACATTTACCGTCTTGCTAGATGGGGACCTCCCTGGTGGGAGGTGTGCTAGTGGGATAGTTAGGTCTCAGAGTAGAAAAGTCGAAAAGATGAAAGAGTATAAAGAGAACTATCTTATTATTTTAATATTCTGTATCTATCTCTCTGATGCAAAAAGTACTCTCTGTTGGTAGTCTTATTTCCTGTCTTCAGTGGCTCTCTCTTCTTCTTGTCTCCTGCCCTATTCCCAAAGTCAATTTTATTTAATCGAAGAAACTGTTAGAATTGGAAAAACAAATAGTCAGGATAGTTGTGAAGGCAAAGAAAACAGAAGCATATTAGATACTGGTTTGTTCTAAGCATCCTCTTTCCCTCCACACTTTTCTATCCCCAAACCTGCAACTTCCTAACTTTTAAATTAAAATATGAAATTATTTTGGTTTGGGGCAATAGCATTTTACGCCGGGACGAAGTTGCTGAAGACTTGGCATATTTCAAAACTTTGATAATTCAAGCTTAATTTTAATCTAATTTAAAAGCCTAATCAAAGCCTAACTTTGATAACCCAAGCTTAATTTAATATTGAGAGCATGGTGGGAAATGTCTACCTAGAATGAATAATTTATAACAAATGTGCATTTGTTTTGCTTTAATGTCTCATTTTAATTTTACCATATTATCTCTGATATTTTTCAGAGTTCTCAAAAATCTGCATAGCATATCATAACAGTTATGGGAAATTGTTCATAGCATTTCATCACCTCTAACTTCTATTCCAAAGCTACTGATTTTAAAGCTTGGTTTTCAGCACTAAAGAACTATCATCACATAAATAAGATGTGATGCCTTATGTGCTCTAAAAGTATTTTAAATCATATTAACCATGAATGGTAAGATAACAGCAAAGCAGTCATCACAGTCCCTCAGAGAAGTTCCAGTTCCCATAAACAAAAGCACAATGCCCAGAATACTAATAAATGATGGGGACATTTCTAGTTAACAGCTAATGTGGCAGTACCCTGTGGGAGCAGTAAACACAGCCTACAAGTCACTTGACAGACAGCCTTGAAATTAATCTTTTTTTATATGCTACAGATATTCATTATTTCACATTTTTCATAAAGAAATATTTCATTAATATGTTAGGCGGTTGTCAATTTACATGATGCAAATTCCCCTAGAATGTGGCAGACACAATGTATTTAATTTTTCAGAAAAATTCTAAATCACACAAGGTGTCTAGGTTCAAGACTGGTGGTAAATAAATAAAAAGTGCTGCCTCCAGTACCAAGATTCAAATTGGCTAACCTGTTATGGGAGTTCTGGCAATCAGCATAATGAGTTATAAGTATATACAATAGAAAAATCTGAGAATATTCTGCTATGTATAATCTTAGCTTCAACTAAACAAAAAAAAATTTACTTGTAAAATTTCCTTTGGTTCAAGGACTTTTATATGTTTATTTTAGGGGTTAGCCAAAATATTTTAAGAAGAAATTAAGTTCATTTTCACATTTCTTAGCCTAGCATGACCTTTGAGATTCTGATAAATAATTTGGCAAAAGTAAAAGTAAATTTGGCTTACTTTGTAGTTGTTATCGATTTTCTGAAAAAAAAAATTATGCAGAGAACATTTTGATTCTTAAAAGGATATATTTCTCTATAATTAATAGTCCCTTATCTTGCTTGGCTGAGCGAGTTTGAAAAAGGAACTGCTCTGTACGTATGAAGATAAACCAAGTGCACAGATTAAAAGGAAGGTATGGTGGATAATTATAGAAAGGCTGGCTATGAAATACTATTCTCTGTTTAGTTGAATATGCTGTAAAATAATAAAATGGTTACAAACTAGAGAGAATGACTGCAGGGATCTTTGGTATGCATTTAAAAAGCATCACTTGCTCCTTTTCCATTTATTTTTTAAGAGAAAAAAATTAACATTAGAAATCCTTCAATTTGGAACACCAACGTCTGTTAAAATACCAAGTTACCTGAAATACCCATCATGAACCAAGTGCTATACGACTCACTGAGCCATAGAACTAGGTGTGCCCGGCAGCCCTGCATCATCAAATGGACATTGCCTATATTAAATAGCTCAAACAGGTCCTGAAGGCACAAGTAAGTGGTACCAGCAATGGCTCTGATTCCTATGGCATAACATCTGTCCACAAGCCCCCAAGTTGCTCTTCACATAATATTGGCCACATAGGAAGGAATAAAAAGAAAAAAGAAAGCAGCAGAAAGACTGTTTCATGGAGTGATTGGGAATACGCTTTGCAGAAGGAACAGCACCCACCCATTTTATAGCCTTTTCCAACATGTGCTCCGTGGAACACTAGATCTGTAGTTGCGAGCAGATATTACACATGCACACACAGATATGAGTTCTGGAGTTACAGACATTTGAGAAATACTTGGTTCAATAAACTGAAATTTACTTAGTGGTCCTTGCATCTTTACACATAGTTTTCCCACACTTTCAGATTTCCATTCTATTTAATAGGTTAGATTATGTCACCAACTAGTTACCCTCAAGAAAAATTACTAGTGCATCCCAGAATGTTGTTTGTTACCTCTTTCCTCCCTAATCACCATGCAACACTGTATATTCCGTACAGTGGGGGGCCATAATTATTCCTACTTTTTTCACAATTGACACTTAAAAGAGATAGACACCACCACCAAGGGCATGTTCCCTCCCCATCCAGGTATAAATGCATTTGTGTTCTCAGGCAGGGGAGCATCACACACCAGGGCCTGTCAGGGGGTGGGAGCAAGGAGAGGCAGAGCATTAGGACAAATAACTAATGCATGTAAGGCTTAAAATCTAGATGACGGGTTGATAGGGGCAGCAAACCACCATGGCACATGTATACCTATGTAACAAACCTGCATGTTCTGAACATGTATCCCAGAACTTAAGAAAAATAAAATAGTAAGTAAATAAATAAATGCATTTGTCTCCCAAGCACATCTATGCTTATGTTAAATGTGAAAGGTTATCTCTTATGTAGGAGTGTGAAGGTCAGATGCCAAGAATTTGCTCTCCAATTGACAAGAGCCACACTATCCAATACAGTAGGCATTAGCCATATGTGGTTATTTAAAATTAAACTTCCAATGTAGTTCTTCACTCACACTAGCCACCTTTCAGGTGTTCACTAGTCACAGGTGGCCAGTGGCTACAGCACTGAACAGTGTGGGCATAGTAAATTTCCATCGTCATAGAAAGTTCTATTGAATAGCACTGGACTAGTGTTACATCACACATATACACATGCTGCTTTAAGGAAGGAGCTCACTAAATCTCAGGAGCCTTCAGAATCTCACAAGGAAATCCTGACTTTGCAGCATCCACTCCTCTAACCAGCCTTAGCTAAGTGACTGCTGGCAACAAGCAAGCAGGAAAAGAAAATTCACATTGTCAGCATAATCCTGCCTCCCAAAAGAAACCATTATAAACCACAAGGAGCTTAAGCATATGCACACGGGCACACATTCACAGTCTCTTTTCTCCATATAGGAGATAACAGGCTGATTTACGTAAGTACTCACGATGGTTTGAACTATCCTGTTTCCTGTGTGTTTATTATGCCCGTCATTTTTGGTTCTCCCAAAACTACTTTAGTCTCCTCAATTCTAACCTATTCAATATAGTTGAAGAAGTGAGAGGAGCCTTTGGAGAGCTGACCACCCTGAGATAATATGGTCAGCTGGACAGGCCCCAAACCACCAGGACTTGCCCCACCTTTACTTGTTGAAGAGTTACATATCATATACCAATTTAGCTAACTTTAAAAGTTTACGTCTTACATGCTTAGTGTAGTTTCTATATCTTTTCACAATCTCTCCACCTAATGTGGTTTACATTTGGTTAATATTCCCTAAAGGAACCAGATTCAACAAGTCAAGGGGCAGAGATTCCAATGAATCTGGTCAAGAATAAGCCAGAATCAGAAATCAAAGTATCAGCCAACATCTCAAACCATAATTCCCAAACCTGGTTGCATGCCAGAAAAATGTTGGAGCTTTAAAAACACCAATGTCTAGGCCCTGTCCCCAGATACACTGATTAAATTAGTCTGGGAATCAAGATCATTTAAAATCTCATTAAGTGGTTTTCATATAGTACAGACAATGGTCAGAAGTCAAAACCGCTGTCTTAGAAAATACCTGAGTCTCATCCTCTAGAGCAGGGGCTATCAAAGCATAGCCTGTGAGCCAAATCTAGCCCCACACCTAGGGACCCATTTGTTTATGTCTTGTCTGTGGCTGCTTTCCCTGCTACAATGGCAGATTTAAGGAGTTGCAACAGAGACCATCTGAACCACAAAGCCAAAAGTATTTACTGTCTTGCCATTTGCTAAAGTCTGAATGTTTGTGTCCCCTCAAAAATGTATATGTTGAGACTAAATCCACAGTGCAGTGGTGATGGGAGGTGAGGCATCTGGGTGGTGATTAGGTCATGAGGGTGGAGCCCAGACAAATGGGATGAATGCACTTATAAAAAGAGGCCTGAGAGAGCTTGTTTGTACCTTTCAACATGTGAGAACACATAGAAGGCATCATCTATGAGGAACGAGCTCTCACCAGACACCAAATCCCCTGGTGCCATAATCTTGCATTTCCCAAGCTTCAGAACTGTTGGCAATAAATTTCTTTTGTCTAGGTTTTTAAATTTTATTTATTTATTTTTAGAGACAGAATCTTGCTCTGTCATCCAGGCAAGGTGATGTGACCATAGATCACTGCAGACTCAAACTCCTGGGTTCAAACAATCTTCTTGGTTCAGCCTCCGGAGTAGCTGGAACTACGAGAGTGTGCATCACCATGCCTGGCTTTTTTTTTTTTTTTTCCACTTCTGTGCAGACAAGGTCTCACCATGTTACCCAGGCTTTTCTCAAACTCCTGGCTTCATGCAATCCTCCTGCTCAGCCTCCCAAGTAGCTAGGACTATGAGTATGGGCCACCAGACCCGGCTAATATTTTTTTACTTTTGTGGAGACAAGGTCTCATTATGTTGCCCAGGCTTATCTTGAACTCCTGGGCTCAAGCAATCCTCCTGCCTTGGCCTCCCAAAGTGCTAGGAGTACAGGCTGTTGTTTACCAATTACCCAGTCTAAGGTATTCTGTTACAGCAGCCCAAATGGACTGATACCATTACAGAAAATGTTTGCTGACCCTGGCCCTAGAGCAGTGATCCTCAGAGCAGCATAAGCATCACCTGGAAACTTGTTAGATATGTAAACTCTTAGGCCCACCCCAGACCTACTGAATCAGAAACTCTGTGACCTTCTCCTGCCCACTTCTCACTTGCCCCAAGGCAGAGCTCTACTCTTCCTCACCTTTCTGATGGTTGGTCTTAAGACCCTCCCCAGAGAGGGTCTTGCCCTGTACCCTGTGGGAGGGAATGCTGGCATCCTGCAGCTTCCATCAAAACCCAAGAGGACTGGGTTCGGAGAGCTTCTGGGTAACAGAACACACGGGGCTTCTTGAAGGGTGGCGCGCCCAGGGAGGGCGAGGAGGCACCATGCCCTTAACCCCCGCGCATCTGTTCATCTGTATCCTTTGTAGTATCCTTTATAAAAATAAATAAATAAGTGTTTCTCTGAGTTCTGTGAGCCTCTCCAGCAAATTAATTGAGCTCAAAGAGGGGGTCAGCCATAGGAACCCAAACTTGAAGCTGATCTGTCAGAAGTTCCGGGGGCCTGGACTTGTGACTGGTATCTAGGGGTTTGAGGGGCAGTCTTGGAGACTGAGCCCCCAACCTGTGGGATCGGACACTATCTCTAGGTAGAATTGAATGGGAGGACACCCAGCTGGTGTCTGCTGCTTGGTGTAGGGGGAAAAAAACCCACACATTTGGTCACAGAAGTCTTCTGTGTTGATTGTTGTGGTGTAAAAACAGAGAAAAAACATGATTTGAGAGTTATTTTCCCCAAACACCTCCCAAACTTCAAATCAAAATAATTAAATGGTCCACCAACATGAGAGTTTTTTCAAATATTCAATAGGAACAGCTATCCTCAAGTAATCTGGTAAATTTAGGTGCAAATGCTGCCAAATTATTATCACCTTGGGAATTTTTACATTTTTAAAGAGACTTTTTTTTTGAAAACTCATTAATCCAATGGGATGCATTTCAGATGTAGGAATTTTAAGCACTTGTCAGTGAGGTAAATATTTCAGTAATTTTTAAGGAATGAGGTATTCTTTAGCAACCCTCATACATCTGATATAGGTGTTCTTAAAAATGTATTTCTCTGCCTTATATAATGCTAGATTTCTGATCATGTATACATCTTTGCTTTGTATTTGTAACATACAATTCCAAAATTTTATATCAGCCCTTTTTCCTTATCAATGTCATGGTAATCAATTCAATTCACTTCTTTTCTTTCTTTCTTTTTTTTTTTTTTTTTTTTTTTGAGACGGAGTCTCACTCCATTGCCCAGGCTGTAGTGCAGTGGTGCAATCTCAGCTCACTGCAACCTCTCCGCCTCGCAGGTTCAAGCAATTCTCCTTCCTCAGCCTCCCAAGTAGATGGGATTACAGGCACCCACCACCATGCCCAGCTAATTTTTCTATTTTTAGTAGAGATGGGGTTTCACCCTGTTGGCCAGGCTGGTCTCAAACTCCTGACCTTGTGATCCACCCACCTCGGCCTCCCAAAGGGCTGGGATTACAGGTGTGAGCCTCCGCACTTGGCCCACTTATTTTCTACTCACCTATTTTGTCCAAAATACTGTGTTCAAACCTGACACATGCCTTTGAGTTTTCACATAGCATAGTGAGGTAGACAAGTGCATCAGCTCTATTATTGTAGTAGAGTAGGTGACCTTACGCTGTTAAGTCAGCACAGACAAGCAGCAGGCATTTTAACAGAGTACCAGTTTTCTATTGGTAACAAATAACCACAAACTTAGCAGCTTCAAACAACTGTATTGTCTTACATTTGTGTAAGTGAGGAGTCCCACACAGGTGTCACTAGGCTAAAATCAAGGCATCTGCCAGGCTGCATTCCTTTCTGGAAGCTCTAGGAAGAAATCCATTTCCTTTTCAGCTCCACTGGCTTCCTACATTCCTTGTCTTGTGGCTTCTTTCTTTATCTTCAAAGATAGAAACTTTGCATCTCTCTTCCCTGCTTCTATCTTCATGTCTCTTTCTGACCACAGTCAGGGAAAGTTCTTTTCTTTTAAAGACTTGTGATTAGACTGGGCCCACTCATATAATCCAGGATAATCTCCCAGGATGAAGATCCTCTACGTGAATTTCATCTGCTAAATTCTTTTTGCCATGTCACATATTCTAAGGTTCCAGGGATTGGGATTCGGATGTGGACATACAAGAGGGAGTATTTTTCTACCTACCACAGAGAGTGAGGAAGAAGAAACAAAGCAGCGTAAAAAGACCCTGGAAGAGATGAACCTTGAGCCAAGTCTTGAAGGTGTAGTGGGAATTAGCCAGCTGGAGAAGGGGGAAAGCATTTTTTGATAAGATACTTATATTATTTCACCAACAAATATTTTTATGCTGCTCCTACCAGGTTCCAGGCACTATCCAATGACATTGGGAGTATAGGACATAGTCAAAGAATTGCAAGTAGCACTGCGACCAGAAAGAGGTCCCAATCCAGACCCCAAGAGGATCTCGTGCAAGAAAGAATTTGAGGCGAGTCATTAAAGTGAAAGCAAGTTTATTAAGAAAGTAAAGGAATAAAAGAGTGACAACTCCATAGGCAGAGCAGCCACAAGGGCTGCTGGTTGACTATTTTTATGGTTATTTCTTGATTATATGCTAAACAAGGGATGGATTATTCAGAAGTTTTCCAGGAAAGGGGTGGGCAATCCCCAGAGCTGAAGGTTCCTCCCCTTTTTAGACCATATAAAGTAACTTCCTGACATTGACATGGCATTTGTAAACTGTCATGGCGTTGGTGGGAGTGTAGCTGTGAGAATGACCAGAGGTCACCCTCATTGCCATCTTGGTTTTGGAGGGTTTTAGCCGGCTTCTTTACTACAACCTGTTTTATCAGCAAGGTCTTTATGACCTGTATCTTGTGCCAGCTTCCTATCTCATTCTGTGACTTAGAATGCCTTAACCATCTGAGAATGCAGCCCAGTAGGTTTCAGCCTTATTTTACCCAACCCCTATTCAAAATGTAGTTGCTGTGGTTCAAATGCCTGACAGCATGGGAAAGCCAGAATATAGGGGGAATGTTAGGGGTGATTGGAAGCTCAAGCTAGCAAGTAGTCAGGGACCAGGTTATGAGAGTTTTGAACACCTGTTCAGAAGTTTGGATTTTATCCTGAAAGTGATGGGGAGCTACAAAAGTAACTTATGCAGGAGGTGATGTTATCAGATGTGTCTTTCAAAAAAAAAAAAAGAAATAACTCAGCAATGAAAATTATGGATACAATAGAAAAGAACCTAGCATAGTGACATTGTTAGTGGTGATGGGAAATAGATGTATTCAAGAGACATTTAAAAAGTAAAACTCACAGAGAAGTGTAAGGAAGAGGAAGAGATATACTTGAAGAAAACTACCAGAATTCTACCTTGGTTGAATAATGAGGTGGTGATTCCATCAAGACAGGGAATGCAGAAAAGAGTGGATTCAAAGTGAATGTGACTTTTGTGTTGTACACATTACGTTTGCAGTGAAATTCTATTTAGGATATTTACTAGACATTTCAATATAATAAGCTAGATCTTAGGTACCTGGGCTACAGTTGTACATTGCTGAGTCTTTAAAAAACAAAAAAGATGGTAATTAATATGATGGGGATAAATCAAAGCAAATAATGAGAGAATGTAAAGTGAAAAAAGAAGACAGGAGGACACCAAAAGAAAGGGTGGACAAAAGGAGTCTATGAAAAATGCCAGGAAAGAGATGACAGGAAGTAGAAAAACAGTAACAAAAGAGTTGTTGTATCAGCCAGAGGAGAATTTCAAAACTGATTGGTCAATCTGGTAAAATAAGGCAGAATAGTCAAGTAAGAAAGTATTGAAAAGAAAAGGAAAGGAAAGGAAAGTATTGAAAAGGAAGCAAAATGAATCAGCAGAGGATAAAGAGAATATTCAAAGAGAGAAAGATATTTGAAAAAGTCAAGGTCCCAGAGAGTGCAAACCCACAACATCAGTTGAATTTTTAGACTGAGCAAGAAGACTGCTAGCTTTTCTCCAAGAGTGAAGGAAAAGGTGGGTTTGGATGCAGTAACTATAATTTTATAAGTTAAGGAAGTTCCAAAATTAAAGACTATATTCTCTCTGAAGCAGACAGTGATGAAATCTATTAAGAGGGGAGGGCTCTAGAGAGGTGGGGATTTAAGAACAAGATGAAGACTTGAAATACTCTATGAGAGAATGGGAACCAGAAAGTTGTTTGTCAAGGAGTGTTGAGGGCCAGCTTAGGTTGACAGGTATGGGTTAGTGATGGCAGCCTCCTGCAGAAAGTTCTGGAGACCTGACGTTGTTACTGACAACAGGCACACCTCGCTTGTTCTTCCTTAACACTCTTCCACTAGCCATTTCTTGTCCCTGCCATATTCCTCTGTTGATCTCCTGGCTGACTTCACCTTGGAATTCAGGTCCCAGCTGGGAATGTCATTTCCTTTAGAGAGAACTTTACTGATCAACCTGAAGTAGCCTCTGGAGTTACTCCCTATCATGCCAGTGTATTTTGCCTTCTTTAGAACTTGTATCACTCTGTAATATTTTCCCGTTCACTTATTTCATTATTCCTGTCTGCCTTCTTCTCACTAGAACATAAGCCTTCATGAGAAATGGAACCTTATCAGTTTTGTTTATACAGCACCCCACTCTCTAGCACATAGTAGGTGATCAATAAATATTTCATGTTGAATATTTTGTGATTTTGCTTAAGTCGCTCAGAGGGCAGGGTATAGGGAAGGAAAAAGCAGTGAAAATGGTGACTAAAGTAAAGGGAGAAAATGTGCTGTTCAGATGGGTCAATAGACTGGAGGAAAATAGATGTCGAGGGCCTGGAAGGTTTAGTGGGAGAAATGATAGGAAGATATTGGAGTTTCTTTACAAAACAGTTTAATCATGGAAAACTCCAGACATATACAAAAATAGGAATGAGTCCCTGTACTCAGCCACAGGTTGAACAATTAGCAAGTCACTGCAATCTTTTATTCTCTACTTGCCACCCACTCAATCCTTTCATCCAAAAGAAATTACAGTTACTGCATCCACAGATGTCAAAGTAAAATACCTGACATATCATTTTACCCATAAATATTTTGATATACCCCTAAAAGATGTAAAAAAATCATTATCACAGTCGAAAATTAAAACTTCTTCCCTAGTTACCAGAACTTAGCATTCAGAAGTACAGAAATTCCAGCTGACAAGCTTCAGGATAGAGTCATGGGTGTAGGAGGCTAAGGGAATAGGAGGTGGGTATTTATGGCAGTGATGATTTAGTGAATCTGACATCTCTGGCTGTAAAAGTTAACAATAATTTTTTCCAGGATAATGGCAGTACTTCTGGCACAGAAAGGAATCAGGTGCCCAGTAAATTGAAGGAAGAGTACAAAGAATCAGGTAACAAGATCCTGTAGATGAGCAATGCAGAAATGAATAAAACTTGATTACTTTTAATTACATATTCCCAACTGTCACTTACGTGACATTATAGCATACATGTACATTCTATTGTTTCTATTTTAATGTAGTTCTTCAATCAAATATGGGAATTTTTAGTTATAATTTCTACTAAGCGTAGCTATATAAATTGCCAGTCATCACTTTTGGGAATACTTATCATCAGAGAGAGAGAGAGAAACTACTAAAGATTATGCTTAGAAAGGGGGGAAGTTTGCAAGATAGAAATTGTACAATATAGTGTGGAAGAGAAAAAGGAAACTCAGAGACACTGAGCCTGGATCTCAGCATGCACTCGCCAGCCTGTTTGGGGAACAGGAGCACAACATTGTTGAGAGCAAGTGACAATATGACTTCTGGCATAAAGTATAAAAGACAGGAGAACAACAGAATCACTGCATATGTCCATAGGTTGGTGAATTACCACTATGCAGTTTAACTAAAAATTATTCAAAGCATCTCAGGCCTTAATTTTACCTCTGGAATTATGTTGAAGCCTGGAATAAAGAAGGAAGAATTCTATGTCCTAAAATTACAATGGCATTAAACATTTGCAAGAAGGACAAATATCAAAACAGTGTTTATCATGCACATTATCATATTATCTGTGGCAAAGCAAAAGAAATTTACAACAATCTCACTGAAATGGGGAGATAGAAATCCTTTAAAAACTCAAGAATGCAGGGAATCTTAATGAAAAACTTAATTGTATACCATCCATGATTGCTGATTTATATGTATAAAATATCACTGTGGCTTTCTTTAACATACTTTTTATCATTTAATTTTTGTGAACTTAAATATCTGGAAGTCTTTTCAAAGTATTCATCTTAATCTGACCTCCTAACCTTATATTTGTAATACCTTTATCCTTCAATTCTTTCCACAAGGATTTTCAGGGAACTCGTCTTGGCTAGGAGGAATCAACCACTTTCCTTATTTCTGTAGTGCCTTATTTATTGGAGGCCTGGCTTAATTTCTTTTAAGTCTGAGCCTAAGAATGTGTACAAATTTGTATGACTGGTATTTCAATTTCAGAGCAACATATTTTCAACTGGTGACTTGGGTTATTCTAAGATTATGTGACATTTTAGAAATAGGAAAAGGTAACTTGCTTTCTCTGTCTCACCTTTATAAAGTGGTGCAGAAAATATTACTAGTTATCTGATAGAAAACTTCTATCAAATCAGTGTCTACCCAAAAGCAAGAAAGCCCCAGTCCTAAACACTGCTCAGAATAATGAAGAATTGTTGTATTTTACCAATCGTCAGAAAATGTAACCCAGGATGGCCCTATTTTCCCCTAAAAGATTCTTAGAAAGTAGTCATTGACAAGTCAATGAGTCATTTTTTTAAACCTATTCTTCCTTACCTGTTTAGCACTTTTTGCCAGGAGATAGGGTTTCCATAGTTCATATTTGCATGTACTTTCCTCTCATCCAAAGGGGATACATTCCAAGACCCCCAGTGAATACCTGAAACTGCAGGTGGTATTAAATCTCATATACACTGTGTTTTATCCTATATGTACACACCTATGATAAAGTTTAATTTATAAGTTAGGCACAGTAAGAGATGAACAATAATAACTAATAATAAAATAGAACAATTTTAATAATATGGCATAAGTTATGTGAATGTGGTCTCTCAATATTTTATTGTACTGTACTCACCTGTTTTCTGACCTCAGCTGATCTCAGGTAACTAAAACCACTGAAAGTGAAACTTGATAAGGAGAAATCCTTCACCAGCAACCTTAAAAAGCCTATTTGCACTTCATTTTCTACCTACTAAAAAGAAAAATACACTCAATATAATTCTGCACTACAAAAGTAAGTGCAATCATTTTCGAAATTGCCTAGAGATGTTTGAAATGTGCATTTTGCCCCTCATCTAACACAATTTTTCTACATAATTGACACAACACACTCAAATCTTTTCAAAAGGCAGAGTATCCTCTGACTCTTATTTTCTACCTTTATATTCTAGCACCTTCCTGAAATTTTTCTGTAGTTTAATGCTGGAATAACAGCACCTTTATGGCAACCATTTAATAATATTTGCTTCCTTTCTGTAGGTGAGCAATAACTCTAATTAGAGTCAGCCATAAAAAATAACACACCTAGTGGTATAGAGTGCAAGGGAAATTAGACTTGATAGGCATGAAGATATTACACTCAAAGAAAAGACTTTAATAAAATCTAAAATAACAGAGCATAGCCTTGGAAAGCTATCATAGAATTCAGGGGTAGTAGTGCTAGAAATTACTTGGTCTACCCTCCATGTTTTACTGAGGAAAAAACTAAACACCCAGAGAGCAAGCCGCCTGTGTGAGTTCTGATTAATGAGAGTCAAGTATTCCAATTGTTCTTCATATTCTAAAAATTGCCCACAGCACGGAAGAATCGCTGAATACACTCTATGCTCACGATACAAAACTAAGCTGCTATTTTTAACTCACATTCTGTGGCCGGAGCCTTCACCTCTGGGGGTGCTCATAGGAGAGTTATAGATTCCGGGACTGTTGACAGTTGGCTCCACACCAACATTAGAGGCAAAGACCAAGCGGGCATTGGGTCCCCTGTGGTGCCTGCAGTGAGATCAAAAAGGGGCAGCAGTATGAAAGATCACTGACTAATAATTGAATTTAAAGTGTTGGCAGCAATGAAAGACGCTTTCCCGCCAAGGGCTTCAGATATGAGCAAGCAAGTGTTTAGGCCATTTCACTGTGAAACCCCCCCACTCCCAGCCCCAAGTGTGCTGGAGTACCCTGTTTTTATCCTTACTTCACAGGGTACAGTGGCAACTCAGTGTAGGTTCAGGGATATTTTAAGCTAGAAGAGGAGGGAAAGGAGGAAATCATAGGGATAAGGGACGCAGTAATAGGATCGAAAATTTGTAATTCCATATGGGATAGGAGACTGTTGGAATTGGGGTACTAGAGGGAGTCAGCTAAAGATATAAAAAGTAGTGGTCAGAGAATGGGATATTTGAAACTGAGATTATAGAGGAGTAAGGGTTTTTAGTAATCATGAGGTCAGATTTTGATTATAGCAGTAAATAACTGAGGTAGGTGAAGCATATGGAGGAGTTCAAAGAATAAAGAGGGCTAGGCGTGGGAAGAATCACCTATGCAGATATTGAAATTGCTAGGAATTCATTAAAAAATACTGTTTATTCACTGATAATTGTTGGCCAAATGGGAGTGGAAAATGTTGATTTTTCTAATTCCACCATTCCTTCCATTTTTATTAGCTTGAATTATCCTGTGAAGAACTTTGGATATTGTGATGAATGCTGAGCAGGATGACTACTAAAGTCTGTCTTTTTACTTATCAATTTTCAAAGAAATTGGTTCTATAGTTAGTTCAAATTGTGACAATGACTAGTTTTTTTTTTGGAGGGGGGTGCAGTAAACTTTGCAGGTAGGGGCAGGGAGCTAGCTCTTTCTGTTAGTGTCAGTGTGAATTTATAGTTTTTCTAGTCAATATCTTTGGTTCAATTGCAGCTGTGACTTTTTTTCTTTTTTTTTTCTTCATTCAACAATATTTATTAAGTCTCTTCTTCATGCAAGCCACAGTGCTGGGTGCTGGAGTCACAGAAGTGAACCTGACTAACCATGTCATGCACTAAACATGGGTGCCTACTTCTGAATTGTATATTACACATCTGAGACATTTCACATTCTAGACACTGGGAGAAGCCATTCCAATGCACAATAACCCTGTCGATAATAGACTCCTGGCAACTGAGGCTTGCTGTTAAACCAATGATATCATAAATTCCAATCCTCAAAAAAAAAAAAAAAAAAGTCCTCAAAAATGTCCTGGCCATACTGCCCAAAGTAATTTATACATTCAATGCTATCTCTCCATCAACCTACCATTGACTTTCTGCACAGATTTAGAAAAAAACTACTTTAAATTTCATATGGATCCAAAAAAGAGCCCATATAGCCAAGACAATCCTGAGCAAAAAGAACAAAGCTGGAGGCATCATGCTACCTGATTTCAAACTATACTACAAGGCTACAGTAACCAAAACAGCATGGCACTGGTACCAAAACAAATATATAGACCAGTGGAACAGAACAGAGGCCTCAGAAATAACACCACACATCTACAACCATCTGATCTTTGACAAACCTGACAAAAACAAGCAATGGAGAAAGGATTCCCTATTTAATAAATGGTGTTATGAAAACTGGTTAGCCATATGCAGAAAACTGAAACTGGACCCCTTCCTTACACCTTTTACAAAAATTAACTCAAGATGGATTAAAGACTTAAACCTAAGACGTAAAACCATGAAAATCCTAGAAGAAAACCTAGGCAATACCATTCAGGACATAGGCATGGGCAAAGACTTCATGACTAAAACACCAAAAGCAATGGCAACAAAAGCCAAAATTGACAAATGGGATTTAATTAAAATAAAGAGCTTCTGCACAACAAAAGAAACCATCATCAGAGTGAACAGTCAACCTACAGAATGGGAGAAAATTTTTGCAATCTATTCATCTGACAAAGGGCTAATATCCAGAATCTACAAAGAACTTAAACAAATTTACAAGAAAAAAACAACCCCATCAAAAAGTGGGTGATGGATATGAACAGACACTTCTCAAAAGAAGACATTTATGCAGCCAACGAACATACAAAAAAAGCTCATCACTGGTCATTAGGGAAATGCAAATAAAAACCATGATGAGATGCCATCTCATGCCAGTTAGAATGGTGATCATTAAAAAGTCAGGAAACAACAGATGCTGGCAAGGATGTGGAGAAATAGGAATGCTTTTACACTGTTGGTGGGAGTGTAAATTAGTTCAACCATTGTGGAAGACAGTGTGGCAATTCCTCAAGGATCTAGAAGCAGAAATACCATTTGACCTAGCAATCACATTACTGGGTATATACCCAATGGATTATAAATCATTCTACTATAAAGACCCATGCACACATATGTTTACTGTGGCACTGTTCGCAATAGCAAAGACTTGGAACCAACCCAAATGCCCATCAATGATAGACTGGATAAAGAAATTGTGGCACATATATACCATGGAATACTATGCAATCATAAAAAAGGATGAGTTCATGTCCTTTGCAGGGACATGGATGAAGCTGGAAACCATCATTCTCAGCAAATTAATGCAGGAACAGAAAACCAAATACCACATGTTCTCACTCATAAGTGGGAGTTGAACAAAGAAAACACATGGACACAGGGAGGGGAACATCACACCCTGGGGCCTGTCGGGGGGTGATGGGGCTAGGGGACGGATAGCATTAGGAGAAACACCTAATGTAGATCATGGGTTGATGGGTGCAGCAAACCACCATGGCCCATGTATACCTATGTAACAAACCTGCACATTCTCCACATGTATCCCAGAACTTAAAGTATAATTAAAAAAAAAAAAAGTTGAGCTAAGATGGAACATTTCAAAGTCAGCTTTAGTTATGTTCTTTGGGAATTTCCAAGAGTGCTTATTCTCTGTTGACTATTCTAAGCTTCCGTGACCATGGAGCACTTTTTGGCAGAGCATTTAGGAGGGTTCTAGTTATGAGAAATTTATCTTTGGAAACAGTCTTTTCATGTCCTCCCAGGGTTCAACCATTTGTGATTCGAATGTTTCCTTGGCTCCTGTGGGTAAAATTTTCCTGCCCTGAGAATTGAAATTCTCATGGAAACTTTTCTACCATGTTTGTCTTCTTGCGTTTATCAGAATGAGCCAATCCATAATAGATATCAGTCAGCACAGCAGTTTTAGATACATCCAAATATTATTTCAAAGTTACAGAATTGAACATTCAGGTAGGTCAAATAATTTACCCAAGATCACATCATTTTACTTTTTGCCATCTGTGAATATAAGAGTTGCTCCATTGAAAGTCTTCCCAATTTCGACCAGGCGCGGCGGCTCACGCTTGTAATCCCAGCACTTTGGGAGGCCGAGGCAGGTTGATCACGAGGTCAGGAGATCGAGACCATCCTGGCTAACACGGTGAAACCCCGTCTCTACTAAAAATACAAAAAATTAGCCGGGCGTGGCAGCAGGCGCCTGTAGTCCCAGCTACTCAGGAGGCTGAGGCAGGAGAATGGCGTGAACCCGGGAGGCGGAGCTTGCAGTGAGCCCAGATGGTGCCACTGCACTCCAGCCTGGGTGACAGAGCGAGACTCCGTCTCAAAAAAAAAAAAAAAAAGTCTTCCCAATTTCTTTCCTGAGGTCTTTCAGAGCATCCTAGTGGGAAGTGCCTCTTTCCATTTTACAACAGAGCAGGTCTGACCTGGAGGCCTGAGTATTTTTGTGCAAACTCAACAAAAGCAATGCTCATTCTTGAAAACTTTTTGATCTCACAAAGGAGCTCTGAGGAGAAGGTGGCTTTTTTGCTTGTTTGTTTTTTAACTTTTCTTGCTTTTGCATCTTGAGTAATGCATAAACTGAAATACCAAAGAGGAGAAGAGAAATAGCAGAAAAGTCTATTTCTGAATAACGAACCCACTTTTTTCCACAGCCCCATTGCTGAGACTTGTAGACCGGGGAAGATTTCACCTGTGTGATGGAAAATGTAAATCTGAAAGAAGAGTTCTCCTTCACTCCTGCTCGGTGGGAGGCCCTTCCCATGGACCCTTCTTCCCTGGCAGAGAGAGGGAGAGCCAGAAACATGGCCTTTTAACTTTGTTATCAGCAGTTGGGAGGCTATGGTGAGTTTTGGTTTGGTTTTCAAATGAGTAATTACCATCTCTCTAGGCAGGTCAGAGAGAAAGCTGCTTGGGAGTAGGGGAGGGACAGATCAGACATGTTGTCACTACTTCCCAAAGGGCTTGGAAGTCCATCAAAACTATTACATTTTCTTAATTTTCCCATGTTTGGCAAGGGGGAGCTGCTTCATATTGGCTTCTGTTCCTTTTATGACATGACTTTATTAATCTTTGAAAGTCTTCTTGCTTTTTGCCGCAAGATGTCCTAGGGTTATATATTTCTTATCCCTTACTTAGAGTCATCCATTCCTTTAAACTTCAACTTTATTTCATTTAAAATGTTATGTATTGGCAAAAGTTGACAAATGGGTTCTAATTAAACTAAAGAGCTTCTGCACAGCAAAAGAAACTATCATCAGAGTGAACAGACAATCTACAGAATGGGAGAAAATTTTTGCAATCTCTCCATCTGACAAAGGTCTAATATCCAGAGTCTATAAGGTACTTAAATTTACAAGAAAAACAAACAAACAACCCCACTAAAAGTGGCCATGAACAGACACTTTTCAAAAGAAAACATTCATGTGGCCAACAAACTTATGAAAAAAAGTTCAACATCACTGATCATTAGAGAAATGCAAATCAAAACCACAATGAGATACCATCTCACACCAGAATATCATCAGAATGGCCATTATTAAAAGTCAAGAAACAACAGATACTGGCAACATTCCAAAGAAAAAGGAACACTTTTACACTGTTGGTGAGAGTGTAAGTTAGTTCAACCATTGTGGAAGACAGTGTGTTAACTCCTCAAAGATCCAGAAGCTGAAATACCATTTGACCCAGCAATCCCATTACTGGGTATATACCCAAAGGAATATAAATCATTCTATTATAGAGATACATGCATGCATATGTTCATTGCATCACCATTCACAATAGTAAAGACATGGAATCAACCTAAATGCCCATTAATGATAGACTGAATAAAGAAAATGTGGTGCATATACACTGGGGAATACTATACAGCCACAAAAAAGAATGAGATCATGTCCTTTGCAGGGACATGGATGCAGATGCAAGCAATTATCCTCAGGAAACTAATGCAGGAACAGAAGACCAAACGCCACATGTTCTCATTTATAGGTGTGAGCTGAACCATGAGAAAACATGGACATTTGGAGAGGCATAACACACACTGGGGCCTATAGGTTGGTTACAGGAGAGCATCAGGAAGAATCGCTAATGCATGCTAGGCTTAATACTTAAGTGATTGAATGACCTGTGCAGCAAACCACCATGGCACATGTTTACCTATGTAACAAACCTGCACATCCTGCACATGTACCCTGGAACTTAAAAAAGTTGAAGAAAAAAATGAAAAAAAGTTATTTATTGACACAATACTATGGAAGCTCATGAATATGAGGCTATCATTACTTCTAGAATTTTTATGTGGTCAGATTGGAAATAAATACTTATGAAGATAAAAATCATATATTCATCTACAATTCAAATTTAACATCTCAAAAATTTTGCTTAGACTGGGTGCAGTGGCTTACACCTATAATCTCAGCACTTTAAGAGCCTGAGGCAGGAGGATCACTCGAGCTCAGAAGTTCAAGACCAGCCGTGGCAACATAACAAGACTCTTATCTTTAAAAAGAAAGAAACAGAAAAAGAAAAAAAAATTGCTTATGTTTTTTGAACTTGTATTTGTTTCTTTTTTTGATTACACCAAATATCTCAGTTCCTAGCAATATTAACAAAAAAAATTTTGTGTTTTATCTCACCAGGTATATATGATTATTTTTAAATAATTTTACCAATATTACTACTAACAGTGAAGTTGAATGAAGTTTTAGAATTCTTTCCACGTCTATGTCTTTTTTTTTTATTATTATACTTTAAGTTTTAGGGTACATGGGCACAATGTGCAGGTTAGTTACCTATGTATACATGCGCCATGCTGGTGTGCTGCACCCATTAACTCATCATTTAGCATTAGGTATATCTCCCAAAGCTATCCCTCCCCCCTCCTCCCACCCCACAACAGTCCCCAGAGTGTGATGTTCCCCTTCCTGTGTCCATGTGTTCTCATTGTTCAATTCCCACCTATTAGTGAGAATATGCAGTGTTTGGTTTTTTGTTCTTGTGATAGTTTACTGAGAATGATGATTTCCAATTTCATCCATGTCCCTACAAAGGACATGAACTCATCATTTTTTATGGCTGCATAGCATTCCATGGTGTATATGTGCCACATTTTCTTAATCCAGTCTATCATTGTTGGACATTTGGGTTGGTTCCAAGTCCTTGCTATTGTGAATAGTGCCGCAATAAACATAATGTGTGCATGTGTCTTTATAGCAGTATGATTTATAGTCCTTTGGGTATATACCCAGTAATGGCATGGCTGCGTCAAATGGTGTTTCTAGTTCTAGATCCCTGAGGAATTGCCACACTGACTTCCACAATGGTTGAACTGGTTTACAGTCCCACCAACAGTGTAAAAGTGTTCCTATTTCTCCACATCCTCTCCAGCACCTGTTGTTTCCTGACTTTTTAATGATTGCCATTCTAACTGGTGTGAGATGGTATCTCATTGTGGTTTTGATTTGCATTTCTCTGATGGCCAGTGATGGTGAGCATTTTTTCATGTGTTTTTTGGCTGCATAAATGTCTTCTTTTGAGAAGTGTGTCTGTTCATGTCCTTTGCCCACTTTTTGATGGGTTTGTTTGGTTTTTTCTTGTAAATTTGTTTGAGTTCATTATAGATTCTGGATATTAGCGTTTTGTCAGATGAGTAGGTTGCGAAAATTTTCTCCCATTCTGTAGGTTGCCTGTTCACTCTCATGGTAGTTTCTTTTGCTGTGCAGAAGCTCTTTAGTTTAATTAGATCCTATTTGTCAATTTTGGCTTTTGTTGCCATTGCTTCTGGTGTTTTAGACATGAAGTCCTTGCCCATGCCTATGTCCTGAATGGTAATGCCTAGGTTTTCTTCTAGGGTTTTTACAGTTTTAGGTCTAACATTTAAGTCTTTAATCCATCTTGAATTAATTTTGGTATACGGTGTAAGGAAGGGATCCAGTTTCAGCTTTCTACATATGGCTAGCCAGTTTTCACAGCACCATTTATTAAATAGGGAATCCTTTACCCATTGCTTGTTTTTCTCAGGTTTATCAAAGATCAGATAGTTGTAGATATGCGGGCTCTGTTCTGTTCCATTGATCTATATCTCTGTTTTGGTAACAGTACCATGCTGTTTTGGTTACTGTAGCCTTGTAGTATAGTTTGAAGTCAGGTAGCATGATGCCTCCAGCTTTGTTCTTTTGGCTTAGGATTGACTTCACGATGTGGGCTCTTTTTTGGTTCCGTATGAACTTTAAAGCAGTTTTTCCCAATTCTGTGAAGAAAGTCATTGGTAGCTTGATGGGGATAGCATTGAATCTATAAATTACCTTGGGCAGTATGGCCATTTTCACGATATTGATTCTTCCTACCCATGAGCATGGAATGTTCTTCCATCTGATTGTATCCTCTTTTATTTCATTGAGCAGTGGTTTGTAGTTCTCCTTGAAAAGGTCCTTCACATCCCTTGTAAGTTGGATTCCTAGGTATTTTATTCTCTTTGAAGCAATTGTGAATGGGAGTTCACTCATGATTTGGCTCTCTGTTTGTCTGTTATTGGTGTATAAGAATGCTTGTGATTTTTGTACATTGATTTTGTATCCTGAGACTTTGCTGAAGTTGCTTATCAGCTTAAGGAGATTTTGGGCTGAGACAATGGGGTTTTCTAGATATACAATCATG
This sequence comes from Homo sapiens, assembly GCF_000001405.40. Taxonomy (NCBI): domain Eukaryota; kingdom Metazoa; phylum Chordata; class Mammalia; order Primates; family Hominidae; genus Homo; species Homo sapiens. Next base: position 158,364,483 of record NC_000004.12, read on the forward strand.
TCGCCTGCAAACAGGGACAATTTGACTTCCTCTTTTCCTAATTGAATACCCTTTATTTCCTTCTCCTGCCTAATTGCCCTGGCCAGAACTTCCAACACTATGTTGAATAGGAGTGGTGAGAGAGGGCATCCCTGTCTTGTGCCAGTTTTCAAAGGGAATGCTTCCAGTTTTTGCCCATGCAGTATGATATTGGCTGTGGGTCTGTCATAGATAGCTCTTATTATTTTGAGATACGTCCAATCAATACCTAATTTATTGAGAATTTTTAGCATGAAGGGTTGTTGAATTTTGTCAAAGGCCTTTTCTGCATCTATTGAGATAATCATGTGGTTTTTGTCTTTGGTTCTGTTTATATGCTGGATTACATTTATTGATTTGCATATATTGAACCAGCCTTGCATTCCAGGGATGAAGCCAACTTGATCATGGTGGACAAGCTTTTTGATGTGCTGCTGGATTCAGTTTGCCAGTATTTTATTGAGGATTTTTGCATCAATGTTCATCAAGGATATTGGTCTAAAATTCTCTTTTTTGGTTGTGTCTCTGCCAGGCTTTGGTATCAGGATGATGCTGGCCTCATAAAATGAGTTAGGGAGGATTCCCTCTTTTTCTATTGATTGGAATAGTTTCAGAAGGAATGGTAACAGTTCCTCCTTGTACCTCTGGTAGAATTTGGCTGTGAATCCATCTGGTCCTGGATTCTTTGGTTGGTAAGCTATTGATTATTGCCACAATTTCAGAGTCTGTTATTGGTCTATTCAGAGATTCAACTTCTTCCTTGTTTAGTCTTGGGGGGGTGTATGTGTTGAGGAATTTATCCATTTCTTCTAGATTTTCTAGTTTATTTGCGTAGAGGTGTTTGTAGTATTCTCTGATGGTAGTTTGTATTTCTGTGGGAACGGTGGTGATATCTCCTTTATCATTTTTTATTGCATCTATTTGATGCCTCTCTCTTTTCTTCTTTATTAGTCTTGTTAGCAGTGTATCAATTTTTTTGATCCTGTCAAAAAATGAGCTCCTGGATTCATTAATTTTTTGAAGGGTTTTTTGTGTCTCTATTTCCTTCAGTTCTGCTCTGATTTTAGTTCTTTCTTGCCTTATGCTAGCTTTTGAATGTGTTTGCTCTTGCTTCTCTAGTTCTTTTAATTGTGATGTTAGGGTGTCAATTTTGGATCTTTCCAGCTTTCTCTGGTGGGCATTCAGTGCTATTAATTTCCCTCTACACACTGCTTTGAATGCATCCCAGAGATTCTGGTATGTTGTGTCTTTGTTCTCGTTGGTTTCAAAGAACATCTTAATTTCCACCTTCACTTCATTATTTACCCAGTAGTCATTCAGGAGCAGGTTATTCAGTTTCCATGTAGTTGAGCAGTTTTGAGTGAGTTTCTTAATCCTGAGTTCTAGTTTGATTGCACTGTGGTCTGACAGACAGTTTGTTATAATTTCTGATCTTTTACATTTGCTGAGGAGAGCTTTACTTCCAACTATGTGGTCAATTTTGGAATAGGTGTGGTGTAGTGCTGAAAAAATGTCTATTCTGTTGATTTGGGGTGGAGAGTTCTATAGATGTCTGTTAGGTCCGCTTGGTGCAGAGCTGAGTTCAATTCCTTGGTATCCTTGTTAACTTCCTGTCTCGCTGATCTGTCTAATGTTGACAGTGGGGTGTTAAAGTCCCCCACTATTATTGTGTGGGAGTCTAAGTCTCTTTGTAGGTCACTCAGGACTTGCTTTATGAATCTGGGTGCTCCTGTATCGGGTGCATATATATTTAGGATAGTTAGCTCTTCTTGTTGAATTGATCCCTTTACCATTATGTAATGGCCTTCTTTGTCTCTTTTGATCTTTGTTGGTTTAAAGTCTGTTTTATCAGAGACTAGGATTGCAACCCCTGCCTTTTTTTGGTTTCCATTTGCTTGGTAGATCTTCCTCCATCCTTTTATTTTGAGCCTATGTGTGTCTCTGCACGTGAGATGGGTTTCCTGAATACAGCACACTGATGGGTCTTGACTCTTTATCCAATTTGCCAGTCTGTGTCTTTTAATTGGAGCATTTAGTCCATTTACATTTAAAGTTAATATGTTATGTGTGAATTTGATCCTGTCATTATGATGTTAGCTGGTTATTTGGCTCATTAGTTGATGCAGTTTCTTCCTAGCCTCGATGGTCTTTACAATTTGGCATGATTTTGCAGTGGCTGGTACCGGTTGTTCCTTTCCATGTTTAGTGCTTCCTTCAGGAGCTCTTTTAGGGGAGGCCTGATGGTGACAAAATCTCTCAGCATTTGCTTGTCTGTAAAGTATTTTATTTCTCCTTCACTTATGAAGCTTAGTTTGGCTGGATATGAAATTCTGGGTTGAAAATTCTTTTCTTTAAGAATGTTGAATATTGGCGCCCCCCCTCTCCTGGCTTGTAGAGTTTCTGCCGAGAGATCCTCTGTTAGTCTGATGGTCTTCCCTTTGTGGGTAACCCGACCTTTCTCTCTGGCTGCCCTTAACATTTTTTCCTTCATTTCAACTTTGGTGAATCTGACAATTATGTGTCTTGGAGTTGCTCTTCTCGAGGAGTATCTTTGTGGCATTCTCTGTATTTCCTGTATCTGAATGTTGGCCTGCCTTGCTAGATTGGGGAAGTTCTCCTGGATAATACCCTGCAGATTGTTTTCCAACTTGGTTCCATTCTCCCCGTCACTTTCAGGTACACCAATCCGACATAGATTTGGTCTTTTCACATAGTCCCATATTTCTTGGAGGCTTTGTTTGTTTCTTTTTATTCTTTTTTCTCTAAACGTCCCTTCTCACTTCATGTCATTCGTTTCATCTTCCATCACTGATACCCTTTCTTCCAGTTGATCACATCGGCTCCTGAGGCTTCTGCATTCTTCACGTAGTTCTCGAGCCTTGGCTTTCAGCCCCATCAGCTCCTTTAAGCACCTCTCTGAATTGGTTATTCTAGTTATACATTCATGTAAACTTTTTTCAAAGTTTTCAACTTCTTTGCCTTTGGTTTGAATTTCCTCCTGTAGCTCGGAGTAGTTTGATCGTCTGAAGCCTTCTTCTCTCAACTCGCCAAAGTCATTCTCCATCCAGCTTTGTTCCGTTGCTGGTGAGGAGCTGCGTTCCTTTGGAGGAGGAGAGGCACTCTGCTTTTTAGAGTTTCCAGTTTTTCTGCTCTGTTTTTTCCCCATCTTTGTGGTTTTATCTACTTTTGGTCTTTGATGATGGTGATGTGCACATGCGTTTTTGGTGTGGATGTGCTTTCTGTTTGTTAGTTTTCCTTCTAACAGACAGGACCCTCAGCTGCAGGTCTGTTGGGGTTTGCTAGAGGTCCACTCCAGACCCTGTTTGCCTGGGTACCAGCAGCGGTGGCTGCAGAACAGCGGATTTTCATGAACCGTGAATGCTGCTGTCTGATCATTCCTCTGGAAGTTTTGTCTCAGAGGAGTACCCGGCTGTGTGAGGTGTCAGTCTGCCCCTACTGGGGGGGTGCCTCCCAGTTAGGCTGCTTGGGGGTCAGGGGTCAGGGACCCACTGGAGGAAGCAGTCTGTCTGTTCTCAGATCTCCAGCTGCATGCTGGGAGAACCACTGCTCTCTTCAAAGCTTTCAGACAGGGACATTTAAGCCTGCAGAAGTTACTGCTGTCTTTTTGTTTGTCTGTGCCCTGCCCCCAGAGGTGGAGCCTACAGAGGCAGGCAGGCCTCCTTGAGCTGTGATGGGCTCCACCCACTTCGAACTTCCTGGCTGCTTTGTTTACCTAAGCAAGCCTGGGCAATGGTGGGTGCCCCTCCCCCAGCCTTGCTGCTGCCTTGCAGTTTGATCTCAGACTGCTGTGCTAGTAATCAGCGAGACTCCGTGGGCATAGGACCCTCCGAGCCATGTGCGGGATATAATCTCCTGGTGCGCTGTTTTTTAAGCCCATCAGAAAAGCGCAGTATTCGGGTGGGAGTGACCCGATTTTCCAGGTGCCGTGTGTCACCCCTTTGTTTGACTAGGAAAGGGAACTCCCTGACCCCTTGCACTTCCCGAGTGAGGCAATGCCTCGCCCTGCTTTGGCTCCCGCACGGTGTGCTGCACCCACTGTCCTGCGCCCACTGTCTGGCACTCCCTAGTGAGATGAACCCAGTACCTCAGATGGAAATGCAGAAATCACCCGTCTTCTGCACCGCTCACGCTGGGAGCTGTAGACCGGAGCTGTTCCTTTTCGGCCATCTTGACTTCCCCCCTCATGTCTATGTCTTTAAAATATGTGAGTGTAGAACATATATGTCTGTAGAATACACTTTGGATCTATAATCAAAATAAGTTCTGAAGTCACTTGAAATAATCCTTTGCTTTGAGTGATTTTTCTCCAACTTAAAATGCATTTAAACATTCATTTTTAGCATGTTTCCATTTTTAAGTGTTGCTTTTAAAAATTTTTATCTTGTGAGTGTGTACCTGAAGTTGAAGCTGTATTACAAAATATGTTCAGGTAAGTCTTACTTCCATCCCTGTCTTATCTACCTTGTTCCCTCCCTCCCTTATATGCCATTTATGTCCATTTTTCATTTACCCTTTCAGAATTTCCCTCTGCAAATATACACATATATTTGTATTTCTCCCCCTTTCCTGTACAAAAGTCTGCATGTCATATATATACTATTCATTTTTACCTTACTTTATTCATTTAATGTATCTTGGAAATCACACCACTTTAGGATATGGAAAATTTTCCTCATTTCTTTTTATGTCTACAGGGTATTCCACTGTGAGATGTATCATATCATTTGGATTGTAGGGTTTTTTCTTTGCTGTCATTACACATATAAGTAATTGTATTTATGTTTATATCTGTAATTGTATGTATATAAAATTCTTTACTCTATCACACAAATAAAACAATGGGTAACCTTTTGCTAATGTTGTTTTTACTTATACTAGTATATTCATGAATTATAGTCCTAGAAGTGGGAATGCTGACTCAAAGAGCAAATGAATATTGCAATTGAAAGAATATTGCCAAGCTTCTTTTCATATGGGGATATAACAATTTTTCATTTCTACCAGTGCCATTTGAGTTTGTCTATTTCATAACAGCCTTGCGAGCAGAATATTCTACCAAACATTTAGATTGCTGCCAAGATTATAGGTGAGAAATAGTATCTCAATATAGTTAGTTTTAATTTACATTTCTTCTATTAAAGTAAGTTTGAGCTTCTTTAAATAACTTTAAACATCATTAAACTCAATTTTTGCTTCTTCTAGTGAACTGCCTAGCATATCTTTTGCTCATTTTTCTATCACTGTTGGTCTCTCTATTTCCTGTTTTTAGTACCTTTTTTATATATTAGAAACAATAGCCCTTTGTCTTTAACATAAGCCATAAGGCACAAACATTTTCTTTACAATGTGTGATTTTTCTTTTACTTCATTTATGGCAATTTTCCATGCACTCTTGTTAAGTAGTCAAACATGTTGACCATTTCTTAAATGAGAGAGCCATGAAATTTTAGCAGTTTTCCTGATAATGATGATGAATTTTGAATAACTCATCCTATCTTACATAGGCACTATTATAAACAATAAATGATATCTGCAAAAAGGTGAACAACTTTAAAAGTTAGTGACTGTAATGGGATCGTCATCCTAACTAAATATCAATTCAACTCCACAGCTTTGACTTGATTCATGTTTTTATTCAGCCACACACCGTAAGAGTCATCAGTACCATTCCCCTAATTTTACCAGGGTGTAACAGAGGCTCAGAAAAGTGTGGTGGTGTACAGCATTCACCCACTGAGTCAGTAGACATGGCTCTAGGGCTGGAGCACAAGCCCTGAATTCTTTCTACTTTCACCCCTGGCCTAAGTTAGGGCTCACTGATTTCTGTTTTCACAAATCACCATGGTAATGATAAAGAATTATGTTCTCTTTCTTCTACTTCTTAATGAGCAAAACTTTTTTGTTGTTGTTGTTTTAATATTGTATCTCTTCTTTGGAAGCCTAGTAAGTATTTGGACTTTTTTTGTTTAAGGGAGAAAAAGCACAGTTGGGAATCCAAAGACAGCTTTTGCATCCCCTCACTGCACATCTCTCTCCCCACCTGCAGAGAATTGCCACTTAGATACCATCTTCCTCACCTCAACCTCTTGTAATGTTCCTCACTACCATGTTCCTTCCTCCAGCCTCTCACGGTGTGGTTAACTGTTTCCTCACAATCTCTTCATCTCTAAACTAGACATTTAAATGTAAGGAGTTTTCATCCTTTCTGCTAAAATTGAATCTTACCATATTGTTTATCTATATTATTATAACTTTTCATTCAGCCACATAAATCTTGCTCTCAATATTAATTCAATCATATATAAATATTGCTTTCAATAATTAATATGAACACTTTTTAGAACATGTTAAAAGCTGGAAAAGAAAAAGAAAGAAAGCAGTAAGAAGATAGGGTATTTATACTTTTATCTCTTCTAACCAATGATCAATCAATTCAATGATCCATGCTAGACACACACGCAGCTTCATCTTTCTGATGACTTGATACACCCATCCCAATGATCCCACTTTCTTTCTCAACAACATTTGTTTTAACTCCACTTTATCCAATTTTACTTTTTCTCATATTTTCTGATCCAGAATTGGCCAAATGAGTTAAAAAACCTAATATCAAATGCATCGATGATTTCTTTACAATGCAGTAAATATTACATGTTTTTAGTTAATAAAAAGGGCCAAAACTGCTTCACATGATCTCTTTACTACCTTCATCTTTAATATTTCATAAGGTTGCTTATTCACCACTTTCATAAATAACAAATCTATTCAAACAATGACTCATTATTATACAATTTCCTTAAGAATCATACTTTAATCTTAAGAAATCAACTATGTGTTTTGTTAAACATATTTGTGGTATTTATTTCATAACGTAGGAAAGTGTATTTTAGACAAATTCACCAAATCATTCATTGTATGAAAAAAGTGTCATAAAGTGCTACATTTAAGAAAATATACATGGCAAAACCCCGTCTCTACTAAAAATACAAAAGTTAGCTGGCCTGGACAACAAAGCGAGACTGTCTAAAAAAAAGAAAATTTACATCAGATTTTTTATTGCTATTGAAAATTCACTATACTGATCCTTCATAGGCTAAATTGTTAAAAGAATCCAAGACTAAAGCAATGAAAACCTTATTCCACATGGAAATATCACTGACCAAAGGAGGTTAGTAAAGAAGATCAAATTACGTCTACTGAGTCTTTCATAATTGAACATCTAAGTATTCAATAAATATTAACTAGCTAGCTCCAATTAATATCTTAAATTGTAGAATTACAAATCAAAGCACAAATTCTAGACAGTAAGAAACTTTAAAAAGACATTCATGGCAATTTTGCAGTATTGAGACATTTTCACAAGTCATCGAACCTTCAGAATATTTTTGAACCTGTAATGTCTTGCCTCTCTCTAGGTTGTCAGATGATAAGTTTCTTCTCCTCCTAGCTATTACTTTTTCTCAACTTAGTATCTCTTAAGGCTAAAAAAACTATTCAGAGCATCATACAAAGTTTCAAAATAAAATATGTTTTACCTAAAATATTCAGCCCCTTGAATCAAGATTGGCTATTTCCTGGAATTTTCCTATTACCTCCACTTTTCACTCTATTTTGCTTCTGTAATCATATCTTTAACACATACAAAATCTAACATGTCTTGCAACTAATGCAGAAATTTTATAAATCCATGGGTGGTATGGGGGATTGAATTGTATTCCTCAAAAAGATATGCCCAAATCCTAATCTTGGTACCTGTGAATGTAACCTTATTTGAGTATAGGGTCTTTGCATAGGTAATGAAAAGGATCTTCAGATGGGATCATCCTGGATTTAAAGAGGGTCCTACATTCAATAGCTAGTGTTCATATAAGAAAAGAAGAGATTTGAGACATGCACCCAGAGAAGAAGGTGGCGTGAAGGTAGAGCAGAGGTCAGAATGGTGAGTCTACAAGCCAAGGAACCAAGACTGCCAGCAGCCGCCAGAAGCTAGGAGAGAGGCAGGGAAACAGATGCTCCTTCTGGGCTTCTAGAAGGAACCAACCCTACCAAACACCTTAATTTTGAGCTTCTAATCTCCAGAACTATCAGAGAATAAGTTCCTGTTATTTTTTTTCTTTTCTTTTCTTTTTTTTTTTTGAGACAAGAGTCTCACTCTGTTGCCCAGGCTAGAGTGCGGTGGTGCGATGTCTACTCACTGCAAGCTCTGCCTCCCGGGTTCACATCATTCTCCTGCCTCAGCCTCCCGAGTAGCTGGGACTACAGGCACCCGCCACCACGCCCAGCTAATTTTTTGTATTTTTAGTAGAGTCGGGGTTTCACCATGTTAGCCAGGATGGTCTCGATCTCCTGACCTCGTGATCCGCCCACCTCGGCCTCCCAAAGTGCTGGGATTACAGGCGTGAGCCACCCTGCCCGGCCAAGTTCCTGTTATTTTAAGCCACCAAGTTTGTAGTAACTTGCTACAGCAACCCTAAGAAACTAACATAAATAGTTAAACAATAAAACAAACATTAGTTGCCAAGAATCTAAAATCTAGTAATTCATATATACAGTGTGTCAGGTGCCTCAGTCTCCAGTTTCCACCAGCAGTTTTACTTAACAAATTTACTTTTCGATACTATTTAGTTTTCAAGCTGGATGGCTAATGTAATCCTTCTAATTTTAGAGGCTATTTGGAAAATCTTCTCTTATTATCTATAACATGCCTTATCTGTCAGATTGTTTCATTTTGCTTTGTCTGCAAAGAAAAGCTAGACTCAGTTGCCAAGGGCAAATTTGGAAAAAGATATGTCACCTTGGTCTTTGATGAGTATCATTGGCAATACAAAGAAAAGCAAGTTTCTTACATTGCCTGGTGGGAAAGGAAAAGACGCTCAGACAATTACTCTGTTCTCCCAATTTCTGAAACACTGAAAAAAGACCTTGGTCCATAGAAGAACAATATTCCTCAAGAACAAACCTGAACACTTTGGTTGAATTCTTTGGTAGTCTATATTTTTAGTCACAGATAGTTACTCTCCTGAAGTACAATATATTGCTGAGCCCCAAGAAAAAAAAAATAGCATAAATCACAGAATGTTCCCAATGCCTGCATCTTAGAATTGCTTCATTTATTTGTTCAACAAATGCTTATTGAGCCTCTTTTTTTTTTTTTTTTTTTGACTCAGTCACTGAGTTAGGTACAGTGAACACATAATCATTTAAGTCCTTTCCTGCTAGTGGATAGAGAAGCCAGAGAAAAATAAATTACAGTGTGGTATTAAAAAGACCCATTACAGAGATATGGACAAAATGTTAAGAAAACAAAAAGAATGGACCTAACTCTGCCTGAAAGGACTTAGAAAGACATCACCATATCGGGCTTCCAGGAGGGGACCACTGAGAGGCTCTTGCAGTGTGAAAGGTGAAGGCTGTAGAGGGGAAATAAGAAAAAGGGGGAAGGGGGTGAGGTTTTGCAGTATGCTCTCACCTGCCACATCTTGCAAACTAGAAATACATGTTCTCTGCCATAAAAGGGAGAATTCGCCTCATTCAGATTAATTCCAACATTCATACCTCTAATAGGGAGGATTAAGATATTGAGATCTGAATTAACAATGCCATGAGAGAGTAGGACCAGCCAGGAATCACTAAGTCAGAAGCCACCGGTCTCTCTCCTGCTCTGGGTGTCCTAGAGCTATTAGCCGTACTCATAAGGAAAGCCAGGGCTGTGTAATCAGAATATGACATGTAGCTTTATATTGTTAAGAAGAAAATGTTCTGGAAGAGAAGAGGAGGCAAAGCTCTGGTCCAATAAAAAAAATTCAAGCTTACCACTGAAGAGAGATATATTCTAAGTCAAACACATATACGTTTCTTAATTCTGAACATGCTGCATTCTTTACTTTATCACCTTAATTGTTGGTTGCCCAGCTCTGCACTTGTATATGCCTGTGTGGAAAAGTAGAGGCATTTCTATAAGGCAGTGAAACTAGTTTCTAAACAAACCTGTCTGAACCTGCAGCTTTAAATGAGGAGTTCCCTTTTAATGGTCACCCAGGAAAGTCATATGCCATTGTGGTGAGAGGCCTAGCTATAAAAGATACTTGTGGGCCGGGCACGGTGGCTCACACCTGTAATCTCAGAACTTTGGGAAGCCAAGGAGAGTGGATCACAAGGTCAAGAGATCGAGACTAGCCTGCCCAACATGGTGAAACCCCGTTTCTACTAAAAATACAAAAATTAGCTGGGTGTGGTGGCGCACCTGTAGTCCCGGCTACTCTGGAGGCTGAGGCAGGAGAATCGCTTGAACCCAGGAGGCGGAGGTTGCAGTGAGCCGAGATCGCACCACTGCACTGCAGCCTGGCAACAGAGCGAGATTCCATCTCAAAAAAAAAAGACATTTGTGAACTTTTGTGTTTTGATTTTTGTTGTTTCTTCTCTAGCCACCAGTGTGCCAGATCTTCTCCTGGGAATCACTGGAAGTGACCCCAACCCAAAGGGTAATGATCATTGCAGAATAATTGGAGGCTGATACCAAGAAAAGTAAACACTTTTGGGTCAGGAAATGTAGTTCCCTTCAGAATGGTTGTGTGCATCCAAAAATAAAAGCTTAAAGAAAGTATCTTTTTAAAAGGTATTTAATAGTTCCATTGTGCAGTAAAGGAAGGTGTATTCAAACTTTTTGACATCAAATGTTTGAAAGAAAGCTGTTTGTCGCCTAATGATCACTGTAGGGATGAAAAAGAAGGCTTGTTACTAGATTCCTGAGAGTCAGATGCTTAAATCAACCCTGACTAGTGTCCCTGAGCAGTCGGAACTCTGAGGGTTCTGTAGTTAAAGAACTAAGCACCAAGGTCTAGAACCAAAGACACGATGATATGACTACCTTGGGGGAAAAAGCGAGGAGCACTCACAGCTGAATCCTCATCTACCGTAAGAGGAAGTCAAAGACGAGGTCCTAAATGGAGCAATAAAAATAATTGTAGGCAGTATCATTGAAATTTTAAAGTAAACACCAGAAGAAACAGCCAAAGGATCTGAAAATGATTGTCTTTGAATGCCTGAACTGAAGGCTAGGGAAGATAGGCCAACAGCCATCCATTTTTTAAAGATAAACCCTTATTGTAAAAATGAACATGCATTCCTTTGAAAAAATGTTCAAAGAACTATAATAAAAGGAAAAACATCTTTAAAAGTCCAGAACTGATGTTTTATTTTAAATAATGTGCTTTTATTCCTTTTGTAAAAATCTAGTAATTTTAAAAATATAGCTTCTTGTTAACTGGCAAGAAATCCACAGACCTTCATTACTCAAATTCACAACCAATCATAGGGGGCTAGGCGTAAGAAAAGGTGGTACAATACTTTTTGTTATTTGGAGGCTGTAGGTAATATGGCAAAAAGAAAAAAGCCAGGGGACTCTTTCCCTCAAAGCACATGAAGATTAGAGAAAGCCCTAGATTTCACATTTTAAAGTGGAAAACAAATAGCATAGATATAGAGATTGAATTATTTGTGTTAAGAAGACTTACAAATATGGTTGCAACCATTGTTCCAGTCTCTATTTCTGTGTGTCTGTGCATGCTGGGGATGAGGAAGAGAAAACTGAGAGAAAAGGCACTCCATGAGGATGGCAGAGTGGGAATAGGAGAGAGTATGAAAAAAGGAATGAAGCCAGAAATGGTAACTTCCAGGGAGGTAGAGCTGTGAAAGGGGAATCTTTATAGAAAATCCAAAATTTATGCAAAAACAAAAATTGGACAGAGGATCCTTCCTTAAGTATTTGTCCTAGGATATATGCCAGGAAAAAAGCACATTAACTCCAAGGAAATCTCATAAAAAAAATTCTAGGTCAAATAAGTTTCAGCTGACTCTTCAGAGACCTTAAGAAGGGACTAAGGCTTAGAATAACCTTTCCTAAACATCCAGAGGCCCCAGTTTGAACGAGAAGTAAAAATCTAAAGTCACATTAGAATTTTAATTGGAATAACAACACGTGAAATGATTATGAAATGAAATGAAAGTGGTATAACTTGCAATCCCTCTAGTTGGGTGTTGTCTTAGTGTATTTTGTAATGCTATAACAATACCACAGACTGGGTAATTTATAAACAATAGAAGTGAATTTGGCTCACAGTTCTGGAGGTTGGGAAGTCTAAGACCAAGGAGCCGCATCTGGTGAGGGCCTTCTTGCTGCATCATCACATGGAGGAAGGCATCGCATGGTGGGAAAGCATGCATGGTAGGGAGGGGGCCAAACTAATCCTTTTTATTTGGAACCCATTCCTTAGATAACCACCTCATGATAACAGGCAAAGCCCTCATGACCTAATTACCTCTTAACTTCCCATCTCTCAACATTGTTGCATTGGGGATTAACTTTTCAACACATGAAATTTGGGGGACATGTTCAAACCATAGCAGGTATATTTAAGCTTTTTGCCTCTATGCATAAATTATGGCTGTTGCTCTTGGCATCTATGCTTAGAATTGGCTAAATGATTGCCTGGTTTGGAAGAGTCTTTTCTATTTAGAGTCCTATTGACAATGACAGCATCTCTGCAGAACCCCCTAATGACCAAGGCAAGTGTTTACACAGTTGCCATTTTGTGAATAATTCCAAAGTTTTGTTGTTTTATTTCTTGTTCTTTATTGCTTTATTAATATCTGCCTGTTTTTTTTTAATCCCTGTTTTCTCTCATTGTCTGGGCCTATGCAATTGTCATTCCTTACTTGAACTCCATCTCATTCTCTCTACTAGCTATAGACCAACGGGTCTCTACTGAACTATGACTGAATATTAGATCACTCAGGAGGCTTTAAAAAAATGCTGATGCCCAAACCTCACCCCAGATAAATTGAGCTCATCTAACTGGGCCTAGCGCCTAGGAATTGGCACTTTTTAAAGCTTCCCTGATTATTCTAGTTGCTAATCACTGTTGTAGATATTTGTTTCTGCTGTGACTCTGTTGCCTGGCGTGGAGTTGGGTGATTATGTCATGACACAAAGGCAGAGAACCGTGAAGAATATTTTCATCCCTGTCTGATCCTTCCACATAACAGGATAATAGAATTTATCTTTATGTCTCTTTTATTACAAAGTCTTTTGTTTCTTTTTTGTGTGTGTGTGCTTTTGTTTTGTTTCATTATATTCAATGTTTGGCTGAGCCCAGTGAAACAATTAGAATGTAATGAAGCATCTAGATAACCGAGAATGATAATAATGTACACCTGATACATCCAGATAATAGAAACATCTATGCCTTCATTGAAACTTGTGGGAAGTGTCTCAGTTCTTTAATGTACATTGATAGCAGAGGAAGCGACCTGACCTTTATGCCATGAGCTATGGTTTCATTTAGCTGGTGTCCAAGAAGCTATGTGACTTTTTAATAAGTTCCCTTGACTTTTGTCTTCTTAGAAGCAAGAATTCTTGTTGTGACAAAAGAAAAATGATTTTGGTTTATTTAGGAATTTTTGCACTTACAGTAAAATTTTATTGTATTTTAAGAAAAACCACAATTCATAACACTTGGTTTCCTAAAAACCAAATTGTGTGTCTATGTATGTATGTATATGTGTGTGTATATATGTGTATATGTATATGTGTGTATATACATATAACGTGCCTCCCAACTGTTTAAGAGCTACTTTTAAAGATACTTTTTTTTTTTTTTTGAGACAGAGTTTTGCTCTTTTTGCCCAGGCTGGAGTACTATGGTGCAACCTCGGCTCACTGCAATCTCCACCTCCCAGGTTCAAGCAATTCTCCTGTCTCAGCCTTCCAAGTAGCTGGATTACAGGTGCCCACCACCATGCCTGGCTAAGTTTTTTAAAACTCTGTCTCTTCTAAAAATACCTCAAGTAATCCGCCGCCTCAGCCTCCCAAAGTGCTGGGTTTATAGGTGTGAGCCACCACGCCCGGCCAAGATCCTCTTTTTTCTGAAATGACTTGACTACTTTCACAAAAACAAAATTTAAGGGAGATGTTTACATTTTACCTTTCTTATAAATTTTTCAGATAATTTTAGTGATCATAACCATAGATGTACAGTTATTTAATTATGGAAGTTCAATGTCTAATTTTCAAATTCAAAAACTCATATTTTGTTGCAATGAAAAAATAAGACCTAATGTAAAATAAATTCCAAAACTTTTTTCACAAATAATTTATCTTCAGAAAAAATATGATTTGACAGAGCTGCAAGGAAGAGACAAAATGGATTCATTTTAATTTCACCCATTGACTTTCTTATGCCCATTTTCTGATATAAGTAACAATAAGTAGTATAATTATAAAATAAAGAAAAGTGATCCAAGAAAAAGTGAGACATTTTCTGTTCCTTTTTTGCGTTGTGAGTGGGTTTCTAGATCGTGGATATATAAAAAAAATCAATATCTGAAAAACATTAAGGTTATGTTTAACATAATAACAAATAAGAATATTCTCATTTTGAGAACTGGCCCTTCTTGGAGTGAGATATATTCATTATCTATACTCAGGAACTTAACCGTGTTCTGTTTATTCCAAAGAAATTTATAAAATGAAGGATTTTACCTGTAGATATGGTTTTTCTATCACCTTTTGAAATTTCAAAGTAGATTGTAACAACCTATCAACATAAATCATAATGCTTAAAGATGTATTACATTTATTCTTTTAAGAGTTTAATTTAGTCCCTAGAAGGAAAAGTCAAGGGGAAATAAACTTATTTATATTAGTAAAATTAAACATCCAGCAACTGAAGGAAAGATTGCTTTGTTTTAATGTTGCTTTTCTTTTTACTTTCTATATACATAGTCAAGCCTCCACTCTTACCTAAAAGTACAAGTTCTCTTCAAGAAGACAGGCTCCACAGAGATCATATTTGGGCCATGTAACACATTGTAATTACGGGACACTGCTATCATTTGGATATAGTTAGTTTGTTCCTGTCAAAACTCATGTTGAAATTTGCTCCCTAGTGTGATGGTATTTGAAGTGGATCCTAGTGGCAGGTGCTTGGGCTATGGAGGCAGATCTCTCACAAGTAGCTTGGTGCCACTGGTAATGAACGCGTTAGACTGAGTTAGTTCTCCAAAGAGTGGGTTGTTATAAAGCAAGAACACTCGTTGGGTTTTGCTTCTCTTCACATGTGTCTACTTCCCCTTTGAGCTACTCAACCATAGTATGATGCAGCAGAAAAACCCTCACCAGAAGCCGAGGCTATGCCCTTGAACTTCCCAGCCTGCAGAACTGTGAGCTAAATTAACCTCTTTTCTTTATAAATTTTACCCAGTCTCAGGTATTCTGTTACAGCAACACAAAACGGACAAAAATATATTACTACAAAATGTGCTTCATAAAATTGACTGAATTTGATACAGCCTTTTAAACTATTAAGTCATTTCTATAATAAATCTATTGCCCAGTTTTATAAGGAAAAATAGAAATATTTTCTTTCCTCTTAAAGCGTTTTATGTACTATGCCAGGATTCTTAGAAATCTCAGTTCTCTTTATAATCATTTTATGTTTTGAAATCTATTGCATTGGAAACAAAAGTTGCCCATCTAAATTTCTGACACATTTCAAGTCCCAGCTCAATTCTCAAATCCTCCGAGAGTTTTATTATTTCATCCCCAGCAATTTCTTCTGGGTTTGTTGGAAAATGAGATGATATTGTCAGGTTGTGATTCCAGGAGCCAGGAGTGGAAACAGTGAGGGAGGGATGGGACTGGCCCATTAACAGCAGAGAATGGAACAAAAAAACAATCTTCAAGACAGTAGCTGGGGTATGGTAGATTCAGTTTGTGTCCTATCCAACATTCATTTTCCCCTTTTGCTTTTCTAACCCTCATTTTAATCACCCACACTATTCTGAACTCTATTGGTAGGTCCTGAAGAGTAAGCCAATCTGCATATGGCATTCCACTCCAACTATGATTGATCTAAGTTTGGATATGCACTAGGCCCAATCAGAATGAAGAAGGGGGCATATACCATGGTTTGGGAAAAGGGGGAGAATTTTATCTTTTTCTGCTACTGTATATAAACAATGATAGTGGTTCCCCCATTTGCTGCTGGTTGTATCTTGCAGTCATGAAGGAAACCAACCTAGGGACCAATCTGACAATGGAGAAGGGCAAAGAAAAATTAATTACAAAGAAAAATAAATCTTATTTATTGTCATATATTCCCAGGAGCCTATAGGTAGGGTAGGAATGGAGAGGAATATGATCAGGGGTTATGGGGAAGGGGGATAGGAGCTCAGTCTTATCTTCTCCTGTATGGCTCACTCTTTCAGATCTGTTGTATTCCTCTTCACCTTGCTAAGTATAATGCATATTTATTTGTTCAGTTAATTCAGTAAATAAACATTGAAAGTCTAGGATGTACCAGGCATGTTCTAGGTATCAGGATACAGCAGGAGCAAAAGTTCCTTCAGTATGATCACAGGTCATAGTCCTCTCCATTCCTACCCTACCTATAGGCTCCTGGGAATGATAATAAGTTTTCTTATTAAGCTCATTTGAACTGCCATTTTTGTTACCTGCTGCCAAAAGCATTCAAACCTTTACAAAGACATAATAAATCCAGTCAATAGTCCAACTAAAACAGCAATCTGAAGGCTGTGCACAGAGAAAGCAAGAAAAGGGACAGAATCTAGAGATGCTAAAGCAGATAATGTAGATTCCTAATGAAGAACAAGAGAGTCTAGAGCAGGATTTCTCAGCCTCAGCACTACTGATGTTATGGGCCAGATGTTTCTTTGTCTTGGGCTGCTGTCCTATGCACTATAAAAGGTTTAGCAGCATCCCTGGCCTCTACCCACTAGACATCAGTAGCACCACCACCCCAACAAGTATGATGATCAAAATGTCCCTTGGGAGGCAAAACAGCCCCTGCGAGAGCCATTGTTTTAAAGGGATTCTCTGAGGCTCTGGATCATAGCTGCATGGCTTTACTATAGGAATCAGCAAGTTCACCTGGGACAGCGACAGAGAAATTAATGATATTATTGTTCAGATACTTTCCTCTGTGTTCAGTGGCATTAAATTCTTGTGCCACTCATTTTGGACCTTAACTTTTATGGTCTGGTACCAATTAAATAACTACTCTTTGCTTCAATTTCTTTATACAGAAAACAGGCCTGGTACAGTGGCTTATGTCTATACTCCCAGCAATTTGGGAGGCCAAGGTGGGAAGATCACTTGAGGCCAATAGTTGAGACCACCTGGTCAACATGAAGAGACCCTATGTTTATGAAAAAAAAAAAAAAAGTAAAAATTAGCCGTGCATGGTGGCACATGCCTGTAGTCCCAGCTACTCAGGAGGCTGAGGTGGGAGGATCGCCTCAGCCCAGGAGTTTGAGGCTGCAGTGAGCTATGATCACACTACTGCACTTCAGCCTGGGCAACAAAGAAGACCCTGTCTAAAAAACAAAAAAAAATAAAAACAGGCAAGATAATAGCAATTAAATCATTGCACTGTTAGAAGGGTTAAATAAGATAATGCATGAAAAAAGCTGAGAGTGACTGGCAGATAGTAAGTTCAAACAAATTTTAGCTACTAATATTATTAATTGCCTTGTTAATAATTAACAATTAATTATTAACAGTATTATTACTATTATTACCAAAACTTTCTTCTCAGGAACCATGGCCTCTCTGGAACCTTCAGATAATTAGGCAGAGGCTACTACGGATTGCAGAATATTGGGAGTATTTATTGACTTCGCAGCATGTGACAGTAGGCAATGAGGGTGTCTCAAGTTCAAGGTAAAGGAGTAAGAATTTCCTAAGGTTTATGTATGCAAGACAACTTTCCTCATGATACAATCTTTCACTATCTTCTGCAAGTTCACTTCTCTCTCTTCCCATTACCATGACAATCCACATCCATAATGGATGTTGAGTGACAGGGGACAAATCCTATAAATATGACCAGTACTCCCAACATAAACATGTTTACCTGAGGAGAGCTTGTGGGGAAGGAAGATAGGGGCTCAGTATTATCTTTTCCTGTATGGCTCACTCTTAACAATTTTGTTGTATTTCTGTTTGCCTTGGTGAAAACAATGCATATTAATTCCTTCAATTAATTCAATAAATATATATTGAAAATCTAGGACATACCAGGCATGTTCTAGGTATCAGGATACAGCAGGAGCAAAAATTTCCCTCAAGAAACTGCATTAAAGTGGGGGAGACAATCCAAGAATACATATTCTGCAGATGTAACA
The DNA here is from genome assembly GCF_000001405.40 of Homo sapiens. NCBI lineage: Eukaryota > Metazoa > Chordata > Mammalia > Primates > Hominidae > Homo > Homo sapiens. The sequence continues at coordinate 158,382,726 of NC_000004.12, forward strand.
GGTGCTATGGAGAAACAAGGTAAGGCAGGCCAGGAAGGGGGTCATTGATCTTTTATGTAATGTAGTCAGGGAAAGAGTCACTGCTGAGAAGATAGAGGGTGAGCCATGTAGGGAAGAAAGTTCCAGGCAGAAGGAGCAATGAGTGAAAAGATTCTGAGGGGAGTTGTGAGCCCTGAATTTAGAGAAATAGCAAAAAGATCAGTAAGGCTGGAGCAGGAGTAATGGCCCTAGAATAGGAAAGATGGTCAGAGAGCAGCGGAGTAGGGGGGTGGCGCGGGTCAGGTGGGCCTGGTAGACGGCTGAAAGGACAGAGCATTTTGCTCAGATTAGGTTCTAAAAGGTTTTGCCAGAGAAGTGACATAATTTCATTTTATATGCTTAATAGAAACTTTATTAATACTCGAATGAAATTATTAACCAATGTTTACTGAGAATTAATGAAATGTTAATAGCTGTTTCAATGAAAAACATAACATCCTTGGAAGGACCTCTGATTTAGGGGGCATGAAGAGGTCAGTGACTTCCCTCCCCCAAAGAATAATATAAAACAGGAAAAAATGTCAAAACAATTAATTTAAGGTATTGAAAATTGCCAAAGGCAGACAATAAATTTAAAAGTATTTATACTTGACCAACTGCTAGAGCAGAGGAGTAAGTCAGCAGCAGGTGGTGGCAGGAGACTCACCCAGGGCAGCTCAGGCTGAAAAACAGCAGCTTCATTGTCAGAGGTATGGACTCAATTTGGGGCAGAGGTGGAAAACTGTCTTTGCCATCTAAAAGTTGTGAAATTAGTTGAGGCTGAACAGGAAAAACTCATAGCTTTGCAAGCTCAAGGTTTCACTTTTTGATAGCAATTTAATGGAGAGGTCCTGGAAATGAGTGATCTTTGAAACATGGCTAATAGAACTAAGAAACAGAATTGTTCATTTCATTTTAACTCAATTGAATTTTAAAAGCCGTATGTGGCTACCACATTGGATAACACGGATTTATACTATTACAATCAAGGATGGACAATCGGGAAGCTTCGGGAAGCTTTCCCAATTAAAAGTCATAATTCATTGCCCAATTTTAGAACCTGAGCCAATTTTCATATCCAGAACTCGCTGCCTGGAAAAGAGACTAAATCCCCATAAGAAAAGATTCTGCAGCAGCACAGCAAAGATACATGGTCATAATTCCTCTAGTCCTTTCCCAAAGGAACCTATAACCATGAACAGCCAGACACTGAGGACTGTAAGATACAGGATTAATATTTAGGTCAATAAACAATTTTTTGAGACCATATCATGAACTGAACATAAGAAATATAACCATAAATAAGCCTTGGCCTCTGCCTTGAAGGAGCTTATTGACTTTATCATAAACAATGAACTCAGGAATGTTATATACACAAAAACACAAAACATTCCAAGCCTACTGGAGATATATAGGTTGAGGTGATGAGGGGAAAGCACAGATAATATATTACATACTTTTAAATGGGGAGAAGTATTTCTCAAGCTTTTTTTAATTATCACTCCTCCAAGAAGCACTTTTAGAAATTTTATTCCTAACAGCCTTCTACCCCATGAAATGATATACTTAGTAATAAGATTCAGTATTGGAGGGTCACAAACCATTGTAATATCTAAGATTTTTCACCCTCCGTGAGACAAGAATCAATTTTCACCCCTGTAGGGGCAGTATCATTGAGAATGCAGATATAGCTTCTCTGCATTGTAGAGAAAGGTTACTTTTGCTGGAAGGGAATTAAGAAAGTCTATGAGGAAGTAACATTAGAACTGATTTAGAAACATGAGTATGATTTATTTATATAGAGAAAGAGATAAAGGAAGTGCAGTTAAGAGAATTTCTGGTATCACCTTGCTGAGAGAGAAAACCCTTGCGTAAGTCAAAGCTTTTGCCAACACCTTTGAAATCACTGTTGCTATGTAGTGGTTGGCTTGCAAAATCTGCAAAGGAAAAGATCAGAGAATACTCTGGGGACACCTGGAATAGACAGTTACAAACAAAAAATGTAAAATGCATGAGATTTATATTGTTTTTTTTTAATTTTGTATTTGATGTATTTCTTATCATCACTAATTTAGAATACAGTCAGCCCTACATATCCATGGGTTCCACATCCATGGATTCAACCAATTGTTGAAATACATGGGAAAAAAAATTATACAAAGTTCCAAAAGAGCAAAACTTAAATTTGCCACATGCCAAGTACTATGTTGAATCCACATGAATAAAATGATATGTAGGTAATTGTTAGGTATAATAAGTAATCTAGAGGTGATTTAAAGTATACGGAAGAATATTTACAAATATTACACCATTTTATATCAGGGACTTGAACATCCTCAGATTTGGTATCCAAGGCTACTGAGGAACAACTGTATTTCTAAATTGCTGTGGAAGTTGAAATTCTATTATTAACATACACGTTAAGTCAGAAGTTCGTAAGAATGAGCTGGGTAAAAATAAATGTAACCTTAAATACCACTTCTGTAGAAAAGCTACTGAGTCAAATATTATTTTAAGTTTTATTAACAACAGCAGCAACATAACTCTAATACAACCTTCCAGTACTTGCACATTTTAAAACCTATCATTACTTTGTCTTTCTAGCTGAGACCTCAAACACACCCTCATGCATACACTTTGCATTGCTACAACATATTTGAAGTTTTTTTGTAATAATCTACATAAGAGATGTGGAGCTGTATAATCAATACATGTACTAGGGCTGGGCATGGTTGCGGACGCCTGTAATCCCAGCTACTTGGGAGGCTGAGGCAGGAGAATCGCTTGAACCTAAGAGGCAGAGGTTGCAGTAAGCCAAGAGATCACGCCACTGCCTGGGCAACAGAGGGAGACTCTGTCTCGTGTGTATATATATATATATATATACACATGTATATGTATGTATACATATATATATGTGTATATATATATATATACATGTATATGTATGTATACATATATATATGTATATACACACACACACACACACACACACAGACACACACACACACACACACACACACACACACACACACACACACACACACTAGACAATAAGTCCTGGGGTCAGAATTAGTCCTGACTTATATTTTGTATCCTTATACCAGTTAGCAGTCCCTTGACCAGTTGCATCAAGGTTTCTTTGTTAAACTAAACATGTTTGGGACATTGAGATCAGTTTGAGTGCCTTGGGAACAAGGGTAAAAAAATGGAAAGATATGAATATACGTTTCCCATATCAGACATATAAAATCTAACCAATTGAGGATTTTTATTTTTGGCCTGAGGCACTGAAGACTCCATTACATTAAAAATTAAGACCCCTAGACAAAGAGGATATGAGAAATTTCCTTTTGGAATTAGAGGAGGAACCAAGGTAAGTTTGGATTAGAATATCTTTTTGAAAAGTTATTTTTTAGAATCACAATTGTGTTGCACAAAGAAAATTTTCTAATAGTTTGCTGACCACTGGTCTCTGATTTAACCACTGAAGGTAGTCCTAACTACTTATGATGACAGAATGCATCCTATAAGCTCTAATAGTAAATAAGCATAAATATTTGTTACATAAATTAATACAAATAAATATTATAGCCATAGTATTTTTGAACTTATATTTCAAGACTCCAGAATCCTCCATCCTGACCATAATTTGCTCTGCTTCCATCAATTCCACTCCTTTTTACCATGATTGCTACTCATCATCATCATAATCATCCATCCAAATCCCCGAAGGCTTAGCCATTGCCAGTTCTTCAGCCCATCTGGCCTCCTCTGGATTCACTTTCTTTCCCAGCATGGGCATCTACCGCTACCATTTTTTCACCTGTATGGTCAGTTTCTTGGTCCACCTTCTTTTCCATTTAACTTGCCTCACCAGTCCCTCCCTCCAGATTTAGCCGAAAGTCCTTTCTTTCTATACTCCAGCATCCAGGGTGAAGAAACTGACAGAAGCATCTGGGTTGAAATAACAAATGGATCGTTTCCAGCCACACCTGGGCCTTTTCAATAAACTGCCACATTTCTTTTAAAGGGACATTATTTTTTCACCTACAGGCTCTCAAAGGTAAAGCCTTTTGATATTTGTCCCTTTATATATCTAGAACACAGAGGAGAACATATATTTTCTCCTAATTATTTGAGATGACAGTGGAGGTTGTTTCAGTGAAATGCATTTTAACTGCAGATAACCAAAAATGTCTACAAATCAGCTTAAACGATAGGAAATATCTGATGTCACATAAGAAATCTGAGGAAGCACAGCCCACAGGGATGTTTGATGTAGTGACTCAATAAAGTCAACAGGCTGGGTACAGTGCCCCATGCCTGTAATCCCAGCACTTTGGGAGACCAAGGCAGGAAGATCACTGGAGGCCAAGAGTTTGAGACCAGCCTGGGGGCAACATAGCGAGTCCCCGTCTCTACAAAAAATTAAAAAATTAGCTGGGTATGGTGGTGCTTGCCTGTAGTTCCACCTACTCAGGCTAAAGCAGGAGTATCCCTTGAGCCCAGGAGTTACAGGTTGCAGTGAGCCATGATCACAGCACTGCACTCCACCCTGGGTGACAGGGCGAGATCTTTTCTCCAAAAAATAATAATAAAGTTATCAAAGACCTACATTATTTTCACCTCTCTGCTATCTTCATTGTGTTGTCTTTGCCCTCAGGCTGGTTCCTCACGGCCCCAAATACTGCAGGAGTTCCAAGTATCACGTCTAGATGTTATAATGTCCAGAGAATAAAGTGAAACATCTCAGTATACTTCCTTCATAAGAACATGAAATACTCTCCCTCCCTGAAAACCACTGACTGACTTTTCTTATGTCTCATTGAGTAGTTTTGGATCATATCCCTTTTCCTAAACCAATCACTAACAAGGGATTTCCATAATTAATTTCAACATTTATCTGAGGGTATCAACCACAGAGATTACAACCTAGACTATCAGGATCTGTCTCAAGAAAGTGTCATTCTATCAAGTTTATATATACTTTCTTTAAGATTTTGAACCAATAATTTTTTCAGTCAGCAGGCTTATTAGCATAAAGAAAAATATTAATAGAGTCAATTCAGTAAACATTCATTATATATGAACAACGTGGAAAATGCTGTGCTAGGTACTATAAGAAATAAAAATCAAAATAGGACAGTCTTTCTTCAGGATTTGTTTCCCTAGTAGAGGATCAGGCACATTGATACTGTCATAGAAGGTAGACTTTAATCGTCATATTGAAAACAGTGAGCGATTCATTCTGGCTGAGGTTTTTGTTATACTTAATTCTCTGATTTATGACTCCATAAGCCCACAGACATGCGGTACCCCCACAGGTTTGAAGGTGAACATTTCCCTCAGTGTTCACATGCGTAGAGCAGTTCTCCAAATGGCTGCCCTAATTTTCACACCACACACATCGGTCTAACATCATCCGCAGGCCCAATAATGTTTTATTTTCCAACAGACTGTGGGGTAAATGGCACCTTTTAAATGTTCCAGGCCAGGCGCAGTGGCTCATGCCTGTAATCCCAGTACTTTGGGAGGCCAAGGTGGGAGGATCAGTTGAGCCCAGGAGTTCAAGACCAGCAGGGTCAACATGGTGAGACCCCTGTCTCTACAAAAAAATAAAAAATTAGCCTGATGCGGTGGCACATGCCTGCAGTCCCAGCTACTTAGTAGGCTGAGGTAGGAGGATCCCTTGAGCTCAGGAGGTGGAGGCTGCAGTGAATTGTGACTCCAGCCTGGGCCATGGAGCAAGAACCTGTCTCAAAAAACACCCAAATGTTCCAGAGCATCGAATCAGGATTAGCTGCCATTTCTAGAAAATGACAAGAGGCCTGTTTTTTAAAAGTGACTCTACTCTGGAAATTGTCACATGGAGAACTGGAAGCAGAGATTTTATGAAATTCCCATGCTTTAAAAGAATCAAGAGGAGGTTAAAAAAAAATTAAAAGATTTTACCAAATCACATTGGAGGACAAACCTTTACAGGGAAACTTTGGTTGCTCCTCCTTTGTGTTGGGTACCAAGTTTTTTTGTAAGATATTAATAAATTTTCTTGTTCTAAATCCATAAATGCTCATATTTTAAAAGAGATGGCTCTTACGGGTATTATTTTATATTATATCCCCTCTCTGAAAATCTCTCAACATTGAGAATAAAATTTAATGGATGAAATTTATTTACTTATTTATTTATTTTATTTCATTTTATTTTTTTTGAGACAGAGTTTCACTCTGTTGCCCAGGCTGGAGTGTAATGGTATGATCTCAGTTCACTGCAACCTCCGACTCCGGGTTGAAGCAATTCTCCTGCCTCAGCCTCCCTAGAAGCTGGGATTACAGGAATGCACCACCACACCTGGTTAATTTTTGTATTTTTAGTAGAGATGGGATTTCACCATGTTGGCCAGGCTGGTCTCAAACCCCTGACCTCAAGTGATCTGCCCACCTCGGCCTCCCAAACTGCTGGGATTACAGGTGTGAGCCACCGCATCTAGCCAAGAATAAAACTTAATAGATCAAATTTATTTTTAAAAATCCGTTTATTTCCACCTCTGCTAAATCAAAGCTACTTTACTGAGCAGGTGGCTATCTGATTCTGTCATCTTATTAGCAGACACCAACCAAGAGGAGTTATGTGATACCCAGAGGAATATTAAACTGAAGAAATAAGGGCCACCGAGGGCTCATCTGTAGGCAGCTCTTTGAAGTTCCTCTCTGGGCCCAACTTTCCTCTGGCAGATTGGTAGGAGATAGCTGTCTTCACAGTGCACGTTCCCCTACCATTTCAAACACTCTTGACTAAATCTTAAACTACTCACTAGTTGTTGATTGTAAATCCATTTGCTTTTATTGTAGCACAATGCATGTTTATTGTAGAAAAAGCAAAAAAAAATACAAGTAAGGAAAAATAAAGTATGTAATTCCAATTATCCAAAGGCAATTACCGTTAATGCCTTCGTATATATGGTTCCAGGTTTATCTGTGCGTCAAAAGATTTAACACTATAGTTGAAATAGCTGAATAGTATTCCATTACATAGATATACATCAATTTAACAAATTGTTATGGTTTTCACAGCTATAAATGTCCATCTTCTCTTATTACAAATAGCCATTTCAAAGAATATGTCCGGTACTCAGGATCTGTGCATCTCCTAATTATTTCCTTTAAAAAGTCTATATTTTATGCTCAATACCACTAATCATTAGGGAAATGCAAATGAAAACCATAATGAGATACCATCTCACACTAGTCAGAAGGGCTTTTATTAAAAGGTCTGAAGATAACAGATGCTGGTGAGGTTGTGGAGAAAAGGGAGTGCTTATACACTGCTGGTGGGAATGTAAATTAGTTCAGTCACTGGACATTTCTCAAAGAACTTAAAATAGAACTACCATTCAACCCAGCAATCTCACTACTGAGTATATACCCAAAGGAATATAAATCATTCTACCATAAAGACACATGCACACCTATGTTCATCACAGCACCATTCACAATAGCAATTGCATGGAATCAACCTAAATGCCCATCAGGTGGACTGGATAAAGAAAATGTTGGGCCAGGCAGAGTAGCTCACGCCTATAAACCAAGCATTTTGGGAGGCTAAGGTGGGCGGACCACTTCAAGTCAGGAGCTCATGACCAGCCTGGCTAATATGACAAAACCCCATCTCTACTAAGAATAGAAAAATCAGCCAGGCATGGCGGTACGTGCCTACATTCCCAGCTACTGGGGAAGCTGAGGCACGAGAAACATTTGAAGCCTGGGAGGTGGAGGTTGCAGTGAGCTGAGATGGTACTACTGCACTCTAGCCTGGGTGACAGAGCAAGACTCTATCTCAGAAAAAGAAAAAGAAAGAAAATGTGACACTGATAACACCATGGAATACTACACAGTCACAGAAAAGAACAAAATTACATTCTTTGCAGCAACATGGGTGAAACTGGAGGCCATCATCCTAAGTGAATTAACACAGGAACAGAAAATCAAATACTGCATGTTCTTCCTAATAAGTGGGAGCTAAACATTGAGTACACCCAGGCTAGAGTGCAAAGGCACCACCTCAGCTCAAACATGGACACAATGAAGGGAATAATAGATATGGAAGCCTAACTGAGGGTGGAGGGTGAGAGGAGGATGGTGATTGAAAAACTACCTATCAGGCATTATGCTGATTACTTGGGTGACAAAATTACCTGTATACCAAACCCCCAAACACGTAATTTACCCACGTAACAAATGTGCACATATACCCCTTGAATCTAAAATGAAAGTTGGAAAGAACAAAAAGTCTGCATTTTAAAACATTAGATTTTTCCACACTTTTTTTCTATTTGTTTAAAAAGGAGAGAAAGGATATAAAAAGAGCTGGAGAATCTTTAAAATTCACATTTGGCAAATGTGAATATGGCTATGTTTTATGATCATTTATTTGCAGTTTTTAAGCTGTATACTTCCAAAAGGTTATTGATATTGGTTACAAGCAAATTTATGTACATGCATGCAGCAAAACACTAAAGGTAAAGAGATGAGAACGCACATAAAGAGGAGAGTAATGGTGTAAGGAAGGAGTAATGAGTTAATTTTAATATCAGGACAGCCAAGGAAAAAAAGGAAGCATTACAGGTGAGGTGATTCTCATTGTCTGATAAAAGGAAGCACACTATTTCAAAGGAGTCTTTTTTTCTAGCACTACACTAGTGATACAGTAATATATCCCATGTGTCTTTACATAAAGGCATTGATCAACGAATTTTTTTCATCCAACATTTCTTTATAAAGCCAAGGACACAATATTAAATTTCATTTCAGGAAAAACATTTTTATAGGAAAAGCTAACATAGTTCAAGTAGATATCTTGTGATCTAACTTGTTACAAAGAAAGAACTTAGACTAACATATAATAACGTTCCCATATGTGGTTTTCCTCCAACAGCTCTCATTTCAACCATACATTTGGCAGAAGCTAATTAACTGGGGACTCCAAAACTGCCTGATGGAGAGTCAATATTGACCTCAAATCTTTGAATTTGTTTGAAAGCCTACATAACTACTAAGGTGAGCCCCATAGAGCAAAATGTAGATGACTGGGATTAGAAATTCTTTTCAATGAGCTTCCTTGACCATAAAAGAATCTGAGGGTGGTTTGGGTAGAAAGAAGGTTGCCAGCTCAAAAGCCCTCAGGTGTCACTAAATGCATAATGGAGCCAGGTGTGAACAATGGCAAATTGAAGCTGCTTAGCCAAAGGGACTGAAAACATACAAACATTCAAAAGTATAAAAACACTGTTGGGCCAGGCACAGTGGCTTACACCTATAATTCCATCACCAGGGTCCGAGGCTGGTGGATCACCTGAGGTCAGGAGTTCAAGGCCAGCCTGGTCAACATGGTGACACTCCCATCTCTACTAAAAATACAAAATTAGCTAAGCATGGTGGCAGGCACCTGTAATCCCAGCTACTCAGGAGACTGAGGCAGGAGAATCAGGAATATAAATCATTCTACCATATATTTTATATATATATATATATATATACACACACACACACATATATATACATATATATGTGTATATGTATATATGTGTATATGTGTATATATGTGTGTGTGTATATATGTGTGTGTGTGTGTGTGTGTGTATGTATGTATGTATATATATAGAGAGAGAGACAGAGAGAGGAGGCGGAGGTTGCAATGAGCTGAGATTGCGCCATTGCACTCCAGCCTGGATGACAAGAGTGAAATTTCAACTCCGGGAAAAAAAAAAAACACTGTTGCAACCAGTCTCCTGGTAGAACTTGGTCTGCAAGCAGCCAGTTGGTATACCTGCTGACAATAACTGACTTGGAGCATTAGCGCTTCCTGTTGAGCCAACCAGAATGAGTTCTCTACAAAATGTACAGCCAAGTTCCTGAATAAATATACTCACTATTTGAATATTGGAATCCATCAGCCAAGAACACCTGTTTTAGTTTTTTAACAGTAGTAGGCAATCAGGGTGAAAGGCTCCTCCTAATCCATGATAGCGCCCCACGTCATCAGTTTAGAGAAGTTTGTTTTTCTATTTGCTGTAACAAAAGGACATGGATTACCTTAATATAAATAATAAGAATCAGACTATTGGTTTATGTTGATAAGAGGAGTGAGTAGAACATAGCTCTCTTTTATCTGCAATGGATCAGAGCACCCCATCATATCCATCTTGATTCTGGTAGGGGTATTATGAAGAATTCACACGCACTAGAAAGGCTCAGCCATCTTGGCTTTCTTGACTTCATAATTTAGCCATGCTTTGGCCAAATTGCTGAAAGACAGTAATATTTAGGTACATAATAAATTTAAGGGAGACGCATTCACTCTTAACCTTACTTGAGGGTCAAGGCAAATATTTCCAGAAAAATGACCCATGGGAAAATGATCTTTGAGTAAAGATTTTCTATGCCTCAGTGTTTTGCAGAGTCAATTCTAGGCATTCCATCCTTTCAACACTATCAACAAATGGGTTTTTGAACATGTGACTTATTTTTAAAACTGTAAAGATTTTCCTCAAATTGTATTCAAATAAGTCCTAGCCAAGTTAATATACATTAATACTTCTGTACTGCCCTTAAGAATAAATTCATACAAAAACACCTATTAACATAGAACTTTCCGTCATCTTCACCTTTGCTTTTTCTCAATTTTTTTCAAGAGTGTTGACCAGCACTGTTGCTACTAGCCACATATTATTGAAATTTAAATCAACATTAAAATTAAATTAAAAGCTCAGTTTCTTTCCACATTTTCAAGTGTTCAATGACCACATGGGTATAGTGGATACTATATTGGTCTGCACATATATAGAATATTTTCATCATCACTGAAAATTGTACTGGAGAGCCATGATTGAGATAAGAGAAAAAGCAACTGAATATTTGCCCATAAAGAAAATGACATGGAAATTTGCTGGGAGAAAACAATTTGCTTATAAATATACCTGCCAATTGAGAAGTCACAATTTGTTGGAGTTCAATTACAAAATTATTTTTGTCTTTCAACTATGTCCACCAGCAACACTGGATCAAATTTGCTTTTCCAGCTGGGTGACTGCTGCCTTAACAATGTCTTAGGATGATTCTGTAGTCATTTTTAGTTACTAAAACAATGTCAACAATCTTTTTTGTTCCAATAATTAAGACTCAATGTGGCTAGGCACATTGGCTCACACCTGTAAATACCAGCACTTCGTGAGGCCAAGATGAGAGGATCAGTTGAGCTCAGGAGTTCAAGATCAGCCTGGGCAACATGGCAAGATCCTGTCTCTACAAAAAAATTAAAAATTAGCCCAGTGTACCTGTAGCCCCAGAGGCTGAGGTAGGAAGACTGCTTGGGCCCAGGAGGTTGAGGCTGCAGTGGGTCATGATCTGATCCAGCCACTGCACTCCAACCTGGGTGACAGAGAACCTGTCTCAAAAAAAAGACCCAATGCCATTAAATTTTTAATATCTGAATGTCACACTCGACCCAGAACTCTTGTCCTCTCTTACCACTTCCCCTACCTCACGCAAGCTTTAGTGTTTGAAGTGAAGGAGGAAGGTGTGGTTTGTCTCTGAGACACTTTTTATTCCTTCTTTTTTAAAAAACTTCATTGTTTGAATTGACACATAATTGAAATAATATTCACAGAGTATATAGTGACCTTTTGATACTATATCATGATCAGGGTAATTAGCATATTCATCATCTCAAACATTTATCATCTCTGGGAACATTCAATATCCTCCTTCTGGCTGTCTAAAACTATATTATTGTTAACTATAGTCATCCTATAGTGCTTTATATAGAACACTAGAACTTATTCCCCATCTACCTTTAATTTTGTATTCTTTAACAAATCTTTCCATTGCCCATGTCCCTCTGCCATTCCCAGCCTCTAGTATCCTCTGCTATAGTTTTTACCTCTAAGAGTTCAACTAATTTTTAGCTTCCCCATGTAAGTGAGAACATACTGGGGTTTAACTTTCTATTCCTGGCTTATTTCACTTAGCATAATATTCCCCAGTTCTACACATGTTGCTGTGAATGACAGGATTTCTTTCTTTTTGTGGCTGAATAACATACCATGGTGCACCATGTGGTTCTTCTTCTATTGATGGACACTTAGGTTGATTCCTATCTTGGCTATTGTGAGTGGTGCTGCAATAAACACGGAGGTGCAGATGTCTCTTTTATATACAAATTTCCTCTCCTCTGGATAAATGCCCAGGGACATTTGCTACCATGGATTCGGGGACAAGATGATGATGGAGCTGAGGCAACAAAACTCTCCTCATGTGATTGTCTCCATGGGAAGACATAGAGTTGGGAAAGGCCTCTACTCTTCTTGTAGTTTAAGCTGCCTCCATCTGGTTGTGATGGCCTCCCCTGATGTGTCAGCCTCTACATAAGGGGTGTACTTGTGAAGTTTCACACTAGACCTATGTGTCCAATATCCTCTCAGTCTCCAAGGGCTCTTCCATTTAACACCTTTTCTCCTTCAACCTTGCCATGAACACATCTTCAAAATCAGGAGACACGGGCCAGCATTTCCCTCTTCTTTTCTATTATGAGGGAAGAGAGCTGAAAAGAAAAGCATGTCATACATATAGCAACAGAAGTCTCCAGATTCTAGCTTTGTACCGTGGCAGTCTCATAACCAATGAGGTTTATTCGAGGCGTGATTACTGCTAATTAAAAACTTTTTCCAATACCCCATCATCATGACTTGAAATATAGCTGGCATAGGCAATTTTTGACAGTCTCTATGGAGACTTAACTATCTCAGGTTTAAAAAAAGCTGACAATTTTTTTTTAAGTCTCCAGATTCTGCAGCTAAGTAAGTACTTGAAGGGAAAGGGTGTCAGTCTCCTCTTTTTCAAGACACCCCCAACCTTCATGAGCATTTTATCAAAGCTGACTCACTTGGCTCCATTAATGGAAAAGCACCACTGCCACCTTCTCAAGGACAGACATAGGAGAGAGGACCTCCAACCACAAATTGTGAAAGTTGTTCCTCCAAGTTCCTGGGATGCAGGAGGAAATCAGGGGACAGGGGGAGATGGTAACTAGTGGTAGTAGTAGGGATAAATGCCACTCAGCATGCACTGGCAACTATTAGTGGCTTAGGAATACTTAGTGCCTTGTGTCCTCAGCTTTGGGTTTTAGCCACAATTCTGAGACAACAGGAAAAATCAAACTCCACTTTCTCTTACATATGCAATAGATATTAGAAGCAGCCTTAAATTTATGCCTTAAAATTTCCATCCAAACATAGTAAAGATTTTTAGTCATTTAGAGCTATGTTCCAGAGCAGTTTCCAAGTCAGAATAAGTTAAACCGTTTGCCTTTTGATACTTGATATTTTATGGTTTCCAATTTGCTATTTTCAGCTAACCTTAGGGGTGAACAGCTCTAATTCATCTGAACGGAGAAACAGTGTAACCAACCAGTTTCTCACAGTGACAGAATACTTTGGCTGCTTTGTCCAGGCTGTTGGGATGGAGTCAGCCAATAGCTAAGAATGAGGGTCATTGATTCACATGACAGGGGGTCCAATGTAGGTCAAGTTCTACCTGCGTATCTGAGAATTGCCCCTGAATAATATTTATATCTGAATGAATCGATTCTAATATAGTAGTAAAAAGTGTGAGCTTCAGAGTCAAACACCTGAGCTGACAGTCCATCCCAACTGCGTATTAACTCTGTGAAGTTGAGCACATTGCAGAATTCCTGTGCCCCTGTGTAATCATCCCTACAATGGTGGCTCCTGGGTGGCTATGAGGGTAATATGTGATTACGCACCTGCAGGACTTACATGTGCTTAAACAGACACCATCATAAACTTTCATATTACATTCTGATAGAATTAGAAACTATAAAGGTGTTATGAGGAGGAGAGACATTTATGGAAATATTTGCCAAACTCACTTGTAATCTATAATTTGACCATTTACTGCACACACTGTCCATGCTCTAGATGTCACTGGACTCCATTGCTAGATGGTGCTCCCCAGTGTGATTTATTTTTCAGACATTGCATTATCTTTGGTGTAATATGTTTTTATTAAAGTCACATTACCATGTGATATTCAGAGCACAAAATTTAACATAAAACAAATTTAATACAAAGAAAGGCAACTTATGTCTAAATGATTTCTCTCTAACCCACTATTTGTAACAGCAGTAGAATAAAAGGAAATATTTTCACTGAAATAAAAATTGGACAGCAAAAATATATTTTTCAAAATGTAAGTAAAAATAAATTTATCTTAATTTTGGAATTCTTTATCGAAATGGCAAAAGTTGTTTTAATTGAATTAAGGTACTTCATATGAGAAGGCAATTCTGAGACAGTATTGTAGACATTGTTCACTCAAAATGCATGTTGAAGCCTCAAAGACCAATATAATCGTATTTGGAGATGGGATCTCTGGAAGATAATTAGGTTTACATGAGGTCATGAGACTGCCACTCTCCTGACGGCATTGGTGCCCTCATAAGGGTCCCAGAGAGCTTGCTCTCCACTCCATCCCACTTTACCCTATGCCTGCCATATAAGAACACAGCAAGAAGGTGGCATCTACAGGCAGGAAGAGAGCCCTCATCACAAACCATAGGCATTTTGATCTTGGACTTTTAGCCTCCAGAACTGTAAGAAAATAAATTTCTATTGTTTTGGACAGCTAGACTAAGACTGTGTGTGTGTGTGTGTGTGTGTGTGTGTGTGTGTGAGACAGGGTCTCACTCAAGGATCCTCCTACCACAGCCTCCCACGTAGCTGGGACTACAGGTGCATGCCACCATGCTTATCTAATTTTTGTATTTTTTGTAGAGATAGTGTTTCACCATGTTGGTCAAGCTGGTATTGAACTCCTGAGCTCAAGCGACCCACCCATCTCGGCCTCCCAAAGTGCTGGGATTACAGGCGTGAGCCACCGTGCCCGGCCCTAAGATATTTTATTACAGAGGCCCAAACTAAAGTAGCACTCTGCATGCTTCTATTATCAGCAAAAGTTTTTGAGTATGTTGAAATAAATGTGTGCGTTGTTACAGAAATAAATATATATAACTTTGAATGGACATTTAGAAATCTATTACAAATGGGGAAGAAAAGAATTCTGGAGTAATTTATGCAGTTCTGAATAAAAAGTAATGATCGGTTTGGT
The DNA here is from genome assembly GCF_000001405.40 of Homo sapiens. NCBI lineage: Eukaryota > Metazoa > Chordata > Mammalia > Primates > Hominidae > Homo > Homo sapiens. The sequence goes on from NC_000004.12 coordinate 158,397,929, forward strand.
TGGCTCCCTTACTGAGGCACTTATGAATCTAGTGCTGACCCAGCAAAACATCTTCCAACTCAGCACTTGGCTAAGAGGGCAGGAAAAAATCCTGCTCTAAAGAGATTACTTCAGAATTCACTTACTCTACTGTTTCAATTCAAACAAAAGTTTATACTTTCCTCATGACCATGGAAGATTGAAGTAAAACCACCATACTGGCATGATATAATGTAGTAGACAAACTGGCTCTTTATCAGAATATATGAAATTCATGCTGGGCCATTTATCAGTGACCTCGAATTAATTCTTTAACTTCACTGGACTTCGGTTTCTGCATTTGTAAAAATGAGAAAATAATGGCAATATCCGTCTCACTGGGTTGTTATAAGAATGTTAGAAAAGTGGCTGGCTTATGGCAAACTCTCAACTAATGTTAAATGTCCTGGCCTATCTGAGTATTAAATTCAACAAATGAACTCACATTCGTCCAGAAGAATAAGCATAGGCTCTAGATGACTGCAGAAAAATTTAACAAACCATTTAATTCAGACCCTACTGAAAACTCAGTAGGCCCTTTACAAGTAAAAGTTACCCCCACACTATAGTAAGCTCCATGACATTATATGATATGGAGAATTTTTTGTAGTGTATTCATCCATGATTTTGAATGAGAGTTGAAAAAATGTTTTTAAATGTTTAATGCTCATATGTGATTAGTTTTGTCAAAATAGAAATGATTGAAACAAATATATTTTAATTTTGCTACAAATTTTATGAAAGTACGCAAATCTTCCAGATGGTCATATATCATTTTCATTGCAGATTTAAAATAATTTTTATTTAATTTAAATGTAGTAATTGATTGTATTAAATTAATTTAAATAATCTTTAACATTAAACTTTGCTTTGTCAAGGTATAATTTTACATCCCAACTACATTGCTTTTTTATTCAATCTGAGAGCATCTGTCTTTTAGTGTGTGAGACCATTCGGGGTTTGTTCCTTGTAAACCTTTTGAGTTTTTCCACCTTGACCTCAGATAATTTCCCCCCACAAAAACACTGACCTATGCTCAGATGAAGACTAGAGGACCTGCTGCAGAGCTCTGAAGTTCTCTGGAGCCCTCTCCCCCTGGATACTTTGCCACCTTAGCCTACCCAATTTCTAGCTCTGTCTCCTCAACTCAGGGATACCACCAACCTCCTCCTCCTGGGATCTGCTTCCCTCTAGCATGGCCTGGAAACTCTCTCCTGGGAGGAAACTGGGGCAATCCTAGTCCTCACCTCATTTGTTTCTCCTCTCCCAGGAATTCTTGTCTTTTATTACCTGATGTCCCATGTCTTGGTAAACCATTGTTTCATATATTTTGTTCAGTTTTTTTGTTCAGGCAGAAGAGTAAGTCCAGTCCCTGTTACCACAGAAGGGCTTCCACCTTGATTTCCAACAGGAAAATTGAAATGAGCACCTGCACTTATAAAGCCTTATTTGTTCTCTCTCATTTGAGGGACATGGAACCCTTGACTGCCTTTAGCAAATTCTGTGATGCTTTCCAATACCACTAATGGCCTATTTCATGTCTGCTCCAGTGGGACGGTGACCTGCACCCAGGAATGGCCCTTCAGCCTGCCTCCTGCTCTTCCTCACCCCAACTAGAAGGTGGTAGACAAGAACATTTCTAGGCAGGATCTCCAAGGCCCAGGCAGAGGAGCACAGAAAAAAAAAAAAGGAGACAGCAGCCCAACCCAGTACATATAATTTAAGGACCCCTTGTCCTTGACAATTGATTTGATTGTCATCTTCCCACTGGACATTTTTTTTAACTCAATGCTATTCACTCCTTTTATATGCTATATTTAAACTTGTTGGGAGAAAACAACATGTGCTTCCGTTTCTCCTGACATCTTCCTTTCCCATCCATCCAAGTCCTTCCCCCATCATTTGCAGCCCAGAAAGAATGCAAACTGTGGTACCTAGGCCCGTATAGCTGTCAGGGCTCAAAACACAATACCCTTAAACTTGGCACCTTGGCATGCTGAGTACTTTGAACTGAAGGAAACTGGAAGGCCTCTGAAGCAAGGTATTTCTGACCTTCTCCCATCTTCCTGTTTCTTGCCCCTTCTTCTCCCTCTAAACAAGCATAGAAAACAATTCCTCTTCCCAAAGGCAGGCCATAGAAGTAGAACCTCTCTTCCCCAAAGAAAACCATAAAGCCTAGAAAGATCACTCTCTCCTTCTACCTTGAAGACCCTCATTTCAGAGGGGTTGTGCCTCAGGAGGAAGGAATGCTACACAGAGAGGCCAAGAAGACTCTGAACAGAGAGGCCTTGCTGGGGTCTCCCCATTCACTCAGTCAATTACCACTCAATCATACACTTTTGTCCAACCACATTTCCATATGGCTGTCCATTTTTCATCAAACTTAAGCACAAAAATAGGCAGTTTTCCCTGGGTCTTTGAGTCTTCATATCTGAAGGCTCCTGTGTCATGCAAAACTTTGATTAAATAAATCCTTATGCTTTTGTCTTGTTAACCTGTCTTTTGTTATAAGGGTGTAAGCCGTGCCCCTTGTGATGGGTGAGAAAAGGGATCACACCTTTCCACAGCCCCCATCTACCACCACCCAGATCCACCTGGTACCACGAAGGGCCTCAGTACAGCTCGTGGGGAAGCCAGTCTATATCTGTATGTCCTGATCACATACCCCCAAAAATGCTGCTGGGCCCTGTAGCCACAGGGGTAAACAACTGGAGCTCTGTTGGACTTTGGGTGATCCATCTGGGGAGGATGCCTTGGGACCTAAAATCAGGCCCATTCCTTTGCACAGGGACTTCTATGGTCCTGGAGAACCAGGACAGCATGTAGAAGTGGGTGAGGGAGGGAGGAGGACAGAAGCTGCTGGTGTGTGGGTGCCCTTGACCAGTGAGGAACTGGAGTTCAGGGTGGCAACTAGAAGGCAGGGTACACAGGGCAGGGGCTCCAGTGACCCAGCTCTAGAAGCGGTACTCTCTCACTATAAAACTCTCACTAAGGAACCATATTGAAATGTATTTCTTTAACTATGTAAATACTGCTTGTGAGAAACTATATTATTTCTATCTAGTATTAATTACTTGGAAAAATCAAACTCATAAATTTGGCCACAATAGTCAACAAATAATTTCTACCTAAAAATGATAAAGACTTCGGCAGAATTTTTTTTCTTCCTCACTGGTCAAGTTGCTTTCTGGTAGACAGTGAGCTAAAATTACAAGAAATTCTCTGGGGAGCAGATTGTAAGAACCAGAATGAAATAAAGTGTGCTTCTTCAGAAACAAAATGTTGGAACTCCATTCCAAATACCATTTGCTCATAAGAGATAGAGTTTTATTTGTCTTCAATGTATCATTCCAAGAAGTTTTGACTACCATGATTCGGCTTAGACATCCAGTGGGTATTTTCAGATACACGTCATCCCTTAAGGGAGATTTACATGCAACTAACAGGTGTCATAGGGAAGGTTAAAAAAAAAAATGCTTGTCTGATGAGGGTGTCCTTCAATTCACTTCACCTCAAGCATTTGATCAAAGTTCACTAGATATAGGTCTGTCATGTGGAAATAAATGGAAGCCTTTCAAATAGAAATCTGACTATACCCTGCCAAGATTAATTCCTCACTAGATTTATTTACACACACTTGCAGTTTTTGATGTCTTTGGGAGATCAGCACTTATTTTGGAAAAATGATCAAAAAAGATTATAAATTAACAATATCTTTTTAATGTCTCAGGTCAATAACTAATTTAAGAAATTTGCTTAAATTTTTCTTATTACACTCTTAAATAAAATCCACAAACCAAACAGGAAGCAGCTTCATTAATCCATGACAAAGGAAAAAGTGACATATCTGAAATAAACTTGGAAAACTCTAAAAAAGCAATATAATTTTTGCAGTATATTACAGTGACAGTAAAAGACAGAAACTAGGTTTGACTTAAAGTCACACAACAGCTGCACAAACTGATATTTTAAATAGAAAACTCTGTCTTCAGAGGATAAAATAGAAGTCAGGAATTTTCAAAGAGAAAAAAAATCAGAAATTATCTTTAAAAACCAGCTGGACATGCATCTTGCTTATGTCTCACATGAATTCTTGCTGAAATTTAAATGAACCTTGCTAGAACATTGGCAAAGTGAGGACATTAAAATAAAATATTACATGCTTGACTAGTCCAGGAATTTGGGCTTCTGAGATTCAAAAAGATGGACTGAAAAAGCACTGAGAGGTAGTGAGCAGGTATATTCACATGGAGATGAGATAGTTGCAAGACAGGCATGAGCAGGAATGATTATTTCACTGCTAAAGAGTCAGGAGTGTGGAGAAGAGGGAATTCTTGTACGCTGTTGGTGGGGATGTAAATTTTATGGAAAATTATACAGAGGGTCCTTGCATTAGTCTGTTCTCATGCTACTCTAAAGAAATGTCCGAGACTGAGTAATTCACTAAGAAAAGAGGTTTAATTAATTCGTAGTTCAGCATGGCTGGGGAGGTCTCAGAAAATTTATAATCATGGCAGAAGGGGAAGCAAACACATCCTTCTTCACATGGTGGCAGCAAGGAGAAGAATGAGTGCCCAGCAAAGGGGGAAGCCTCTTATAAAACCATCAGATCTCATAAGAACTAACTCCCTATCATGAGAACAGGATGGGGGAAACTGCCCTCATGATTCACTTATCTCCACCTGGTCCGTCCCATGACATGTAGGGATTATGGGAACTACAATTCAAGATGATATTTGGGTGGGGACACAGCCAAACCATATAAGTCTGCCCTGGCCCCTCCCAAATCACATGTCCTCACATTTCAAAACACAATCACACCCTTCCAACAGTCCCCCAAAGTCTTCACTCATTCCAGCATTAACCCAAAAGTCTAAGTCTAAAGTCTCATCTGAGACAAGTGAGCTCTATGGTTGTCCCAACTTATTGCTCAGGAGAATTCCTGATGCAGGCAGGGGAAACTCAGCAAAACCCAACCATCTTCCCGAGTTGAGGAAATGCAACTGAGACTCCAGGGAGACTAACAAGGCTAGAACTGGCAGCACAGATAACTGCAGCAAAGAGAACTTCCCAGAGACAGAAACCTGGGAATCTGCAGAGGCTCCTCAAGTATTCAGCAAATCAAAGAGTACATATAAATAAACGATCTAAGTCCAGAGAAAGAGCCATCAGAAAGAAGTAGAGGGAACAGCACCCAACACTCTCACAGGGCCCAGAATAGTACCTGCTCCAGCCAGCCAGATTCAGAAATTTCATAATCCATGGGGCAGCAGGTTGAGCAGGGGCCCCCAAACCTGGGCCACAGACCAGTACCAATCCGTGGTGTGTTAGGAAACAAGCCACACAGCAGGAGGTGAGTGGCAGGTGAGCAAGCATTACCGCCTGAGCTCCACCTCCTTTCAGATCTGCTGCAGCATTAGATTCCCATAGGAGTATGAACCCTATTGTGAACTGTGCAAGCGAGGGTTCTAGGTTGCATGCTCCTTATGAGAATCTAATGCCTGAGGATCTATCACTGTTTCCCATCACCCACAGATGGAACTGTCTAGTTGCAGGAAAACAAGTTCAGGGCTCCCACTGATTCTACATTATGGTGAGTTGTATAATTATTTCATTATATATTACAATTAACATAGAAATAAAGTGCACAATAAATGTAATGTGCTTAAATTATCCTAAACCACCCCCCACCCTGGTCCATGGAAAAACTGTTTTACATGTAACCAGTCTCTGGTACCAAAAAGGTTGGGAACCGCTGAGGTAGAGTACTCAGATAGGATTTGCCTCAGGCATGGGGAAAAAATAGCCTTAGACTATATGTTGCTCTGGTCCTGCAAGACTTGGAAGAATCCTAGCAGTAAAATTGTTAGACCAAATTGCATGCACATTTTACATTTTGATATACCCCCTCCCCCTTGGCCTCTAAAAAGTCTATCAATTTATGCTGTCCATTTTATTCACAGAGTTGTCATCAAGGCATTGATGTATTTATTTGTTGGTCTAATGGGTAAATATTTATTCTTATGGCTTAACTCCCTTGTTCCTTATCAACTATCTAATCTGACTTGGCTGCTCCATGAATGTGAATTGCTGACTATTGCTACACTCTATTGACATCCTTGAATCTAACTCAGACCGGTAGATACAATCCAAACCTCAACAAACACAGGCACGTGAGGGTCCCAGTTCAGAGACTGTCCACTCTCTCCTAACAGGGAGAATGCAGATTCTAATTGCCAATACTTTCTAGTTTCTCAAACAAAAGACAACATAGGCAAAGCTCACCTTACTAATTTAAGATATTTTTTACCAATGGGCTAAGAATAAAATAATGCAACAAGTGCCTATCTTTCAGAGGCAGATTTGAAGTCAAATATCTTCTCTTTTATCTACTAATTGGATGACCCTGAGCAAAATAAATTATACTCTCTAAACTACTTTCTTCACCTGTAGAATGAGAGAAGGTTAACACTACTTTTGAAGGGTTGCTGTGAGGAATAAATGAGGTAATGAATGAAAAGTCATTATGGAAGTGACTTATAAATATATAAAAAGATGTGTCCCTAAATTTAAAAATTACCTAACGTATTCTAAGTTGTCTAAGTAAACTAGATTCAGTTTTTTGTGAAATTACCTTCATCAAACTTTAAAGAATCTCAAAATAATGTACAAAGATAGAAGCAAAATCAATAATGCATTGTTAACTTGACAAAATTCTATTTCACATTCAAATTTAAAGACAGCTAAATAATGGCAAAAAATTTTAAAGATCACCCCAAAATAAAGAAGCCATTTGCCACAAATGAAAAACATTGTCAATGTATTCATTTTTGTGTTGCTGTTTTAAGAAATCACCACAAACTTAGTGGCTTAAAAGAACACAAATTTATTATCTTACAGTTCTAGAGGTCAGAATTCCAAATGGAGTCTCAGACGATTAAAATCAAAGTGCTGGCAGGGCTGGTTCCTTCTAGAGGCTCCAGGAGAAAATTCCATTCTGTGCCTCTTCCAGTTTCCAAATGCCACCAGCATTCCTTAGCTTGTGGCTGCATCACTCCAACCTCTCACTTTCATAGCCACATTTCCTGCTACTCACTGTGATCTCCTGCCTCGCTCTTATAAAGGTCCCTGTAATTACATCAGCCCCACCTGCATAATTGAGGCAAATCTTCCCATCTCGAGAATCACAATTTAACCCTATCTGCAAAATCCTTCTGTCATATAAGGTAACATTCCAGGTTCCACAAGTTAGGATATGGACATCTGGGCTAGGGGCACTATTCAGCCTACCACAGGGAAAAATGCAAACAGTCATAATTCAGGCAACAGACACATTAAGAGCACTGCACTGAGTCACACAAATCAGGTTAAGAAGCAACACGTGATACAAGGGTGATTTAACATTAAACCCTCCACAAAGCATCTCCTGATTCCCTTCAATAAGCTGTGAGCAATTGTTTTAAGGCTATGTATTTAAAAGCATGTGTGGCAAAAAAGGGGAAATCTTGACTGAACACCTACTGTGTGCCATGAACTGTCTGGGCACTGAGGATACAACAGTGAACAACCCAAAGTCTCTCCCTTCATGGAGCCCTCATTCAAGCAGAGGGACACGGTATACCAACAAGTCTTCTAGTAACACCAGCAATGTTGCCTTGATTGAAAGTAGTGAGATTCATACATTCTGTATGACTCCAGTATAAAAATCTGGAAAATATTAACAGTATGATTCCCAGGGCACCTGCCTGAAATAGACAAGGCTAGTGCAAAAAAAGTTAGGACTTATTCTAAAAACTAAAATAAAATAAGCTTACACCTGAAGACACGGGTTTGGTTTTCTTTTGTTTTTGTTTGTTTGTTTTTGAGAGGGAGTCTCACTCTGTCACCCAGGCTGGGGTGAAATGCCACAATCTTTGCTCACTGCAACCTCCACCTCCTGGGTTCAAATGATTCTCTTGTCTCAGCCTCCCGAGTAGCTGGGATTACAGGTGCACGCTGCCACACCCGGCTAATTTTTTGTATTTTAGTAGAGACCAGGTTGGTCTCAAACTCCTGAGCTCAGGCAATCCACCCCCCTCGGCCTCCCAAAGTGCTAGGATTACAGTCATGAGCCACCACGCCCGGCTGAAGACATGGGTTTCTTCATACCCTAGTGAAGGATAGAAAAGAAAATTTGGAAAAGATGAATGAATTCCAAAGGCCATTAATAGTGGGCTGCAGATTAAATAGACTACATTATGAAGAAGGGAAGCTATTTTTTTCAACCATATAACTCAGTTTAAGGTACAAGAAGACTCCTGAGATATAAAACAGAATATTTCATATGAAGGAGTAAGAATGGCCTCATTTTTCTGGCCAAATTTGACATTAACTAAAATAGGAAAAAATGAATCTGTGTCTTCCAATTATGTTAAACTCACATTTGGTTAATTTGAAAGGTTAACCAAAAAATGTAGCTACAGGAAAATATGAGAGGCTGATCTAATGGGATTATTTGTTTCTTGGTGTGAAATTATTTTGGTTTATTACTATCTTATTATATTTCCCAATATCCCTTTTCCTCTTTCTCCTAATAGCTTACTTCTCCTGAGCTCCCACCTCTGATTCAGTTCTCCTTGGTTAGGGTTTTCTACTTACCTATATGAAATTTACTAAAGAAAGGCAGTAAGTAGCATCTTGGCTATCCTGTGTGCCTCATCAAGAAACCAAAAAATAAAAACTATTTTTAGCATATCAAACTTTGACAGTTCTTTTAGAAAAAGTAAATCTCCTTTTTAAGGCATAAGGAAACACTTATGCTGAGACAGAGAACAACATGGGGAAAATATGCCTCCATGATCCAATCACCTCCCACAAGGCACCTCCGCTCACACGTGGGGATTTAAATTTGAGATGAGACTGGGTGGTAACACAGTCAAATCATATCTATAAGGTAACGTGCAATCAGCCACATCTGAAAGAAGGTGGGAAATCATTAGCAGAATCAGTAAGTGTATCCATTAGAGCTTAATCAGAGGAGGAGGATCACAAAGATGGACACAGAAGAAGGGATTTATTAAAAAGTTTAAACTTTAAAATTGTTTGAGAAGCTGGGGAAATAAAACTCCAGAAGAAAGCATTTTAGAGAATTAGAAAAAAAAAAAGTCACAAACCAGGAACCTCAGGCAAGAGCTGATGGAGAGGTCTTTCTGCAAGTCTCTTACCTCTGCACCTGGCAGTGAGTCTGAAGTTGCTACAGGTCAGGTAGGCCAAGAGATAGGAAAATAAACTTGGCTACAAAGCTGGAGAAATCGAGGAAAAACTAGAATCCACGAAGGCCAACAGGAACTCACAAAAACAAACTGAAACCCAAGAGGACAAACAGAAACATGCAGGAATATCCCTGTCCATACTGCAACAGTGGTGACCTACAGGAATCTGGTGCCTTTCACTGTGGGGCTGCGCAGGTGCCTGGCCCTGGACTTGGAGAAGCTGGAGGAGGGGACCCAGCAAGATCTGACACAGATGCAGACATTGATGCAGATGAAGCTGCAGGTCTTGCTGCTGCCCGCCCCAAAGAAGCAAATCAGCAGATCATTGGCCATATACATAGAACCCTACAATGAACCTTCTGAGTGCCATTGCCTGCTGCCTCCTCTGCCCTCCAAATGTCACATACATTTCTCCTGTGCCCAACTCTAACCCAGAATCATACAGGAAAGGAGCATCCAGCACAACTTTTCCTTACATATATAATTTATTCAATATTATTTCCCAAGCCTATCATATATAAATTCACATTGTCTCCCTTTTTCTATCCTAATATCCCCCAAATCCTCTAAAGCAGTGATTCTCAAACTTTAGAGTATAGAAGAATCACCTAGGAATCTTCCTAAAAGGCAGATTCCAATTCAGTAGGTCCAGGATGGGGCCTGAGGTTCTGCATGTCTAACATATGTCTTTATGAGAGGTGACAGCGTGTTGGCAGCCCTCACAGCCCTCACTCGCTCTCGGAGCCTCCTCGGCCTTGGCGCCCACTTTGGTGGCACTTGAGGAGCCCTTCAGCCCACGGCTGCACTGTGGGAGCCCCTTTCTGGGCTGGCCAAGGCCGGAGCTGACTCCCTCAGCTTGCAAGGAGGTGTGGAGGGAGAGACGCGAGCCGGAACCGGGGCTGCGCGGCTTGCGAGCCAGCTGGAGTTCCGGGTGGGCGTGGGCTTGGCGGGCCTCGCACTTGAGCTGCCGGCCGCCCCGCTGGCCCCGGGCAATGAGGGGCTTAGCACCCGGGCCAGCGGCTGCGGAGGGTGTGCTGGGTCCCCCAGCAGTGCCGGCCCACCGGCGGGGCGCTCAATTTCTCGCCGGGCCTTAGCTGCCTCCCCGCGGGGCAAACCCACCAATTCCGGACACATTTACACAAGATTTAATCCTCAGAAATAAAAATGCTGTTGTGGAAATTTTTAAATTGTGTTTCAGGAGGTCCTGAAACACAATCAAATAAATAAGTAAAAGATTTCATATAGATAAGTAAAAAACCCTAAACAAAGGAAACTTAATTGGAGGAGAGAGCGCAGGAGAATTAGGGTATTAGGAGAAGGAGGAAAAGGGATACTATAAAATACAAAAGAAAAATAATAAACCGGCCGGGCACGGTGGCTCACGCCTGTAATACCAGCACTTTGGGAGGCCGAGGCGGGCAGATCACGAGGTCAGGAAATCGAGATCATCCTGGCTAACACGGTGAAACCCCGTCTCTACTGAAAATACACAAAAAAAGAAATTACCTGGGCGTGGTGGCGGAGGCCTGTAGTCCCAGCTCCTCTGGATGCTGAGGTAGGAGAATGGCGGGAACCCAGGAGGCGGAGCTTACAGTGAGCCGAGATCGCGCCACTGCACTCCAGCATGGGCGACAGAGCGAGACTCCGTCTCAAAAAAAAAAAAAAAAAAGAAAGAAAGAAAGAAAAAAAAAAGAAAAATAATAAACCAAAAGAGTTTTGTACCAAGAAGCTAATCATCCCGTTAGATCACCTCCCCAGAGGTGCCTAACAGGCCATGGATTGGTGGGGAAAAAGAAGCAAAGGACAGGTTTGGCCTCTGCGCCTGCCTTGTCTGCACTACTTTTATCTATTTTAAGGTATTCGAATTTCGTGTAAAATTTCACTTGCAGAAAAATATAGATGAGTTCCCTGGTGATATGGTTTGGCTGTATGCCCACCAAAATCTCAACTTGAGTTGTATCTCCTAGAATTCCCACAGGTTGTGGGAGGGACCCAGGTGGAGGTGATTGAATCATGGGGGCCAGTCTCTCCCGTGCTATTCTCGTGATAGTGAATAAGTCTCATGAGATCTGATAGGTGTATCAGGGGTTTCCGCTTTTGCTTCTTTCTCATTTTCTCTTGCCAGCGCTGTGTAAGAAGAGCCTTTCACCTCCCGCCATGATTCTGAGGCCTCGCCAGCCATGTGGAACTGTAAGTCCAATTAAACCTTTTTTTGTTCCCAGTTTCGGGAATGTCTTTATCAGCAGTGTGAAAACGGACTAATACACCTGGTTTAACGACAACACAGATTGAAAATCATTTGAGTCTCAACGACCATGAGCTTAATTACAAAATTATTTTGGCATTGTTTTTGAAGAAAGGAAAATAAATGTTCCACTCAGCATTCTCTGAACTACATTATAAAAGTTTTAGTTTGGCACATTGAGAACATATGTTCATTTATTATTTTATTGATCCTTGCCTGTTCAAGAATACGAAATTGTCCTCAAATACTTTTAATTTTTATTTATTTTTGAGAGAAGGTCTCACTCTGTCACCCAGGCTGGAGTGCAGTGGTGCCATCATAGCTCACTGCAATCACCAACTCCTGAGCTCAAGTGATCCTCCCACCTCAGCCTCCCAAAGTACTGAGATTACAGGCATGAGCCACCACGCCTGTCTTTCCTCAAATATTTTTAATATATTAACTGAATTCCCTTTATAACCTTAGGCGAAATCACTAACTTTCTCAAGAGCTTATTTATGTATGTTTAAATTCAAGTCAACAAACATTCGTTGAATACTAAATATGTTAGGGTAGGGGTGTATCGTGTTAGGGTACAAGGGGCTTCACTCATGATTTCTGTCTTTGAAGAGATTTGCTTTCTATTAGGAAGAACAAAATGACTTACTATAAAACACCGTGAGAGGAAACCCATAAAAAGTGTTAATGTGCAAGAATTCAAATGAGAAATTGTCTCCAGTTGGAATGACCAGGTGGAGTTTAGAATTGGTAATGGAAATAAATCCTCAAAGGATGGATACGAATTCTTCTATCATTAATGAAGAGAAAAAAGTATTTCTGGTGAAAAGCACAGGTTGGACAAAGAATGGAGTCCAGAAAGTTAGAGAAATAGAGGTCCATGGGAAACAAGATGAGTGAGACCGGATTTGGACAGGGAGCAGAGTCCCCATGATTGTTGTGGAATCACTTGTCACAGGAGTTCAGTCTTAATTGTAGGAGGAGCTGGGAAAATGAAGATCCAGAAGAGGGAGTTGGAGGATCAGAAAAGACACTCGGCAGTCCTTTTAAGAACCCATGTCCAGCACAGCAAATGAGACTGGGAAGCGGAGTTCATAGGGAGGTATATAGACAGCTGTTGTTAATGTGAAGCTAGCACATCTGAGAGTGCACAAACATCTGGAGGCTGCCCAGAGGCTGATGTTGGTCAACAGGACCAACAGTTGAGGAGCTAGATACAAATCAGAAGAGAGCCAGAGCAAGTGGGAACCCGCTAGGCACCTCTACATGTTTTCATTACCTTCTACGACTAAAACCACCTTTAGAGAGTAATGGCCACTACTTCACTTTTGCTTTTTGATTCTCACCTGAGTTCTTCATAAGCCACACAGGGCAACTTATCCTGGGAAATATAGTGCCCAACTTAAATGAGTCAACGCGAACAAGCACCACACAAGTTGTCCTGATTAAGAGATATAAGATGCATATGTGAATGTGCTGAAGGTCAGTTTGGTTAAGGTATCAGGGAACATGAGAGTGACCATGATTTCCATGGTGTGAAGTTGATTCTTAATCAAGGGAATCATCTCTAGTGAGGTGAGAGTGAGGTTTATTTTTGCAGGTTCAGGATGAAAAGCCTGAGACTGATCCAAAATTATCCAGTCCAGCATAAGAAAATATTCCTTGACAGGATGCCCTAATCCATGCAGCCATGAGAGGGTTTTATTTAGATGAGAGAGAGAGCTCTATAGCAGTGCCTTCCAACTCCTGTGTCAAAGCAAGCCATTGTACTGGTATATGGAAAAGGGTTCAGGTATGCTGAGATATTCATCCTCCAAGCCTGCAGGGCAGCATGGTCGCAGTCAGAGCTCCTAGACCAGCTGCCTTGGGCAATGAGCATTTCTGTCCAGGGCTGAAGGCAGTGAGCATACTGGGCTACATTTATTTCTTGCTGCTTCCCCACCATTCACTCAGCACAGTGTGTGGTACTCTAGCACCTGGGCATCTCTTCCAGTAGCCATCTGCAGCATGAATTGCTATTCATAATGGACAAGGTGCCTGCAGAGCTGCTGAAGGAGTGCATGTTCCAGATGCCCAAGGAGCTCAGCAGGCAGCCGTAAGTATACTAGCAGGAGGTAAGAATGGCAGGAGGCCAGGGAGACTGTTTTTGGCAGGCACCACCCAAGGAGTAGCTCTGAATCTCTGCCTTCAGTTTTTGTAACACATATGGGTTTGTGGCTTAACTTGTTCCTTTTCTGATTCCAGCTAGCTTCAGGTGCACCTACATTCTGACAATTAGAGCCTTGTCATTATTTTAAAATTGTGACATAAAAAATTTCATGTGGATTCAAAATCTATTAATATTAAAGATAATTTCAAAGTTTCATCTCTGAGGGAGAAAATGGGGTCTTCTTTAAATACAGTTTCAGCTGTTACAAACAACTTGAATGGCTGAAAAAAATGGTTTTAATTTTTTAAATTACATGGCTATGTGAACAAAATTTATTTGATGGTAGCTATAAACAAAGTAATCATCATCTGAAATCATTAATAAGGAATTTACTATAGCCATTGAGAACATAAGACCTAATAACAAAATGTTATGTTCATGGAAGCAAATATGAGTTTTTTATTAAAAACCTTGGAAGATTCTATTTGTAAATTTTAATCATGTTCAATTGGTAACAACTAAAAAGTATATATCATATAAAATAAATGTAATAAAATTTTTCACTAAGCACCACGGAGATTCCTCCAGATCCCCCCATTTACTCCAGTGTATTGTATGATTGTAATTTTATGGTTTTCTATTTATTTCACTATGTTAAATATAAAATTGTCATGAAGAACTACTCTTGAGAAGGTTAGAAATGCACATTTCTTTGGGGTCAGAGAGACACAAATCTTGTAGCTCTAATTCCATATGTCCCCCTTATATCCCAACATTATCTTAACATTATATCCCAGTGGGCTGGCATTATTATGAAGGATATTTACAATTGAGACTCCTGGATGCAGGACTACTCTCCAGCTCCATGTCAGATAAAAAAAAATCACCCAGTGGCAAATGATTAGTGATTGGTAACTACTGATTTGTCTTCTCAGTTTATCAATGTTTCTCTGAAAAAGTAATTATGTTAACTGAGTTCTTTAAAACTTATAGATTCAAGACTGCATTTTAAGAAGACCAAACTGGCTGAGACTATATATGATGAGGAGAAAAGGGAGGAATGAAAGAAGGGAAGAAAAGTTGTATGCTGTTGCAATAGTCAGAGGACAATAATGAAGACCTAGCATAAGGCTGTACAGTAGCTGTGGAAAAGAGATTCTTGAGGCACTTTGTAGATAAAATCTTCAGAACTCTTGAGTTTGGGGAGAAAGAGACATGTGAAAGAAGTCAAATATGACTGAAATGTTGATTGTGAGAGGATGGTAAAATAGAGTTAAGGAAGAGAAAAGGAAGAGATGGTTTAGGGAGGAGAATAATGTATTTGGATCTGGAAATGTTAAATTTGGGTCCTGGGGTAGGACAACAATATAAACTGTTCTGCCAAAAAACCAAGTTACTGATCAGAATATGAGGAGAAATGCCCTCAAATATATAGCTTAATTCTCAAACAGAAGGAGGAACATATTTTTTAATTGTTTTTCCGTAAGTTATTGGGGCACAGGTGGTATTTGGTTACATGAGTAAGTTCTTTAGTGGTGATTTGTGAGATTTTGGTGCACTCATCACCTAAGCAGTATACAGTGCACCATATTTGTAGTCTTTTATCTCTCACCTCCCTCCCACTCTTCCCCCCAAATCCCCAAAGTCCAATGTATCATTCTTATGCCTTTGCATCCTCATAGCATAGCTCCTACATATCAGTGAGAAAATATGATGTTTGGTTTTCCATTCCTGAGTTACTTCACTTAGAATAATAGTCTCCAATCTCATCCAGGTCACTGCAAGTGCTATTAATTCATTCCTTTTTATGACTGCATAGTATTCCATCATATATATATATATATATATATATATATATATATATATATATATATATATACATACACACACACACATACACACACACACGTACATACACACACACACATACATACACCACAGTTTCTTTATCCACTTGTTGATTGATGGGCCTTTGGGTTGGTTCTACGATTTTTCAATTGTGAATTGTGCTGCTATAAACATGCGTGTGCAAGGATCTTTTTCAAATAATGAATTTTTTTCCTCTGGGTAGATACCCAGTAGTGGAATTGCTGGATCAAATAGTAGTTCTACTTTTAGTTCTTTAAGGAATCGCCACACTATTTTCTATAGCAGCTGTACTAGTTTACATTCCCACCAGCAGTGTAGAAGTGTTCCCTGTTCACATCCATGCCAACATCTGTTTTTTTAATTTTTTGATTATGTCCATTCTTGCAGGAGTAATGTGGTACCGCATTGTGGTTTTGATTTGCATTTCCCTGATCATTAGTGATGTTGAGCATATTTTCCTATGTTTGTTGGCCATTTGTATAGCTTTTGAGAATTGTCTATTCATGTCCTTAGCCCACTTTTTGATGGGATTGTTTGGTTTTTTCTTACTGATTTGTTTGAGTTCACTGTAGATTCTAGATATTAGTCCTTTGTCCGATGTATAGATTGTGAAGATTTTCTCCACTCTGTGGGTTGTCTGTTTACTCTGCTGACTGTTCCTTTTGCCATGCAAAAGCTCTTTAGTTTAATTAGGTCCCAGCTATTTATCTTTCTTTTTATTGCATTTGCTTTTGGGTTCTTGGTCATGAAACCCTTGCCTAAGCCAATGTCTAGAAGGGTTTTTCCAATGTTATCTTCTAGAATTTTTATAGTTTCACGTCTTAGGTTTAAGTCCTTAATCCATTTTGAGTTGATTCTTGTATAAGGTAAGAGATGAGGATCCAATCTCATTCTCCTACAGGTGGCTAGCCAATTATCCCAGCACCATTTGTTGAAAAGGGTGTCGTTTCGCCCACTTAATGTTTTTGTTTGCTTTGTCAAAGATCAGTTGGCTGCAAGTATTTGGGTTTATTTCTGGGTTCTCTATTCTGTTCCATTGGTCTGTGTGCCTAATTGTATACCAATACCATGCTGTTTTGGTGACTATGTCCTTATACTATAGTTTGAAATCACATAGTATGATGCCTCCAGATTTGTTCTTTTTGCTTAGTCTTGCTTTGGCTATGTGGGCTCTTTTTTGGTTCCATATGAATTTTAGAATTGTTTTTTCTAACTCTGTGAAGAATGATGGTGGTATATTGATGGGGATTGCATTGAATTTGTAGATTGCTTTTGGCAGTATGTTCACTTTCACAATATTGATTCCACCCATCCATGAGCATGGGATGTGTTTCCATTTGTTGGTGTTGTCTATGATTTCTTTCGGCAGTGGTTTGCAGTTTTCCTTGTAGAGGTCTTTTGACTCCTTGGTTAGGTATATTACTAAGTATTTTAATTTTTTGCGGCTATTGTAAAAGGGGTTGAGTTCTTGATTTGATTCTCTGCTTGGTTGCTGTTGGTGTATAGAAGAGCTAGTGATTTGTATACATTAGTCTTGTATTCGGAAACTTTGCTGCATTCTTTTATCAGTTCTAGGAGCTTTCTGGAGGAGTCCTTAGGGTTTTCAAGATAAATGGTCATATTGTCAGCAATCAGTGACAGTTTAACTTCCTCTTTACTGATTTGGATGTCCTTTATGTCTTCTTGTCTGATTGCTCTGGCTAGGACTTCCAGTACTATGTTGAACGGGAGTGGTGAGAGTAGGCATTTTTGTCTTGTTCCAGTTCTCGGAGGGAATGCTTTCAACTTTTCCCCATTCAGTATTATGTTGGCTGTGGGTTTGTCATAGATGGCTTTTATTACATTAAGGTATGTCCCTTGTATGCCAATTTTGCTGAGCGTTTTAATCACAAAGTCATGCTGGATTTCGTCGAAAGCTTTTTCTGCATCTGTTGAAATGATTATGTGATTTTTGTTTTTAATTCTGTTTATGTGGTGTATCACATTTATTGACTTGCATATGTTAAACCATCCCTACAACTGTGGTATGAAACCCACTTGATCATGGTGGATTATCTTTTTGATATGTTGTTGGATTTGGTTAGCTAGTGTTTTGTTAAGGATTTTAGCATCTATGTTCACCAAGGATATCAGTCTGTAGTTTTCTTTTTTGATTCTTACCTGGTTTTGGTATTAGGGTGATGCCAACTTCATAGAATGATTTAGGGAGGGTTCCTTCTTTCTCTATCTTGTGGAATAGTGTCAAAAGGATTGGTACCAATTCTTCTTTGAATGTCTGGTAGAATTCTGCTGTGAATCCATCTGGTCTTGGACTTTTTGTGTTGGTAATTTTTTTTTTTTTTTTTTTTTTTTGTCATGCAGGCTGGAGTGCAGTGACACGGTCTCAGCTCATTGCAACCTCTTCCTCCCAGGTTCAAGCAATTCTCCTCTCTCAGCCTCTCGAGTAGCTGAGACTACAGGAGCCCACCACCACACCCAGCTAATTTTTGTATTTTCAGTAGAGACGGGGTTTCACCATATTGGTCAGGCTGGTCTCAAACTCCTGACCTCAGGTGATCTGCCCACCTTTGCCTCCCAAATTGCTGGGATTACAGGCATGAGCCACCATGCCCAGCTGGTAATTTTTAAATTACCATTCCAATCTCACTGCTTGTTATTGGTCTGTTGTGTTTTTCCAGGAATTTATCCATCCCTTCTAGGTTTTCTAGTTTATGTGTGTAAAGGTGTTCATGGTAGCTTTGAATGATCTTTTGTGTATCAGTGGTGTCAGTTGTAATATCTCCTGTTTCATTTCTTAGTGAAGTTATTTGGATTTTCTCTCTTCTTGGTTAATCTTTCCAATGGTCTATCAATTTTGTTTATCTTTTCAAAGAACCAGCTTTTTGTTTCGTTTATCTTTTGTATTTTTTTTGTTTGTTTCAATTTCATTTAGTTCTGCTCTGATCTTGATTATTTCCTTTCTTCTGGGTTTAGGTTTGGTTTGTTCTTATTTCTCTAGTTCCTTGAGGTGTGACCTTAGAGTGTCAGCTTGTGCTCATTCCGTCTTTTTGATTTAGGTGTTTAGGGCTATGAACTTCCTTCTTGGCACTGCCTTTGCTGTATCCCAGAGGTTTTGATAGGTTGTATCATTATCGTCTTTCAGTTTGAAGAATTTTTAAATTTCCATCTTGATTTTGTTTTTGACCCAACGCTCATTCAGGAGCAGGTTATTTAATTTCCATGTGTTTGTGTGGTTTTGAAGGTTCCTTTTGCAGTTGATTTCCAGTTTTATTCCACTGTGGTCTGAGATGGTGCTTGATACAATTTCAGTTTTCTTAAATTTATTGAGGCTTGTTTTATGGCCTATCATATGTTCTATCTTGGAGAAAGTTCCACATACTGTTGAATAGAATGAATAGAATCTGCGTTTGTTGAATTAAATTTTCTGTATATATCTGGTAAGTCCATTTGTTCCAAGGTATAGTTCAAATCCATTGTTTCTTTGTTGACTTTCTGTCTTGATGACCTGTCTAGTGCTGTCAGTGGAATATTGAAGTTCCTCACTATTATTGTGTTGCTGTCTATCTCATTTCTTAGGTCTGTTATTAAATGTTTTATAAATTTGGGAGCGCCAGTATTAGGTGCATATATGTTTAGGATTGTGATATTTTCCTGTTGGACAAGGCCTTTTAACATTACATAATGTCCCTCTTTGTCTCTTTTAACTGCTGTTGCTTTAAAGTTAGTTTTGTCTGATATAAGAATAGCTACACCTGCACACTTTTGGTGTCCATTTGCATGAAATGCCTTTTCCCACCACTTTAAGTTTATGTGAGTCCTTATATGTTAGGTGAGTCTCCTGAAGGCAGCAGATGGTTTGTTGGTGAGTTCTTATCCATTCTGCGGTTCTGTATCTTCTAAGTGGAGCATTTAAGCGAGTTACATTTAACGTTAGTATTGAAATGTGAGGTACCATTGCATTCATTGTGCTCTTTGTTGCCTGTTACTTTGGTTTTTTTGTTTTTTGTTTTGGCTTTTTAACTTGTGTTTTTGTTTTATAGGTCCTGTGTGATTTATGCTTTAAAGAGGTTCTGTTTTGATGTGTTTTCAGGATTCATTTCAAGATTTAGAGCTCCTTTTAGCAGTTCTTGTAGTGGTGGCTTGGTAATGGCAAATTCTCTTGGCATTTGTCTGAAAAAGACGTATCTTTCCCTCATATGTGAGGCTTAGTTTCACTGGATACAAAATTCGTGGCTGATAATTGTTTTGTTTGAGGAGGCTGAAGATAGGGCCTCAATCCCTTCTAGCTTGTAGGGTCTCTGCTGAGAAATCTGCTGTTAATCTGATAGGATTTCCTTTATAGGTTATCTGATGCTTCTGTCTCACAGCTCTTAAGATTCTTTCCTTCATCTTAACTTTGGATATCCTGATTACAATGTGTCTAGGCAAAGATCTTTCTGCAATGAATTTCCTGGGTGTTCTTTGTGCTTCTTGTATTTGGATGTTTGCGTCTCTAGTAAGACTGGGGAAGTTTCCCTCAATTATTCCCCCAAATATGTTTTCCAAGCTTTTAGAATTCTCTTCTTAGGAGCACTGATTATTTTTAGGTTTGGTCATTTAATATAATCCCAGACTTCTTGGAGGCTTTGTTCATATTTTCTTATTCTTTTTTCTTTGCCTTTTTTGGATTGGGTTAATTTGAAGACCTTGTCTTCGCACTCTGAATTTCTTTCTTCTACTTGTTCAATTCTATTGCTGAGACTTCCCTGAGCATTTCGCATTTCTAAAACTGTGTCCAAAGTTTTCTGAATTTTTGACTGTTTTTTCTTTAAGCTATCTATTTCCTTGAATATTTCTGCCTTCACTTCTTGTATCATTTTTTGAATTTCCTTGCATTGGACTTCACCTTTCTCTGGTCTCACCCTGATTAGCTTAATAACTAAACTCCTGAATTTTTCAGGTAAATTAGGGATTTCTTCTTGGTTTGAATACATTGCTGGTGAACTAGTGTGATTTTGGGGGAGTGTTGAAGAGCCTTGTTTTGTCATATTACCAGGGTTGGTTTTCTGGTTCCTTCTCATTTGGGTAGGCTCTGTCAGAGGGAAGGTCTAGGGCTGAAGGTCATTGTTCAGATTCTTTTGTCCCATGGGGTATTCCCTTGATGTAGTACTCTCCCCCTTTTCCTATGGATGTGGCTTCCTCTGAGCTGAATTGCAGTGATTGTTGTCTCTCTTCTGGGTCTAGCTACCCAGCTCCGGGCTGATACTGGAGGTTGTCTGCACAGAGTCCTGTGATGTGAACCATCTATGGGTCTCTCAGCCGTGGATACCAGTGCCTGTTCCAGTGGAGGTGGCCAGTAGGGGAATACAATGGACTCTGTGAGGGTTCTTAGCTTTGGTGGTTTAATGCTCTATTTTTGTGCTGGTTGGCCTCCTGCCAGGAGGTGGCGCTTTCCAGAGACCATCAGCTGTGGTAGTATGGAGAGGAACCTGTGGTGAGTGGGGCCCTAGATATTCCAAGAGTATATGCCCTGTGTCTTCCGCTACCAGGGTGGGTAGAGAAGGACCATCAGGTGGGGGCAGGGCTAGATGTGTCTGAGCTCAGACCCTTCTTGGGTGGGTCTTGCTGTGGCTGCTGTGGGGGATGGGGGTGAGATTCCCAGGTCACTGGAGTTGTGTACCTGGGAAAATTATGGCTGCCTCTGCTGAATCATGCAGGTTGTCAGGGAAGTGGAGGAAAGCCGGCAGTCACAGGCTCACCCAGCTGCCACACAAACTAAAGGGTGGGTCTCACTCCCACAATGCCTCCCACAACAGCCTTTAGTCCATTTTCAGGTGGAGAGTGATACAGGTTTGAAAACCTGCCCCTGGCCACCTACCTCCCAGCTGCGAAAGAAAAGGGCTTGGTTCTTCCCCCTCCCGTGGAGTCTGCACACTGGATTTGGGCCCTCACCCAAATTCTGGCCAGGAGGCTTCCCACCCCACTCAAATTGCTACAAAGTTCAGCTAGAGATTTGCTTCTCCCAGTGGAGTTTTACCCCCTGGTCTTCTCCTATTGGATCCCTGTGGTGCCAGGTAGGAATGGGCTGCTAGGGGACCCAGCAAGCTCCCAGCGCCTTTCTGCTGCTGTATTTCACTTGGCTCTCTAAATTGACTCAGCTCCAGATAAAGTCAGAAACTTCTCCCACAAATAGACCTTCAGCTCCTCCCATGGGAGTGTGTGTTTGGGAGAGGAAGGTCTCCCTTTCCCACTAACGTGGTTGGGGCACTCAGTTTTTGGGGGGTCTCCCAGGTCCTGAAGGAGCAGTCTGCTTCCTTCAGAGGGTCTGTGGGTCCTCTTGGGATTGCTGGTTTTTTCTTGCAGTAGATCTGGAGCTAAAATTCATGATGTGAGCCCCCCTCACACTGCTCTGTCTGGAGCTGCAATCTAGTCCTGCCTCCTATCCGCCATGATGATCAACAGACCAAAAGGAGGAACATATTCAGTTGGTAGCAAATAAGAGTAATTCAGGCAACAGTAATTCAATTAAAGATTTTCGAGATTCAAAAAGTGTTTTTCATGTTTTGTGCTCTTCTTCTGCATGGGTTTATAGATGTTCTTGGCTTCCCAGACTGTATCCCTAGCCTAATCTTGAGAGTTACCTAATTCTTGCAGCTATGAAATGGTTTTATTTAAGAGCGAGAACTCTATAGCAGTGCCGTTCAACTCCTGTGTCAAAGCAAGCCTTGTACTGGTGTATGGGAAGGGGTTCAGGTATGCTGAGATATTCATCCCCCAAGCCTACAGGACAGCATGGTCGCAGTCAGAGCTCGTAGACCAGTTGCCTTGACCAATGAACCTTTCTTTCCAGGGCTGAAGGCAGTGAGCATACTGGGCTACATTTACTTCTTGCTGCTTCCCCACCATGCACTCAGCACAGTGCCCGACACTCCAGCACCTGGGCATCAAAAAATTTGTTGGACAACCATATGCTTTCAATAAATCTTTTTCATGCCTTTAATCTTTTCCACTTGTAGCATTTTCTTTAAACTATTATTCCTTTGAAATGTAGCAAATATCCAAAGTAATGATATTAGCTCTGAACAAATAACACAGCACTAAGATGGAAAAACTGTATTCATAAGTCTTTTTATAAAATACCTCTATCAAACCATGCCTCTGTGAACTGAGAAATAAACAGTATGTTAGCTTCTGTATCACAGACAGACTTGAGAATAATTCACTCTCTTGCTGAAGATTAGTGATTGGAAAAATGGTAAAAAAAATAGAAATTATGTTAAAACTTTTTATTTCATTGCAAATATGATAAGTAAATGTGAACAAACGTCTCAGCAGTACAAAGCTTTATTTCTTCTCAATGAAATGATTATAATGGCTTAGAGAGAAATATCTTTAAAAATACATCCTTGACCAGGGCAAATGAGTGCATTGAGGGAAAATATCATGATTCCTATCAAAGCTTTTTCTCTCTAGAGCCTTACACCATCATAGAGAAAAACGAATGTAAATTTCTTATGAATTGCAGATAAATTACATATTCTATGAGTCATAAAAGAAGCAAGCAATACGTCATTGTTTAGTTGAAATTATAGACTGATCATTACAATCTTCTTCATGCATTATACTATTCAGAGAGATAACCATGCTTTTTTTTACTAAAAAATGTGGAACAAGACAAAATATTACCCTCTGTGTCTATGTAATAGTTTTGCCACTTTTAATTAACTATTGAAGTAGGTCATAGAGCTGGAGGAAACAGGGGAGGAGGCTAATAACTTCAAATTTAATTTTTTTTAGTATATGATTTTCACCAGAAAAGTAAAGTCAATTAAAAATATTAAAAGTTTTTCGCATTTTACATTTAGAAGGAGACTGGAGGTAGGGGAAGGGTATAACATACTGTTTTACTGTTTATTAAGTTACAATTTACATAAAATAAATTGCACAGATTTGAAATTTGTTGCATTTTGAGAAATGTATACACCCATATAACTGAAAAATATACCCATATAACTATGCTCAAAAGGGCACTTACATTTGCTATTACTGCTGTCTTGAAATTCTTAATAATTTTATCATTGAACTTGTGTTTCACAAATTGAGTCTGATTGGACAATGGAGAAATGTGTTTGTCTGCTGTTCCTTGCCATACCATTCACATATGGACTTTACAGTACCACATCAAGACAGAATTCCAGGGCACAAATGATAGATGGGAGTTCATCGAGACTCAAAGTGAGCTAAGCGAGTTGCCTCTATGAATAAGTATTGGTGCCAATAACCTCAGAAGCTACACATTCTATTCCAAGCAAAATTTCTTTCAAGCACAGAAAAAAGGCAATGATTTTCTTTAAAAAACTCCTACTTAGGAACCCTATCATATACTTTGCTACTTGTGTTCTTTGCCTGTATTGGCCAACCACTTACGTAGGAAATGATGCTATGAAAGGAAAGGAAAGATAGGGCAAATGTAACCCATATTTCCTTTTCTCTTCAGACCTTACCTACTCATCACTAAGCCACCAGTAGAGAGGGTAGTAGAATGTTCATGTATCAAGAAGTGAAATAAAAACAGTAGAATTAGTTTTGTGCAGTATTTCCACTGTTTGAATAAGAAAAAAATACATATGCGTGTATGAACTACACAATATGTGCTGTGTTCTGAATACTTGTGTCCCCCCAAAATGTTGAAACTTAATCTCCAGTGCAGTGGTCTTGGGAAGTGGGGCAACTGGAAAGTGATTAGGTCCTGAAGGCTAAGACCTCATGAATGGGATTATTACCCTTAAAAAAGAGGCCCGAGAAAGCTTGTTTGTCTCTTCTACCACATCAGGACATATCTAGAAGGAGTCATCTTTGAAGCAGAGAGAAAGCCCTCTCCAGATACCAAATCTGCTGGCACCTTGATCCTGGATTCCCAGCCTCCAGAACTGTGAGCAATAAATTTCTATTGTTTACAAATTACCTAGTTAAAGGTATTTTGTTATAGCAGCCTGAATGGACTAAGACAGTATGAACTGTGTAAGTTCAGTTATTCTGCATAAAAGTTAAATGTTCTATATTTGCATGTAAAACTTATGTTGTACAAAAGATGAACAATAATTTTTACCACTTAATACTAAATTAAATTTAACAACTTTAATTTTTCAATTTGTTGGAACAATATTAAATAGCAAGTAAAACTACTATGACATGTCAAGAGAGAAACTGTAAAAGAAAGAAAAGGTTTTATCCTAGTACTTAAAGGCACTTTTTTCCATTTTTGCACATTTTTGTTTGGCACTGAGCTACACAAATTATGTCACCACCTTGCTGCATGCCAGAATGAAATTCTTACAGTTTTGCTTTATGTCGTTTTTAGCTACACATAAAACTTTTATGCAGTTTTTCCATGTTATATAGCAGCAGTTCATTCCTTTGTATTGTTGAGTAGAATTCCATCTCATGACTATACAATCCCCCTTTGATATTCATACTATTTCAAGTTCAGAGGTATTGAGAATAAAGCTGCTATGAACATGCTTGTAAAAGTCTTTTTCTGGATATTACTTTTTAAATGTTACATGAATATATATAATTTTAAATAAATGCATGAATGGGATGATATTATTCATACAAGTTTAAAACATTCTTTTTTAAATCATTTCCTATTTTTAAAATTTTGCTATACTCTCCTATCCCCCTGTCATCCCTATACTCCAACCCACATCACATACACCCTTGAGGTACTGATATTAAGTTAGAATTTATCATTCATGTTTTTCATGTTTCTGTAAGACATGCAAGTATATAAACATACACAGATGTAGCATATACACATATTAATATGCACGTATGCACGTGTATACATCTAGCATGTATGTGATAACACCTAGGAAAAATAATAACCATCTCAATACACACATTTCTTGCTTTTTTCACTCAACAACACCTCATAAAAATTTTACTATGTCTACTAGTATAGCTAACATTCCATTTTGATGAACATTTACTTTTGCTTATTTACTTATGTATTCATTTATTCTATTCATTTGCTTATTTATTTTTATCACAACAAATGATGCAGCAATAGAAATCTTTGGAAATATATTCTTACGTGCTGAGGCATATAATTCCATGGGATGTTTTTCAAGTGAAGGACCACTGGGTTAAAATGCATGTGTGTGTGTGTGTTTTAATTTTAATAGATGTTTCCCAGTTGCTTTTTCAAAAAGTTATCAAATAAATATTTTCATAAGCATGTTTGAGAATTCACATTTTAAAATTCACATTCCCTGTATCCCAGAAGCAGCTGGTGTTAACAGCCTTTTTAATTTTAGCCAATCCGGTAGATGGAAAATAATATTTATTCGTGAGTTTAAATTTGCCCTTTCCTGATCATTAGTGAGCTTGGTCTTCCTCTCAGCTCTTCTTGGTCATTTGGATTTGCTCTTTTATTAATTGCCTAAATAAGTTTGTCATATTGTTAAGTTTTCTATTTGTTATATTAATTGAAAAGTATTTATATTGTTATTTGTTTTGTGAATTGTGTTTTTTGCCATATATTTTTCATGTCTTTTAGTAAAATATATCTACCTTTATTTGTATAGTTTCTAAGTTTCTAGACTTGCTTAGGAAGGTCTTCCACAAACCTAGACTGCATGTAGCCTAGATTTTAATGTGGGAGTTTTATCTTATTTCTTACACTTATAAATTTATTATATAATTAATTTCCAATTGTATGAGAACCATTTATTAAATAATTCACCCTCTGTCCCTGAAGCAATAGCTTTGTCACTTACTAAATTTATTCTTAAGTATTTCACAGCTTTGTTAATATTTTATATATATATATATATATATATATATATATTTTTTTTTTTTTTTTTTTTAGATGAAGTCTTACTCTGTTGCCCAGGCTGGAGTACAGTGGTGCGATCTTGGCTCACTGCAATCTTCACCTCCCGGGTTCAAGCAATTCTCCTGCCTCAGCCTCCCAAGTAGCTGGGATTACAGGTGCCCACCACCACCCAGCTAATTTTTGTATTTTTAGTAGAGACGGGGTTTCACCACGTTGGCCAGGCTGGTCTTGAACTCCTGACCTCAAGTGATCTGTCCGCCTCAGCTTCCCAAAGTGCTGGGATTACAGGCATGAGCCACCATACTATTATAATTTTAAAAATTTACTATACAGGGGTTTATTACTACAGTGGAGAACAATGCTTGTTTTCAAATTTAGGTAGTATTTAGCCATTTTATTGTATTTTCTTTTTAATTCCAGTGGACTTCTTGTCCCTCTACCCACATTCATTTTGCCAGGGATATATCCATACCATCAACAACAACAAAAAAAACTAGCTATAGTTCTCCTCTCCCAAAATATATGCCAGCTATTCTTTTCTTTTCTTTCTTCCTTCTCCTGCTTTTCTTTCTCCTCCTTCTTGCCTTCTCCTCCTCCTTCTTCAATTATTGAAATTGCTAAAATCACCAAGACAATTGTAAATAACAAGGACAAGTAGTATGGCAATAGCAAGCATCCCAGCTAACACTTAATTTTAATGGAAATGAATTCAGTTTTGCTATTTCAAGTAATACTCATATTTTAGCAAATAGTATGAATCACCTTAAGATAATTTCCCTTCTATTTTCATTTTATTTTGTTAGGAATAGCTACTAAATTGTATCAAATTATTTTTAGGTTATTATTGAGATGATCATATTGATATTTTTGAAATTTGTAAATGTAGTACATGATTTTAATAGATTTTTCCTCTCAAAATGTGATAAACCCACATAGAACTGGTTTTTTATTCATTTTCTATGTTACTGGGCTCAATATGACACTTTTTTTCTGAGATGGGGGGTCTTGCTATGTTAACTAGGCTGGCCTCAAACTCCTGGCCTCATGCAATCCTCCCATCCTGGCCTCCCAAAGTGTTGGGATTACAAGTGTGAGCCACCATGCCTGACCATGCCACATTTTTAATAGAATTTTTTACTAATATATATCACAAATATATTCATAAATTTAATATCTTTTGTGCCCTTTACTCAGTTCTTCTCAATAGTAACATCTTGTAAAACAAGATGGCAAACAGGACATTAACATTGATGCAGCCAAGATAGAGAACATTTCCGTCACCACAGGGATTCTTTATGTTGCCCTTTTGTAGAGATATCATTTCACACCTGTCCCCACCCACTTTGTAGCCCCTGCCACTAACCTATTCTCCATTTCTATAATTTTTGCCATTTCAAGAATGGCATATGAATGGAATCATACAGTATGTAATCTTTCAGGATTAGTCTTATTCACTCAGGATAATTCCCTAGAGATTCATCCAGGTTCTTGCATGTATCAATAATTTATTCCTTTTTATTGCTGAGTAGTATTCCATGACATGGATATACGACAGGTTGTTTAACCATTCACCCACTGAAGTACATCTGGGTTATTTCCAGTTTGAGGCTGTCACAAATAAAGCTGCAATAAATATGTATGTGCAGATCTTTACATGACCATACATTCTTCACTTCTCTAGAATAAATACCCAGGAGTGCAATTGCTGGGTCATATAGTAGTTGTATGCTTCATTTTGCCAAATTGCCAAACTGTTTTCCAGAGTGATGTGCCACTTGACATTCCCATCAGCAATGTATGAGTGATCCAGTTCCTCTGCATCTTTGCCAGCATATTGAGTTGCCACTATTTTTTATTTTAGTCATTCTGATGGGTTTGTAATGATATCTCATTATAGTTTTAATTTGCATATTCCTAATGGCTAATGATGTTGAATATCCTTTCATGTACTTATTTACTATCTATATATCCTCTGCTGAAATCTCTTCCTGTCTTTTTGTCATTTTTTAATTGTATTGTTTGTCTTGAGGGTTCTTTATATATTCCAGATATATCTCTTGTATACTCCTTTGTAGGATATGTGGTTTTCAAACAAGTGTTGAATTTTATCAAATATGTTTTCAGCATTGATGGATATAATCATATGATTTTTAGGGCTATGGTTGAAGAACTGCAGTATCAGTTTCTTTACTGTCAGCTATGGGCTTCCTATAGCTTCTAGACACCTCTGTCTGGTTCCTGCACACGGACTTCTACATCTTAGAACCAGCAATAAGTGGTACATCAATCCTTTTTATGCCCAGAATCTCTCTGGCTTCTTTTTCTGCTATATCTCACTAACTCCAGCTAGAGAAAAATTATCTCCTTTCATCAGCTCCTGTTATTAAATTGGGCCCACTCAGATAATCTAGGATAATCTCTCTATTTTAGGCCCTTAACCTTAATTGCACCCTCAAACTCCCTTTTGCCATGTAACACAACATATTCACTGGTTCTAGGCATAGCAGCATAGATGTCTGGAGTGCCACTCTGCCCACGATAGTCTCCAACTTTCCATTGATTTCTAGTATTTGTCCCATTACATGATTCATAGTTCACAATGTGCCAAGCACTGTGCTAAAACTTTTATGGCCATTAATTCACATTTCTTAATGAAAATTCTATTGTGTAGGTACTATTATCATTTCTATTCTTACAGATGAGAAAACTGAGACACAGAAAGGGTAAGAAAATCCTCTAAGGTCTTATAGCTGATATGTGGCAGAATCAGAATTAGAACCTAGGCCAAATGGCTCTGAATCTGCATTCTTAGCATTTCATTATATTGCTGCCTTGTAATTTTCCATTTGATACTTTCTTTGATCCAGTGGTTGTGTTCGTATGTAATAGGTTTTAGAGGACATATAGTCCCTGCCACAATATTCTAATTAAATTTTTGTATTTGTCATCATATAATGTCTCAATTTACTTTGTTTACCGCTTTTAGCCTGACATTCTTCTCATCTGACATCAATATTGCCATTTCTGACTTCTTTTTGTATTTTCCTAACATGCCATTCTCCTTCTATTCATATTCCCTTTACTTAAAGTATATATTTGTAAAGTCACATAGTGGGGATTTTATTGGCCCATCTGACAGTCTCTGTCTTTTAATAGATTAATTCAGGTCCATTTACATTAAGAGTAATGACTCATTTACTAGTCTTCTGTGTCTAACATTTTTTCTTATGTTTCTCATGCAATTTATGTTTCCTTTTTTTCTTAGTTCTTATTTTTAAAAATTTGTTAAATGTTTTCTTTCCATAGTTTTCTATGTACATTTGGAAGTTCTACTAATTTCTAACATTTCTTTAATGATTACTACCCATTTCCCTATACTCATTACGAGATACCTATTTCTCTACTACTGTTTGTAAACAAGGTACTACCTTTCTCATCAAGGCATACATTTTCTCCTACCAAGATGTCATAGATCACCATGGCTTTCCTTAGAGGGCTAACTCTGTTTCCACTTAGGGTGTAGAACTCCACAAAAAAATGTTGTTCCTACCTAATAACAACAACAGAAGAAACTAGATAATTTACCAAAAAAAAAATCTTTCTTATGCCCATCAGATATATGAGGACACAAGGCAATCAAGTGAAGTAATTTCCAATGAGTAAGCAGGCCTTAAAAGGAGAGAGGAGACCCGAAAACTGTTTTATCTTTGGCACTTCACGAAAGGATGAGTTAACCATCGTAACAGCAGATGAGAAGAAATCAGCAAAAATTTTAACAAATTCTTAAAAACTGATTAGATACAAGCGTGATCACTTAAAATAACTGAAAGCCACAAACCCAAGAGGATTTCTTACTGACAAGCTCTATTCCACTGGCCTTCACTGAGTGCACACAAAAAAAATTGGGAGTAAAGCAGGCACAGCTCAACTCCTGATTATATTGACTCAACTTTTCACACTGACAGCCCAAAGAATAGGCATCCCCATTTTGGGGCATAAGTTCTATTTATCTCAATCTCTGTTTTTCCCAACACAGGATATCTGCCCTTAAATAAAACATAATGAGATACACAAAAAAAAAAAGAAAGAAAAAAAAGAAAAAAAAAACAACCTGTTGTCAACAGAACCAGACTCAGCAATAACCTAGATGTTGAAACCATTAGACAAAGACTTAAAAATAACTATGACTAATATGTTAAAGAATGAAGTGGAAAACATGAACAGCATACTTGAACAGATGAAGAATTTTAAAAAAAATTGAACAAATAATTGTTTTAAAAATGCTAGAAATAAAAACATGGTATCATAGATCTGTGCTGTTCAATATAATAACCACTAATAAATGTGGGTATTTTCTAATCAAAATTTAAATTAATTAAACTAAAATAATATTTAAAATGTATTGCTTCAGTCACACTTGCCACATTTCAAGCCACATGTGGCTAGTAGATGCTGTATTGGACAAGAATTTTTTCATCAGCCCACAAGATTCTATTGGTTAGCACCATTGTAGAAGAAGAAAAATTTTTATAGGTTTATCAGCAGACTAGATATAGCTGAGGAAAGAATTGGTATACTTGAAGATATGTCACTAAATATTATCCGAACTGAAATACAAAAAGATAAAAGAGTGTAGAAGAACAGAATGTATAAGGGCTATGATGTATCAAATAGTCTAACATACAGGAGATTGGGTATTCAAAGGAAGAATAGAAAAAGTATATGGCAGAAGAAACAATTAAAGAAACAGTAGCTTAGAATTTTCTGATATTAATGAAACACAGCATAGATCCCAGAAGCTCTGAGAACTCCATACAGAATAAATGCAACACACATAGACATTTTCAGATACATCACAATCAAACTGCTGAAAACCAAAGATATACAGAAAATACTGAAGGCACTGAGAGAAAAAAGAAACATTACATACAAACATGAGAATTATACCACATTTTTTGTCAAATGTTATGCAACCCAGAAGACAACAAAGGGACATCCTTAAAATAAGAAATGGTCAACCCAGAATTCCAAATGAAGTTAAAATATGTCTCGGAAAGGAAAGCAAAATACAGGCTTTCAGACAAACAAAAACAAAATTCAACGACAGCAGACCTGTACTAAAAGAATTGCTAACTCAGGTTGTTAAAGTAGGAAAAAAAAAAGTATGCTACTACATGGAAATGTATATTTACACAAAGAGATAAAGAATGACAAAAAATGTTTAAATGGTAAGATTTAAATCCAACCATATCAATAAACACAACAAATACAAATTGTATGTAAATATTCCAATTAGAAGGTATAGATGGTCAAATTGGATTATTTAAGAAATTAAGGCCCAACTAGATGTGGTCTACCAAAAACTCACTTTAAATATAAATACGCCAGTTAACAGCAAAAGAACAAAGAATATATATTAGGCAATGACCAATCAAAACTGGATTATCTGTATTAATAACTGACAAAGTAGATTTCTGAACAAGGAATGTGCCAGGGATAAAGAATGATATTATATAAGGAGCAAATGATGAATTCATCAAGAAACTATAAAAGTCCTATGTATTCATGCACCTAATAATAGAACTCCAAAAAAAAAAAGCTGATAGAACTAACAGACAAAAATGGGCAAATTCACAATTACAATTAGAGATTGCAATACTCTTCATAAAATTAATTGATAGAACATATTGACAAAATTACAAGGATATGAAAGAACTCAACCACACTGCCAGAAAACTTCATTGACATTTATAGAAAACTACACCCAACAAAATTAAAATACACATTCTTTTCATGTTTAAATGACATAATGACTAAGATAGGCCATATTCTTGGGTTACTGAGATAAATCTCATATTTAAAAGAATTGAAATCATCCAATAATATATGAAAATTCACAATGAAATTAAACTATAACTTAGTAACAGAAAGACATCTGGAAAACCTCCAAATATTTAAAAATTAATGCACCTCAAAATAACCCATTGGCCAAAGAAGACGTCACAAGAAAAATTAGAAAATTTGAATTTTATAAATTTTATAAAAACGAAAAGAATATGTTGAAATTTCTAGAATGCAGACAAATCATTAGTTATAGGGTATATGTGTTAAATATTTATATTAAAAGTCTCAAATGAATATGCTTTCATCTTAAGAAACTAGAAGAAAAGGAAATTACAGCAAGCAGAAAGAAGAACGTAATTAAATTAAGAATAGAAGTCACTGAAATTGGGGAAAAAAGAGAAAAAAAATGAAGACTTAAACTTAAGACCTGCAACTATAAAACTACTGTAAGAAAATCTAGGGGAAAGCTCTATGACATTAGTCTGGAAGATGATTTTTTGGATATGACTCAGAAAGCACCAGCAACAAAAACAAAAATAGACAAATGAGATTACATCAAAATAACAGTCTTCTGCACAACAAAGGAAACAATCAACAGAGTGAAGAGATAACCTACAGTATGGAAAAAAAATCTCAAACTATACCTCTGATAAAGCATTAATGTCCAAAATATATAAGGAACTCAATTCAATAGTAAGAAAGCAAAAACTCAAATAAAAAATGGGCAAAGGAACTAAAGAGACATTTCTTCAAAGATCTACAAATGATAAACAGGTTCAAGGGCTCAATATCACTAAACATCAGAGAAATGCAAGTCAAAACCTCAGTGAGAAATTACCTCATCTCCTAGAATGACCATTAGGAAAAAGATGAGAGATAATATGTGTTGGAATCATATGAAGAAAAGGGAACACTTGTACACTGCTGATGGAAAGGTAAATTAGTACAGTCATTATGGAAAACAATATGAAGCCTTCCTCAAAAAATTAAAAATAGAACTATCGTATGATCCAGCAATCAGAAGATGAAGCTGCTCACATCAAGCCAAGCTCTTCCAGGGAAGATGCTTAGCTTTCATTTGAAGCAACGCCTATTAAAAACTAAATTTTGAATAACTCTTTCTTGGAATACAAGTTCAAGCAACTGAAAAGACCCTGACATGATATGGTCGAGGTAGTCATAATTAAATACATATAAAATTCAGTCACACACAAAGCAAATTGTGAAGCCTGTCTGAAACACTAGATAGAAAAGGCTTCAGCTAATCATTGGTGCAACTCTATAAGGTATCTGGGAACACATTCCTAAAATCATTCTAAGATTGAAATCATGCAACTGATAACAGACATTAAGATTATGTGGTTACAGCTACCATTATACTCCATGGAAAAATTGAAACTCTTTCTCCTAAGATCCAGAATAAGAAAAGGATGCCCTCTCCTGCCACTTCTATTCAGCATAGTATTGGAAGTTCTTACCAGAGCAGTTAGGCAAGAGAGAGAAATAAAAGGCACCCAAATTGGAAAGGAAAAAGTGAAATTGTCACTGTTTCCTGACAACATGCTTTTATATATAGAAAACCATAAAGATTCTACCAAAAAAGCTGTTAGAACTAATAAATACACCAGCAACGGAACAAAGCTGGACGGAGAATGACTGTGAAGAGTTGAGAGAAGGCTTCAGATGATCAAACTACTCCAAGCTACAGGAGGAAATTCAAACCAAAGGCAAAGAAGTTGAAAACTTTGAAAAAAATTTAGACGAATGTATAACTAGAATAACCAATACAGAGAAGTGCTTAAAGGAGCTGATGGAGCTGAAAGCCAAGGCTCGAGAACTACGTGAAGAATACAGAAGCCTCAGGAGCCGATGCGATCAACTGGAAGAAAGGGTATCAATGATGGAAGATGAAATGAATGAAATGAAGCGAGAAGGGAAGTTTAGAGAAAAAAGAATAAAAAGAAACGAACAAAGCCCCCAAGAAATATGGGACTATGTGAAAAGACCAAATCTATGTCTGATTGGTGTACCTGAAAGTGACGGGGAGAATGGAACCAAGTTGGAAAACACTCTGCGAATATTTTCCAGGAGAACTTCCCCAATCTAGCAAGGCAGGCCAACATTCAGATTAAGGAAATACAGAGAACGCCACAAAGATACTCCTCGAGAAGAGCAACTCCAAGATACATAATTGTCAGATTCACCAAAGTTGAAATGAAGGAAAATATGTTAAGGGCAGCCAGAGAGAAAGGTCGGGTTACCCACAAAGGGAAGACCATCAGACTAACAGAGGATCTCTCGGCAGAAACTCTACAAGCCAGGAGAGAGTGGGTGCCAATATTCAACATTCTTAAAGAAAAGAATTTTCAACCCAGAATTTCATATCCAGCCAAACTAAGCTTCATAAGTGAAGGAGAAATAAAATACTTTACAGACAAGCAAATGCTGAGAGATTTTGTCACCATCAGGCCTCCCCTAAAAGAGCTCCTGAAGGAAGCACTAAACATGGAAA
The DNA here is from genome assembly GCF_000001405.40 of Homo sapiens. NCBI lineage: Eukaryota > Metazoa > Chordata > Mammalia > Primates > Hominidae > Homo > Homo sapiens. The sequence continues at coordinate 158,432,633 of NC_000004.12, forward strand.
GGAAGAACCGGTACCAGCCACTGCAAAATCATGCCAAATTGTAAAGACCATCGAGGCTAGGAAGAAACTGCATCAACTAATGAGCCAAATAACCAGCTAACATCATAATGACAGGATCAAATTCACACATAACATATTAACTTTAAATGTAAATGGACTAAATGCTCCAATTAAAAGACACAGACTGGCAAATTGGCTAAAGAGTCAAGACCCATCAGTGTGCTGTATTCAGGAAACCCATCTCACGTGCAGAGACACACATAGGCTCAAAATAAAAGGATGGAGGAAGATCTACCAAGCAAATGGAAACCAAAAAAAGGCAGGGGTTGCAATCCTAGTCTCTGATAAAACAGACTTTAAACCAACAAAGATCAAAAGAGACAAAGAAGGCCATTACATAATGGTAAAGGGATCAATTCAACAAGAAGAGCTAACTATCCTAAATATATATGCACCCAATACAGGAGCACCCAGATTCATAAAGCAAGTCCTGAGTGACCTACAAAGACACTTAGACTCCCACACAATAATAATGGGAGACTTTAACACACCACTGTCAACATTAGACAGATCAACGAGACAGGAAGTTAACAAGGATACCAAGGAATTGAACTCAGCTCTGCACCAAGCGGACCTAATAGACATCTACAGAACTCTCCACCCCAAATCAACAGAATATACATTTTTTTCAGCACCACACCACACCTATTCCAAAATTGACCACATAGTTGGAAGTAAAGCTCTCCTCAGCAAAGGTAAAAGATCAGAAATTATGACAAACTGTCTGTCAGACCACAGTGCAATCAAACTAGAACTCAGGACTAAGAAACTCACTCAAAACCGATCAACTACATGGAAACTGAACAATCTGCTCCTGAATGACTACTGGGTACATAACGAAATGAAGGCAAAAATCAAGATGTTCTTTGAAACCAACAAGAACAAAGACACAACATACCAGAATCTCTGGGATGCATTCAAAGCAGTGTGTAGAGGGAAATTTATAGCACTAAATGCCCACAAGAGAAAGCAGGAAAGATCCAAAATTGACACCCTAACATCACAATTAAAAGAACTAGAAAAGCAAGAGCAAACACATTCAAAAGCTAGCATAAGGCGAGAAATAACTAAAATCAGAGCAGAACTGAAGGAAATAGAGACACAAAAAACCCTTCAAAAAATTAATGAATCCAGGAGCTGGTTTTTTGAAAGGATCAACAAAATCGATAGACCGCTAGCAAGACTAATAAAGAAGAAAAGACAGAAGAATCAAATTGATGCAATAAAAAGTGATAAAGGGGATATCACCACCAATACCACAGAAATACAAACTACCGTCAGAGAATACTACAAACACCTCTACGCAAATAAACTAGAAAATCTAGGAGAAATGGATAAATTATTCGACACATACACACTCCCAAGACTAAACCAGGAAGAAGTTGAATCTCTGAATAGACCAATAACAGGCTCTGAAATTGTGGCAATAATCAATAGCTTACCAACCAAAAAGAGTCCAGGACCAGATGGATTCACAGCCAAATTCTACCAGAGGTACAAGGAGGAACTGGTACCATTCCTTCTGAAACTATTCCAATCAGTAGAAAAAGAGGGAATCCTCCCTAACTCATTTTATGAGGCCAGCATCATCCTGATACCAAAGCCTGGCAGAGACACAACCAAAAAAGAGAATTTTAGACCAATGTTTTTGATGAACATCGATGCAAAAATCCTCAATAAAATACTGGCAAACCGAATCCAGCAGCACATCAAAAAGCTTATCCACCATGATCAAGTGGGCTTCATCCCTGGGACGCAAGGCTGGTTCAACATATGCAAATCAATAAATGTAATCCAGCATATAAACAGAACCAAAGACAAAAACCACATGATTATCTCAATAGATGCAGAAAAGGCCTTTGACAAAATTCAACAACCCTTCATGCTAAAAACTCTCAATAAATTAGGTATTGATTGGACGTATCTCAAAATAATAGAGCTATCTATGACAGACCCACAGCCAATATCATACTGCATTGGCAAAAACTGGAAGCATTCCCTTTGAAAACTGGCACAAGACAGTAGTGCCCTCTCTCACCACTCCTATTCAACATAGTGTTGGAAGTTCTGGCCAGGGCAATTAGGCAGCAGAAGGAAATAAAGGGCATTCAATTAGGAAAAGAGGAAGTCAAATTGTCCCTGTTTGCAGACGACATGATTATATATCTAGAAAACCCCATTGTCTTAGCCCAAAATCTCCTTAAGCTGATAAGCAACTTCAGCAAAGTCTCAGGATACAAAATCAATGTACAAAAATCACAAGCATTATTATACACCAATAGCAGACAAACAGAGAGCCAAATCATGAGTGAACTCCCATTCACAATTGCTTCAAAGAGAATAAAATACCTAGGAATCCAACTTACAAGGGATGTGAAGGACCTCTTCAAGGAGAACTACAAACCACTGCTCAATGAAATAAAAGAGGATACAAACAAATGGAAGAACATTCCATGCTCATGGGTAGGAAGAATCAATATCGTGAAAATGGCCATATTGCCTAAGGTAATTTATAGATTCAATCCCATCCCCATCAAGCTACCAATGACTTTCTTCACAGAATTGGAAAAAACTACTTTAAAGTTCATATGGAACCAAGAAAGAGCCCACATAGCCAAGTCAATCCTAAGCCAAAAGAACAAAGCTGGAGGCATCATGCTACCTGACTTCAAACTATACTACAAGGCTACAGTAACCAAAACAGCATGGTACTGGTACCAAAACAGAGATATAGATCAATGGAACAGAACAGAGCCCTCAGAAATAATGCCGCATATCTACAACTATCTGATCTTTGACAAACCTGAGAAAAACAAGCAATGGGGAAAGGGTTCCCTATTTAATAAATGGTGCTGGGAAAACTGGCTAGCCATATGTAGAAAGCTGAAACTGGATCCCTTCCTTACACCTTATACAAAAATCAATTCAAGATGGATTAAAGACTTACATGTTAGACCTAAAACCATAAAAATCCTAGAAGAAAACCTAGGCATTACCATTCAGGACATAGGCATGGGCAAGGACTTCATGTCTAAAACACCAAAAGCAATGGCAACAAAAGCCAAAATTGACAAATGGGATCTAATTAAACTAAAGAGCTTCTGCACAGCAAAAGAAACTACCATGAGAGTGAACAGGCAACCTACAAAATGGGAGAAAATTTTTGCAACCTACTTATCTGACAAAGGGCTAATATCCGGAATCTACAATGAACTCAAACAAATTTACAAGAAAAAAACAAACAACCCCATCAAAAAGTGGGCAAAGGACATGAACAGACACACTTCTCAAAAGAAGACATTTATGCAGCCAAAAAACACATGAAAAAATGCTCACCATCACTGGCCATCAGAGAAATGCAAATCAAAACCACAATGAGATACCATCTCACACCAGTTACAATGGCAATCATTAAAAAGTCAGGAAACAACAGGTGCTGGAGAGGATGTGGAGAAATAGGAACACTTTTCCACTGTTGGTGGGACTGTAAACTAGTTCAACCATTGTGGAAGTCAGTGTGGCGATTCCTCAGGGATCTAGAGCTAGAAATACCATTTGACCCAGCCATCCCATTACTGGGTATATACCCAAAGGACTATAAATCATGCTGCTATAAAGACACATGCACACGTGTGTTTATTGCAGCAGTATTCACAATAGCAAAGACTTGGAACCAACCCAAGTGTCCAACAATGATAGACTGGATTAAGAAAATGTGGCTCATATACACCATGGAATACTATGCAGCCATAAAAAATGATGAGTTCATGTCCTTTGTAGGGACATGGATGAAATTGGAAATCATCATTCTCAGTAAACTATCCCAAGAACAAAAAACCAAACACCACATACTCTCACTCATAGGTGGGAATTGTACAATGAGAACACATGGACACAGGAAGAGGAACATCACACTCTGGGGCCTGTTGTGGGGTGGGGGGAGGAGGGAGGGATAGCTTTAGGAGCTATAGCTAATGCTAAATGACGAGTTAATGGGTGCAGCACACCAGCATGACACATGTATACTTATGTAACTAACCTGCACATTGTGCCCATGTACCCTAAAACTTAAAGTATAATAATAATAATAATAAAAAAAAAAGAACTAATAAATACAGTAAAGTTTCAGGATACAAAATCAACATACAAAAATTAGTAGTGCTTCTATACACTAACAACAAACTTTCTGAAAAAGAAATCAAGAGAATAATCCCATTAACAATAGCTACAGAAAAATAAAATACTTAGGAATAAATATAACCAAGGAGATAAAAGACATGTACACTGAAAACAATAAAACATTAATGATAGAAATTGAAGAAGACACAGATATCTCATGTTCATGAATTCAAATAATTAATATTGTTAAAGTGTCCATACTACCCAAAGAGACCTACAAATTTATTGCAATTCTTAACAAAATTCCAATGTCATTTTTCATACAAATAGCAAAAAAAATCAGAAAATTCATATAGAATCAGAAAAAAACAAAAGAAATAGACAAGACAATCATGAGCAAAAATAAGGCTGGAGGCATCACACTATCTGATTTCAAACAGTACTACAAAGCAATAATAAAACAACATGGTAATGGCATTAAAATAGATTCTGACCAATGGAGCAGAGTAGAGAGCTTATAAATGATCACACCCAGTGCAGGTATGTATGATCAATTGACTTGTGACAAAGTTGTCAAGAATATGCCAATGGGAAAAGGACAGTTTCTTCAATAAATTGTGTTAGGAAAACTGGATATCTATATGCAGAAGAATGAAATTGGACCTTTATCTCATACCATATCCAAAATTGACTCAAAATGGATAAAAGATATAAACATCAGACCTGAAAATTTTAAACTACGAGAAGAAAACATAGGGCAAAAAACTACACAACATTAGTCCGGGCAACGATTTTTTACATTTGACCCCAAAAGTGCAGGCAACAAAAGCAAAAATGACAAATGGAATTAAATCAAAATAAGCTTCTGCACAACAAAGGAAACAATTAACAGAATGAAAAGACACCCAGTGGATTGGGAAGAAAATATTTGTAAGCCATACATCTGATTAGGAGCTAATATCCAAAATACACAAGGAGCTCAACTCTACAGACAAAAACAAACAACACAACTAAAAATGGGCTAGGGACCTGAATAGACATTTCTCAATACGCAGCATAAAAATAGCAAACAGATTAAAATTAAAACTTTTAAAAAAGTTTGGTCAATTGTTTATGGGTAGTTGTGTACTGAAGTAGCTTGAGGAATCCCTTTTGTATACACAAGAAGAGAAAACTTCAGGAAGAAAATGATAGTTAATAATAGGTGGGATGGCTGCTACAGCCAACCGTTATTTTTCTTTGCCCACTAGAGACCTATCACCCATGAACAAGGCCAGTCTCACAGTCACTTATCACAGTAGAAGACTTAGAGTGCAGGCATACTTTGCTTTATTGCACTTCATTTTATTGTGCTTTGCAGATATTGCCCTTTCTACAAATTGAAGGTTTGTGGTAACCCTTTGTTGAGCAAGTCTGTCAGTGCCATTTTTCCAGCAGCACGTGCTCAAGTTGTGTGTGTCACATTTTGGTATATCTTGCATTATTTCATCCTTTTTCTTTTTCTTCTGTTTATGTATTTTATTTATTTATTTATTGAGACTCTGTTGGCCAGGCTGGAGTGCAGTTGCACAATCACTGCAACCTCCAGCTGCTGGGTTCAAGTGATTCTCATGCTCGGCCTCCTGAGTAGCTGGGATTACAGGCGTGCATCACCATGCCTGGCTAATTTTTGTATTTTTAGTAGAGTCGGGGTTTCGCCATGTTGGCTGGGCTGGTCTCAAACTCCTGACCTCAAGTGATCCGCCTGCCTCGGCCTCCCAAAGTGCTGGGATTACAGGCATGAGCCACTGCACTCAGCCTTATGTTTTTATTATTGTATCTGTTATGGTGATCTGTGAGTGGTGATCTTTGATGTTATTATTATAATTGTATTGGGGCATCACAAACCACACCCATATAAAACAGCAAACATTGACAAATGTTGTGTGTGTTCTGACTGCTCCACCAATAGACAGTTGCCCCATCTCTCTTCCTCTCCTCGGGCCTCCCTATTCCCTAAGACACAACAATATTGAAATTGGGCTAATTACCCTAAAATAGCTTCTAAGTGTTTAAGTAAAAGAAAGAGTTGCACATCCCTTACTTTAAACCAAAAGCTAGAAATGATCAAGTTTAGTGAGGAAGGCATTTTGAAAGCTGAGATAAGTGAAAAACTAGGCCTCATGCACCAAACAGTTAGCCAAGTTGTGAATACAAAGGAAACGTTCTTGAAGGAAATTAAAAGTAGTACTCTGGTGCACCCACAAATGATAAGAAAGCTAAACAGTCTTATTGCTGATATGAAGAAAGTTTTAGTGGTCTGGATAGAAGATCAAACCAGCCACAATATTCCCTTAAGCCAAAGCCTAATCCAGAGCAAGGCTCTAACTCTCTTCAAGTCTATGAAGGTTGAGAAGTGAGGAAGCTGCAGAAGTAAAGTTGGAAGCTGCAGAAGTAAAATTGGAAGCTGCAGAAACTGCTTCATGAGGTTTAAGGAAAGAAGCCATCTCCATAACATAAAAGTGCTAAGTGAAGCCCCAAATGCTGATGGAGAAACTGCAGCAAGTTATCCTGAAGATGTGGCTAAGATGATTGATGAAAGTGACTACACTAAACAACAGATGTTCAATGTAGATGAAACAACCTTCTATTGGAAGAAGATGCCATGTATAAGTTTTATAGCTAGAGAGGAGAAGTCGATGTCTGGCTTCAAAGTTTAATCAACAGGCCAACTCTCTTTTAGGGACTAAGGCAGCTGGTAACTTTAAGTGGAAGCAAATGCTCATTTACCATTCCCAAAATCATAGAGTTCTTAAGAATTATTCTAAATCTACTTTGCTCATGCTGTCAATGGAATAAAGTCTGGATGACAGCACATCTGTTTACAGCATGGTTTACTAAATATTTTAAGCCTGCTCTTGAGACCTACTGTTCAGAAAAAAAGATTTCCTTTGAAGATATTACTGCTCATTGACAATGCCTCTGGTCACCCACGAGCTCTGATGGAGAGGTACAAGGAGATTAATGTTGTTTTAATGCCTGCTAACACAACATTCATTCTGCAGCCCATGGATCAAGAAGTAATTTTGACTGTCAAGTCTTATTACTAAAGAAATACATGTTGTAAGGTTATAGCTACCACAGATAGTGATTCTTCTGATGGATCTGGGCAAACAAAATTTTAAGACTTTCAGGACAGGATTCACCATTCTAGATTTCATTAAAAGCATTTGTGATTCATGACAGGGGGTCAAAATAACATTAACAGGAGTTTAAGAAGAAGAAGGTGACCCCAATCCTCATGAGTGACTTTGAGGGGTTCAAGACTCAAAAGTGTGGAAGAAGTAATCATAGATGTGGTAGAAATAGCAAGAAAACTAGAATTACAAGTGGAGCCTGAAAATGTGACTGAATTGCTGCAATCTCATTATGTACCTTGAATAGATGAGGAGTTTCTTATGGATGAGAAAAAAAAAGTGGTTCTTGTGATAGAATCTACTGCTGGTGAAGATGCTATGAATATTGTTGACCTGACAACAAAAGGTTTAGAATATTACATAAACTTAGTTGATAAAGCAATGACAGAGTTTGAGATAATTGACTCTAATTTTGAAAGGAATTCTACCATAAGTAAAATTCTATCAAATAGCATCGCAAGCTGCAGAGAAATTTTTCGTGAAATGAAGAATCAATTGATGCAGCAAACTTCATTGTTGTCTTATTTTAAGAAATTGCCACAGCCACTGTAATCTTCAGCAACCACCACCCTGATCAATCAGCAGCCATCAACATCAGGATAAGACCATCCACCAGCAAAAAGATTACAATTTGCTGAAAGCTCAGATGATCATTAGCACTTTTTAGCAATAACATATCTTTATATTAAGATATGTACATTTTTATACATAATGTTATTGCACATTTAATGGACTACAGTATAAGAGACACATAACTTTCATATGTTTATATAGTTTGAATGTTCGTCCTCTCCAAAACTCATGTTGAAATGCAATCCCCAGTTTTGGAGGTGGGGACTAGCAGGAGGTGTTTGGGTCATGGGGCTGGATCCCTTATGAATGGCTTGGTGATCTCCCCAAGGTTATGAGTTCACATGATATCTTGTTAAAAAAGAGTTCAGCGTCTCCCCCTTTTCTCTCCCTCCCTCTCTCACCATGTGTTACACTGCTCCCCTTGCCTGCTGCCATGAGTAAAAGTTTCCTGAGGCCTCACCGGAGGCCAAGCAGATGCTGGTGCCATGCTTCTATAGTGTGCATAACCATGAGCCAAATAAACCTCTTTTCTTTATAAATTATCCAACCTCAGGGACTTTTTTACAACCACACGAATTGGGCTAACACATATGTACTGGGAAACAAAAAAAAATCATGTGACTCATTTTATTGCAATATTTGCTCTACTGCAGTGGTCTGGAACAGAACTTGCAATATTTCCATGATATGCCTATAGTTGGGTAAGAAAACAGAGATTTAGAAATAGATGGCTGGATGTGGTGGCTCACGCCTGTAATCCCAGCACTCTGGGAGGCCAAGGAAGATCGCTTGAGCACAGGAGTTCAAATGCAAAACCCACTCTACAAAAAATTTAAAAATTAGCTGGGTGTGGTAATGTGTGCCTATAGTCCCAGCTACTTGGGAGGCTGAGGTGGGAAGATCACTTGAGCCCAGAATGTCAAGGCTGCAGTGAGCCGAGATAGCACCACTGCACTCCAGCCTGAGTTAGAGAGTGAGACCATGTCTCAAAAAAAGAGAAAGTAAAGGACTCTGCAAACACACAGACACAAACTGGAAACTGCCCTGCACCAAGTAAACTTCATTTATTTAATTTCATTATTATGCATTTGCTTAAAGGTAAATATTCCTTGAGAGAGTTAAATCTATTGATGTTTTGCCCCATATTGTGAATTATACATGACAGATAAGTATCTTTTAAAAAAAAGGAAATCTTTTTTTATAACCCTTTGGTGGTGGGGAGCTTACACGTTGGTAACTACATGACTGTTCATTTTGCTGGGCCCCCAAATTAATATGCAAGTGAACATGTAGGAATTGAGGAAGAGCTGAATTGCTTCCTGAACAAACTAAAATTTCAAAATCCAGAAAAAAACTCTGGAAGGAAGAAGACTAAAGTTATAAAACTGGGCACTAAGGGAGGGAGAGCAAAGGGACAATGATGGTTTCGTGGCAAAGAAAACTTAGGAAAAGAACATTTAAGATATACTTTAGGTTTTTTGCCATAGATGTATGCAATGTAACCTCTCTTCTCCAACTCACCTATGATATAGCCTATATCAATAAATTCTATATTGCTCACTAATTTTTTTTCAGAAACAAATTATTTAGGGAAAGCTCAAAGAAGGCAATGAGGAAACAGCTGATATCTGATTAAGTTATCATCATTGGGTTGAAAGCTACAGGAATTAGAGTCTCAAGTGGAGGGCAATCCCAAAATGGAAGAAGTAATTTGAGAGCCCGTGGCCCTTTGAGAAAGAGGAAACACAGGCGGAGTATCACAAGTGGATACTGTGGTGTCCAGAAGGAATCCCTGGGACACTGACTCTCTGAGGTCTAAGTGAGGGGGCAAAAAGGAGGAAGAGATATCATCAGAAAATAAAGTATTTTGGGTATTGACAGACCATCTTTTAAAGGTGGATCATGCCAAAAATCTAGAAATCATTTCTGATTTCTCTTTCTTTCACTCCCTGTTTCGCATTCTAATCTAACTATAATTTCTGTAACCTCTGCCTTCGAAGCATTTTCTGAGTCTCACTACTCACAGCTGCTGCAGCCACCACCCTGGCTGAGGCTATCATCAGTTCATCTCTCTGAGGAACTCATCAGCACCTTCCTAACTTTCCTCTCTCACTCTTACCTCCCTCTGGTTTGGGATCGTTTGCCTCCCTCAAAATAACACAAGAGCCTTGAAGGCAGGGGATCTGTCCTGCTCACCTCTGCTGCTCCAGTACCTAGACCAGTGCCTGGCACACAGCAGGTGCTCAGTAGCTGTTGAGTAAAAGAGTAAGTACTACATTCCAAGTTCAGTGCTGACTGCATTTTACACATCACACTAATTCTCAAAAAACCCTGAAACTCTAAGAAATGACTAAGGTTATAAAAACCACAAAAATAGACCCATAGGGTTTCTTTTCCCAAGAAGCTGAGTTAAATGGACAGAATTTTCTCAAGTTTTGTCTTCTATAAATGTTGCCTAACCAGTTGTGCCTACCACCACTGGACACTGTGATGTCTTGTGAGTTATTTATACCACAAAATTATATGCCATTTTATTTTATATATCAACATTTCATGGTAATGTTGTAAAAACAAAACATTACAAAACATTTGTAAAAAAAAACAAAAATATATTTCTAGGCATTCCACCAGTGGAAAAAGTGAAAGAACAACTGAATAACATTATTCATTTTATTCTCAAAATACTCGTATGGAATTGGTTTTATTTCCTCCATTTTACAGATAAGAAAATTGACTGTTGAAGATGGTAAATCATTGGTGGTGTTAAAACAAGAGACTTACATCCATCCAGCAGGAAATTATAATACAGAGATACACAATGTCTTCTATGTGCACTCCTCCCCTTCCCCAAATTAGGCAACAGTGTAAGTTTAGGTAGCTTTGATTCAGCACATCGTGTGGTCAGGGAAATTTAGTTAAATGTTTCCTTTTATAAAAGCAAATTTTATTGAGTATCAGTTTCATCTAACATTTAAACATAAGTGTTTAGGTTTTTCCACCATAATGCAATATACACATTCCTAAAAAGCATCACATTCTGCAAAATTTTGTACTAAAACTGTCAAGGTTAATGGTGAAGATAGGGTTAGGAGCAGACCATTCAAAACTTACGCAGCTTTCTAAGCACAGCATTAATTACTTAAATATAGCTCATATTAAAAACATGATAAATACCTAATAATTAAAGAAATTACACTTTAGATGTAGTTTTCCTACTTCTCAATCATGTAAAAGAAATATTATAGGAAACACAAGACTTTGCCTTTTTTAAAATGTGGAGTCTGCTTGACTCCAAGAGAGGATGGAGGCTGCTTGCCAAGACCATATGTAACAAAAGTCAGGAAGAAGCATGGAAACAATCACCTCCAGTCAGATCATGTGGTAAGACTGACCCAAGGGGAAGAGTGGGCAGGCAATTACTCTGCATCATTCACAGCCCTGCATTCCCCCACAATTTGCTGCATCTAGGGCTTCAATATACTTTGTGTTTAGCTACTGGTATTTAATGATGCAAACCATGAACGTGCAGAGAAAAACCTCATATGAACCTACAGTTACTGTGTTACCCTGACAGTATCCCCTCCTCATTTAACAGTCATGAATGAGCCAATTCACATTATAGAAACACATGTTGTAACAGAACAAGTGTGTTTCTTCATTTTGCAAATAAAGCAAAGTATGGAAAGGCTGAAAAACTTGCCTAAGATTAACAACCAATAAGTGCTGCAACCAAGATTTGAACCCAAATTCTTAATTGCTTCACTAAACTGCATCTTTCAGTTTTCACAGATGGTTTCAAGAATGAAATCTTCCCTTGCATCAAGGCACACATTATAGGTGCTGAGCAAGTGGTAACTGATTGAATGATTCAAATTTTTATATACTGATCTATCTTCGATTCCACCCTCAGCTCCATCACTATGGTGATGCATTAGAGGAACTCCTAAATACCTATTTGTGACAATTGGCTAGAATAGGTGAAAAGTGAAACCTTGCCTGGATCTCTTTCACACATTCTGAATGCAGAGGGAACATTCATTATAGTCAATAGGTGCTCCTGGCTCAGAAAAATAATCTAGTAATATTGTAGATCCAATAGCAAAATTCCATTATTATAGCAGATCTAATGTAGGGCTTAATAATTCTCCTACAAATGGGTACTCCACAGTCATTCCACATACTTACATGTGAAAGTATCTTCTGATCTAAGTGTAGTAGGTTTTATACTATCTGATTCACTGGATTGGCATTCTTTCAGATCAAGTACCCACTTTCCTGCCAGCAGCAGGAGTTGCTGTTCATCCTTTGCCCCACAAAAATGAGGCCTGGAAAGTGGGAATTCACCTTTCTCCCAGCTGCTTTTCACACCCCCGAAGCATTGTGTCAATCTGAAAGCAAGATGTGCTCCAATATCCCATGCCCTTCTCCCTCCATCTCTGTTGATTTCTCTTTTATGTGTAGGCATAGCATATATTGTAAAATAAAAAGAATGAGAAGGAGAATATACAGGGTCATTCATTATAGCCCATGTGTTAGCATATATATATACATTTTTTTTTTTGAGATGGAGTTTCACTCTTGTTGCCCAGGCTGGGGTGAAATGGTGCAATCTCTGCTCACCGCAACCTCTGCCTCCCAGGTTCAAGCAATTATCCTGCTTCAGCCTCCCGAGTAGCTGGGATTACAAGCATGTGCCACCATGCCCAGCTAATTTTTGTATTTTTAGTAGGGATGGGGTTTCACCATATTGGTCAGGCTAGTGTTGAACTCCCGACCTCAGATGATCCACCCGCCTCAGCCTCCCAAAGTGCTAGAATTACAGGCATAAGACATATTTTGTTTTTAACAAAATATTTGCTACCATGCTGGAGTGCAGTGGCGTGATCTCGGCTCACTGCAACCTTTGCCTCCCGGGTTCAAGTGATTCTCCTGCCTCAGCCTCCCAAGTAGCTGGGATTACAGGTGTGCGCCATCATGCCCGAATAATTTTTGTATTTTTTAGTAGAGACGGGGTTTCACCATGTTGGCCAGGTTGGTCTGAACCCCTGATTTCAAAGGATCTGCCTGCCTTAGCCTCCCAAAGTGCTGGGATTACAGTTGTGAGCCAACATGCGCGAATGCTGTATTTTTTGATATAATCAGTTTATTTGCCTGATTAGTTTCTTACTTTGATGTTACATCAAAAAATTATATTTCAGGTTTAAAATGTGTAAAAATACAAAAATTTATACCGATATGTTCATATTAACTCTCTAGGATTTCAGTAGTCTAGGAGATTTTTGTTTCCATGTTTTAAAAAATTTAATTTTCCTATTACAAATATAAATATATGCAAGCTAATACCTGCCTCCTATAAACATCTGAACCATTTCGAACTCTGAAACTCTATTGACATTTACAAAACCAAACAGGTAAAAATGTCCTTGTTAAATTTATGGCTAGATTTTCAGTTTTGAACTGGACATTTATAAGTGTTTTTTAATGAAAATTAAAGAATTTCATAACACCTACACACACACCCCACTCTCTATGCCCAGCAACAAGGTTGCTGTTAAGTGGTCTTCAACTTTTTGGCACTTCCCAGCCTCATATCCATTATTCCAATAGAGGCAGAAAAATGGGTCATAAAAGGCCATACTACTGAAGCTTCTTCCAATTTATAAACATCCTGAGCCATTTCCCAAGGGATTGAAATTTCAAGCACACAGGTCAGAGGAGTTCAAGACTGGCTACGTGATACTCTGCATAGTAATTGCAAAATTTCTAAGTTATATCACTTGCCAAGAAACTTCTGAGTCTCTTCAGGGCTGACTTTGAGATTTCATAAGCAGAATCATAAGTATGACTAAACATATTTTTAACCGTTTGAGTCCAATTCAGTAGCCATTTTGTATTCATCCTCCAGGGAGGTGGAATAGCTTAGTATCTAAGAATATGGGCTTTGGGGACACACTGTCAGTTTATCCACTTGCCAGTATGGTGGGGTTGAGCACACTACTTAACCTCCCCAAGTTTCATATCAGTAAAATGAGGAATCAGAGTTGACAATTTGTGTGTAAAACTTTTAGCACAGTGTCTGGCAATAGTAAGCATTCAATAAATTTTATTTATTAGGAGAGCGTAAAGCAAGTCACACATCTTTGCCAATATACACAGTGTGTTCAGAATGCAGATTATCAGAACATTGGAAGGTAACTCTTAGGATCATTCTGCAACTCATCTGTTGCCGTGAGTTAGACACAGCCTGAGGAAACTTAGGTTAATCCATGTTGAGTGAAACCACAATTCCTCAGATTAATTGAAAATTGCATGAAGGGCAAGCAATGAAAGTTTTACATGCCATAATTTTATTTTCTATAACTTTCCTTATAACTAGAATTTTTCCACAGAATTGTCAAAAGGGCTTGCAATGAGTGAGACATGTCTTTATAACTAAAATACCTGTAATTATATTAAATAGCTCTAAGTATATAAATAATAGAAACTCTAAATGTATACAGATATTTCAAATATCACTACAAAAATTAAAATTGATGTACTGGAAACTTTGAACTAGCCATCATCAAACTCATAAGACATCCGTCATGCCAGGACATGATGGATTATATAGTATTTTAATACTATATAAAATACCATGTTCAATAGATGTATGAACTTTATTAAAAACTTAGTAAATGTCAAGCTGTGTGCGAGGAATTGAAAAGTGTAACATTAAATCCTAACCATCAAAGAGTTCATAATCTAAAAAGGGAAACAAACATATTTAAATGTACCTGTTAAGTACTATAATAGATACATATTTGAACAGCCAGGGGAAGCCAAAAGATAAATAAGAGGAAACCAGAGTGGAATACAGAGACGGTGGTGGCTAGAAAGGTAAAGAGAAGTGGTACCATTCGCACTATACTTTAAAGAATGAATAATAATTTTCCATGCTGGATTTTCCAGATAGATGGCATGCTTGTTACATTGTCTCTTAAACTAGACCAAAATGCTCATGTGTAATTTTTCACCATGGCCCAGAAATGCTAGTTCAAAGGTAAACAAAGCCTCTTCACCTCATCTCTCCTCTCACAATAATCACCCATTTATCCCCCAACTTGCCTATCTGTGGACTTCAGTTTTACACCTTGACTTTCCTATCTATCTCTTTCCCCATTTGATATTAGTCACCTGCTAGATGGTTAATATTTTCTTAGAATCTGGTATACCTACAAAATTTTGCACTTCATTTGTTCTAATCATGAAGAAATGGTCACAGTCAATATTTTACAGTTTTTTCATTTATTTTCTAAGTAAAAATACACATAAATATTGATTTAGGTATTTGCATACATACAGAAGAAAGAGGAAAAGAATTTCCTACTTAGAAACAACTACTGTCCAACTTGGGGGAACCATGGTAACATTAAGACCTTTTTGTTCCACTGAGCACTTTTGTAGAATAGGTTATATGAAGATGGGCCTAGAGGAACTCCAGATTTAATCATGGTGAAATAAATTGTGCATTTTGTCTTCTGTAAGAAATATAAGAAATAGAAATATGCATCTATCTTGGATCAAACTAGAGAATTCTGCATTTCCAAATCATGAAACAAAAAGGTTACAAAAAGATGTGAAGGCTCAACCTCTATGAAAAACAGTATGAAAATTTCTCAAAGAACTAAAAATAAAACTACCATTTGATCCAGCAATCCCACTACTGGGTATCTACCCAAAGGAAAAGAAATCATTATATCAAAATGACACCTGCACTTGTGTGTTTGTTGCAGCACTATTCACAACAGCAAATATATAGAAGCAGCCTTAGTGTCCAACAGTGGATCAATTGATTTTTTGTAAATGTGATATGTATACATATATGTATATATATATGTGTATATATATGTTTATATATGTGTGTATATATGTGTATATGTGTGTATATATGTGTATATGTGTATATATATGTATGTATATATATTTGTATATATATGTGTGTATATACACACACACACACACACAATGGAATACTATTCAGCCATAAAAAAGAATGAGATTGTGTCTTTTGCAGCAACATGGATGGAACTGAAGTTCATTACCTTAAGTGAAATGAGCCACACACAGAAAGCCAAATATTGCATGTTCTCACTCATAAGTGAGTGTTAAAAAATGTGTACAGGGGCAGGCATGGTGGCTCACACCTATAATCCCAGCACTTTGGGAGGCCGAGGCAGGTGGGTCACCTGAGGTCAGGAGTTCGAGACCAGCCTGGTCAACATGGTGAAATCCTGTCTCTACTAAAAATACAAAAATTAGCTGGGCATGGTGGTACACACCTGTAATCCCAGCTACTCGGGAGACTGAGGCAGGAGAATCACTTGAACCCAGGAGGCAGAGGTTGCAGTGAGCCGAGATCATGCTGTTGCACTCCATCCTGGGCTACAAGAAAGGAATTCTGTCTCCAAAAAGACTTTTGTTTCAGCCAGGTATAGTGGTTCATACCTGTAATCCCAGCACTTTGGGAGGCCCAGGCGGGGGGATCACTTGAGGTCAGGAGTTCGAGACCAGCCTAGCCAACGTGGTAAAACCCTGTCTCTACTAAAAATATAAAAATTAGCCAGGCATGGTGGTGGGTGCCTGTAATCCCAGTTACTTGGGAGGCTGAGGCAGGAGAATCGCTTGAATCTGGGAGGCGGAGGTTACAGTGAGCTGAGATCCCTCCACTGCACTCCAGCTTGGGCAACAGAGCAAAACTGTTTCTAAAAAAGAGAAACTACAAGAGGATAAACTTCAGCCAAACAATTAATGAATGAGTAGATTACTCCAAAAAGATTGGCATTGAGTATTGATGTCACTTTATAAGACCAAGTCTCAAAATAATAGGGAGATTATGGTTAAAGGACAAATATAAGACAAAAATCCTGATAATCTAGAAATAATGTAACAAATGAAAATCATAATTGAAGTGATGAGAAAAGGTAGGAAATAGCATACATATGTTGATTTCTTCACTTTCCACACCTGAGCATGCATCAAAATATATGTTAAAAACTATCGAATCAAGTAATAAAGATAAAAGTATATTTAAAGTTATAAGAGATACTAAGGAAAATCATAAAATCTATTAAAACTGGCAGTGAAGTATAAAAGGAGGAATTACGTTATAGCTCATAGCCATGGATATTGGCTAAAGAAATAGTGGATTAAATATTTTAACTAGTTCTGTGACACTGTAGACTGAATAGAGTTGACAATAATTTATTTTACATGTTCAAAAAGCTAGAAGAGAGGATTTTGAATGTTCCCAACACAAAGAAATGATAATTATCCTAATTTGCTCCTTACACATTGTATACATGTATTGAAATATCACTCCGTATCCCCAGAAAAGTAATTAAAATAAACAAAAGCTTTGGAAAAAGTTACATTTTAAATAAAGGTTGGGTAGAAAGGTAAACACCAGGAAAAAAATATGAAACTGCCAAATTATCAGAAGAAATATACAAATTAAAATAAACACAGATCAGTTATAAAGATTAAAAAGGAAAATCAAAAGAATCCATAAAAACAGAAACATAAAGTATTATGGTAGAAGTAAGTGCAATCATAATTAAAATCTAATTAATGCAAATAGGCTGAACTAATCTATTAAAATGCAAAACATACAAAAGACTCATAAAAAACAAAGTCACTTCTCATCCCACCACCACACAAATTGCAGGTGGATCCAAAATAGATTAAATTCCAGGTGGATCCATAATAGATCAAAGATTTAAATATAAAATGAAGTTACAGATAAACTACCAAAAATATGGGAGAATTTTTAATAGTACAGTATTAACGTGGGGAGAATCTCTGTAAAACCATAAAAATTTTAATAGATTTACTTATAGAAAACAAGAACTAAAAAACATTACTAGTCCACATTTTCAAAATCTAGTCAAAGGATAAATGAAAACCTAGGGAAAAATATCTTCAAAATATGAAATGATAATTTCTACAATTGGAGAGTTCTCCTATACCATAATCTAAGTGTGATGAATTGAATTATTTTTAAAAATATTCCATGCTTCTCCTGTGGGATATACATCCCTGCCCTGTTGAATGTAGATACAGCCACCTTTGCTTTGACCAGTGGAATATCAACAGAATTGACATATGTTGCTTCCAAGCAATATGTAATCTTTTTTGTTTGGCTTCTTTTACTGGGCAAAAGAATTTTGAAGTTCCTTCATGTTGTTTCACGTATCTGTAGTTTCTTCCTTCTTGTTCCTAATTAGTGTTTCATTGGATTACTATTCCACAATTTATTTATCTGTTTTCCTGTTGATGAATAGTTACATTGCTTCTAGTTTAGGCTATTATGAATAATCTTGTTATGAACATTCTTATGCAAGTCTTTTTATGGACATGTGTTTTCAATTCTCTTGGGTAAATACCTAAGAATAGAATTACTGGGTCATAAGATAAATTTATGTTTAATTTTTTAAAGAACAACTTAAAAACCTAAAACCATAAAAACCCTAGAAGAAAACCTAGGCAATACCATTCAGGACATAGGCATGGGCAAAGACTTTATGACTAAAACACCAAAAGAAATTGCAACAAAAGCCAAAATTGACGAATGGGATCTAATTAAAGAGCTTCTGCACAGCAAAAGAAACTATCATCAGAGTGAACAGGCAACCTACAGAATAGCAGAAAATTTTTGCAATCTATCCATCTGACAAAGGTCTAATATTCAAAATCTACAGGAAACTTAAACAAATTTACAAGAAAAAAACAATCCCATCAAAAAGTGGGCAAAGGATATGAACAGGCATTTCTCAAAAGAAGACATTTATGTTACAAACAAACGTATGAAAAAAAAGCACATCATCACTGTTCATTAGAGAAATGCAAACCAAAACAACAATGAGATGCCATTGCATACCAGTTAAAATGACAATTATTAAAAAGTCAGGAAACAACAGATGCTGTTGAGGCTGTAGAGGAATAGGAATGCTTTTACGCTGTTGGTGGGAGTGTAAATTGGTTCAACCATTGTAGAAGACAGTGTGGTGATTCCTCAAGGATCTAGAACC
Source organism: Homo sapiens (assembly GCF_000001405.40). Lineage (NCBI taxonomy): Eukaryota > Metazoa > Chordata > Mammalia > Primates > Hominidae > Homo > Homo sapiens. The sequence goes on from NC_000004.12 coordinate 158,451,627, forward strand.
AGAAATACCATTTGACTCAGTAATCCCGTTACTGGGTATATACCCAAAGGATTATAAATTGTTCTACTATAAAGACACATGCACACGTATTTACAATATGTGTAAATACGTGTGCATGCAGCACAAATTTACAATACAAACACATGCAGCACTATTTACAATAGCAAAGACTTGGAACCAATCCAAATGCCCATCAGTGATAGACTGGATAAAGAAAATGTGGCACATATTTTCTTGTTCCTAATTAGTGTTTCATTGGATTACATGGACTACTATGCAGCCATAAAAAAGAATGAGTTCATGTCCTTTGCAGGGACATGGATGAAGCTGGAAGCCATCATTCTCAGCAAACTAACGTAGGAACAGAGAACCAAATACCACATGTTCTCACTCATAAGTGGGAGTTGAACAATGAGAACACATGGATACAGGGAGGGGAACAACACACACCAGGGCCTGTCGGGGGGTGGGGAGCAAGGGAAGGGAGAATATTAGGACAAATACCTAATGCATGCAGGGCTTAAAACTTAGATGATGGGTTGATAGGTGCAGCAAACCACCATGGCACATGTATACCTATGTAACAAACCTGCATGTTCTGCACATGTATCCCAGAACTTAAAGTAAAATTTAAAAAAAAAAACCAGTTTTCCAAAGTGAGAATTACCTGTTGTGCAATTTCATCACTAATATTGGTTGTTATCGATCTCTTTAATTTCAGCTGTTCCAGTGGGAGTAAAATGGTAATTTGCTATGGACTTAATCTGCATTTTCCTGATAATTAATGATTCTGAGTACCTTTTCACTTGCTTATTGGCTGTTTGAATATCCTCTTTACAGATGTCTGTTCAAGCATTTTGCCTATTTTCTTCAAGCTGCTTAGCTTTTTATTATTGTGCTGTAGTTCTTTACATATGACTTTCAATGAGATCAATTTCTTATTTTACGAAACTTTATAAATTTTGAGAGTATGTAGTAGGTGTATATATTTATGAGGTACATAAGATACTTTTGGTACAGGCATACAATGTGTAATAATCACATGATGGAAGATTGGGTATTCATCCCCTGAAGCACTTATCCTTTGTGTTACAAACAATCCAATTATACTATTTTAGTTAAAATGTTTAATTAAATTATTATTCACCATAGCCCCTATGTTGTTCTATCAAACACTAGGTCTTATTCATTCTTTCTAACTATACTTTTTGCACCCATTTATCATCCCCACTTCCCCCTGCCCTGCCCACAACCCTTCTCAGTCTCTGGTAACCATGTTTCTTTTTTTTTTTTATATACTTTAAGTTTTAGGGTACACGTGCATAACGTGCAGGTTAGTTACATATGTATACACGTGCCATGTTGGTGTGCTGCACCCTTTAACTCATCATTTAACATTAGGTATATCTCCTAATGCTATCCCTCCCCACTCCCCCAACCCCACAACAGGCCCCGGTTTGTGATGTTCCCCTTCCTGTGTCTGGTAACCATCTTTCTATTCTCTATCTCTATGAGTTCAATTGTTTTCATTTTTAGACTCCACAAATAAGTGAGAACATGCAGTGTTTGTCTTTCTGTGTCTGGCTTATTTCACTTAATAGAATTACCTTCAGTTCCATCCATATTGTTGCAAATGCACACTAGTAATCTACTGTCTATATGTACCACGTTTTCTTTGTCCATTCGTCTATTGATGGACACTTAGGTTGCTTCCAAATCTTAGTTATTGTGAACAGTGCTGCAAGAAACATGGGACTGCAGGTATCTCTCTGATATAATGATTTCCTTTTTGAGGGGCATATACACAGAACTGGGATTGCTGGATCATATGGTAGCTCTGTTTTTAGTTTTGGAGGGCTCTCCAAACTGTTCTCTACAGTGGTTGTACTAATTTATATTCACATCAACAGTTTATGAAGGTTCCCTTTTCTCCATATCCTCACCAACATTGTTACTGCCTGACTTTTGGATAAAAGCCATTTTAATTGTGATAAGATGAAATCTCATTGTAGTTTTGATCTCCATTTCTTTGGTAATCAGTGATGTTGAGCATCTTATCTTATGTCTATTTGTCATTTATGTGTCTTCTTTGAGAAACATCTACTCAAATTTTTTGCTCATTTTTTAATCAGAATATTAGATTTTTTCATCTACAGTTATTTGAGTTCCTTATATTCTGGTTATTAATGCCTTGTCAGATGAGTAGTTTGCAAATGTTTTCTCCCATTTTACGAGTTGTCTCTTCACTTTATTGACTATTTGCTGTGCAGAAGATTTTTAACTTGATGTCATCTCATTTGTCCATTTTTGCTTTGGTTGCCTGTGATTGTGGGGTATTACTCAAGAAATTTTGCCCAGAGCAATGTTCTGAAGATTTTTCCCCAATGTTTCCTTGTAGTAGTTTCATAGGCTGAGGTGTTCAATTTATGTCTTTAATTCATTTTGATTTTACTTTTATAAATGGCAAGAGATGAGCGTCCAGTTTCATTCTTCTGCATATGGATATCCAGTTTTCCCAGCACCATTTATTGAAGAGACTGTCTTTTTCTCAATGTGTGTTCTTGGCGTCTTTGTTGAAAACAAGTTCACTGTAAATGCGTGGATTTGTTTCTGAGTTCTCTATTCTGTTCCATTGGTCTATGTGTCTGTTTTTATGCCAATACCTTGCCGTTTTTGTTACTATACCTCTGTAGTATAATTTGAAGTTAGGACCTGTGATTCCTCCAGTTTTGCTCTTTTTGATTAGAATAGCTTTCCCTATTCTGGATCTTTAGTGATTCTACATAAATTTTAAGATTGTATTTTTCTATTCTATGAAGAATATCATTGGTATTTTGAGAGGGATTGCATTGAATCTGCAGATTGTTTTCGGTAGTATGGACAGTTTAACAATATTGATTCTTTGAATCCATGAACATGGAATAGTTTTCCATTTTTTGTTTGTCCTCTTCAATTTCTTTCATCAGTGTTTCATACTTTTTATTGTAGAGAACTTTCACTTCTTTGGTTAAGTTAATTCCTAGACATTTAATTTTATTTGTGGCCATGGTAAATGGGATTACATTTTTAATTTCTTTTTCAGATTGTTTGCTTTTGGTATATAGAAATACTACCAATTTTTTCATGTTGATTTTGTATCCTGCAATTTTACTGAATTTGTTTATCAGTTTTTTGGTGGCCTTTAGGTTTTTCCAGTAAAGCCATTGAGTCCCAGGCTTTTCTTTACTGGAAGACTTTTTATTACAGCTTCAATCTTGTTACTTGTTATTGGTCTATTCAGGTTTTGGATTTCTTCATGGTTCAATCTTAGTAAGTTGTATGTGTCCAGGAATTTGTCCATTTCTTCTAGATTTTCCGATTTATTGGCATATAGTTGTTCATAGTGGCCATTAATGATCCTTTGAATTTCTGTGGTATCAGTTGTAATGTCTCCAGTTTCATCTCTCATTTTATTTATTTGGCTCTTCTGTCTTTTTTTCTTAGTTTGTCTGGCTAAAGGTTTGTCAATTTTGTTTAGCTTTTTAAAAGAACAACTTTTTGTTTTATTGGTCTTTTGTATTGTCTTTTTCATTTCAATTTGCTCTTGCTTTTCTATTTCTTTAAGATGCATCATTAGCTTATTTATTTGAAGTTTTTTTGATGTAGGCACTTATAGCTATAAATTTACCTCTTAGTACTGCTTTCACTGAATCCCATAGGTTTTAGTATGTTGTGTTTCTATTACCACTTGTTTCAAGAAATTTTTAAAATTTCTTTTTTAATTTCTTCATTGGCCTACTGGTTATTCGAGATCCTGTTATTTAATTTCTATGTGTTTGCATAGTTTCCAAAATTCCTATTGATTTTTAGTTTAATTCCATTGAGATTGGAGAAGATGCTTGATATCATTTCAGTGTTTGTGAATGTTTTAAGACTTGTTTTGTGACAACATATGGTCATCTAACCTTGAGAATGATCTCTGTGCCAAGGAGAAAAATGTGTATTCTGCAGCCATTGGATTAAATGTTTTGTAAATATCTATTAGACCCATTGGTTCTATAGTGCAGATTAAATCCAATGTTTCTTTGTTGACTTTCTGTCATGGAGATCTGTCCAGTGCTGCAGGTAGGATGTTGAAATCTCCAACTATTATTGTATTGGAGTCTCTCTCTCTCTTTAGCTCTAATAATATTGGCTTTACAGTATGGCAATTCCTCAAAGAGATAAAAGCAGAACTACCATTCGAACAATCCCTTTACTGGGTGTATACCCAGAGGAATATAAATCATTCTACCATAAAGACACACGCATGCAATGGTTCATTGCAGCACTATTTATAATAGCAAAGACACAGAATCAACCTAAATGCCCAGCAGTGACAGATTAGATAAAGAAAACGTGGTATATATATATACCATGGAATACTATGCAGCCATAAAAAAGAATAACATCATGTCTTTTATGGGAACACGTATGGAACTGGAGACTATTATCCTTAGCAAACTAATTCAGGAACAGAAAATCATACACTGCATGTTCTCACTTATAAGTGGGAGTTAAATGATGTGAAATCATGAACACAAAGAAGGGAACAACAGACACTGGACTCTACTTGAAGGGGGAAGGTGGGAGGAGGGAGAGGAGCAGAAAAGATAACTATTGGGTACTGCACTTAATACCTGGGTGATGAAATAATCTGCACAACAAACCTTTGTCGCACGAGTTTATCTGTGTAACAAACTTTCACATGTATCCCCAAATCTAAAGTAAAGTTAAAGAATAATACTATTTGCTTTGTATATTTATCTGGGTGCTTCACTGTTGGGTGCATATATATTTACAATTATTACATCCTCTTGCTGAATTGACCCATTTATTATTATACAATGACCTTCTTTGTCTCTTCTTACAGTTTTTGTCTTGAAATCTATTTTGTGTGACATAAGTGTAGCTACTCTTGCTCTTTTTTAGTTTCCATTGGCATGGAATATATTTTTCCATCCCTTTATTTTCAGTCTATGTATATCTTTATAGATGAAGTATGTTTTCTGTAGGCAACAGAGCCTTGGGTCTTGTTTTTTCATCCATTTAGCCAGTTTATGTCTTTTGATTTGAGAGTTTAGTCCCTTGACATTTAATGTTATTATTGATAAGTAGGGACTTTTGCCATTTTGTTGTTTTCTGGTTGTTTTGTGGTCTTCTCCTCTTTCTTTCCTTCCTTCCTGTCTTTTAGTGAAGGTGATTTTCTCTGTTGGTATGCTTTAATTTCTTGATTTTTATGTTTTGTGTATCCATTGTATGTTTTTCAACTTGAGGTTACCACAAGGCTTGCAAATACTGTCTTATAATCCATTATTTTAAACTGATGACAACAACACTGATTGCATAAACAAACACAAAAATAAAACGAATAAAAACTCTACATTTTAACTTCATCCCCAGCTCTTTAACATTTTGTTGTTCCTCTTTGTATTATTGTACTTGAAACACTGTTTTAGTTATTTTTGATTGGTTCATCATTTAGTCTTTCTACTTAAGAGAAGAGTAGGTTACACACCAAAATTACAGTGTTATACTGTTCTGTGTTTTTCGACTTACTTAACTATTACCAAGGAGTTTTATACCTTCAGATGATTTCTTCTTGCTGATTAATGTCCTCTTCTTTCAGATTGAAGAATTTCCTTTAGCATTTCTTTTAGGACAGGTCTGGTGTTGATTAAATTCCTCATCTTTTGTTTGTCTGGGAAGGTTTTTATTTCTCCTTCATACTTGAAGGATATTTTCACTGGATATACTATTATAGGGGTAAAAGCTTTTTCCTTCAGTACTTTAAATATGTCATGCCACTCTCTCCTGGCTTGTAAGGTTTCTGCTGAAAAGTTGGCTGCCAGACATTCTGGAGCTCCATTTTATGTTATTTATGTCTTTTCTCTTGCTGCTTTTAGCACAGCTCTAGGCCTTGCCCAAAGTCCTTCCCTTTGTGGTCGTGAGTTACCTAAGGCCCTGGGCCTGATCAGAGATGCTGTATGGGATCCAGGGATTGGAGTCAAAAACCTTAGCAATTTACTGGATGTTCTACTGTGGCTAAGCTGGTACTCAAACCACAACACAAAGTCCTTTATCCATAACCTTTGGGAGTTTGACTATTAAGTGCCTGGAGATAGTCTTCTTTGGGTTAAAACTGATTGGTGTTCTATAATCTTCTTGTACTTGAATGTTGATATGTTTCTCTAGGTTTGGGAAGTTCTCTGATAATATTCCTTTGAATAAACTTTTTACTCCTATCTCTTTCTCTGTCTTCTATTTAAGGCCAGTAACTATTAGATTTGCCCTTTTGAGGCAATTTTCCATATCCTGTAGGTGTGCTTCATTGTTTTTATTCTTTTTACTTTTGTCTCCTCTAACTATGTATTTTCAAACAGCCTATCTTCAAACTCACTAATTCTTTTTTCTGCCAGATCAATTCTGCTATTAAGAGACTGATGCATTCTTTAGCATGTCAATTGCATTTTTGAACTCCATAATTTCTGCTTGATTCTTTTTAATTATTTCAATTTCTTCATTAAATTTATTTGATAGTAATCTGAATTCCTTCTCTGTGTTATCTTGAATTTCTTTGAGTTACCTCAACACAACTATTTTGAATTATCTGTCTGAAAGGTCATATATGTCTGTTTTTCCAGGATTGGTTCCTGATGATCTATTTAGTTCATTTGGTGAGGTCATGTTTTCCTGAATGGTGTTGATGCTTGTAGATGTTAGTCAGTGTCTGGGCATTGAAGAGTTAGGTATTTATTTTAGTCTTCACAGTCTGGGCTTGTTTGTACCTGTCCTCCTTGGGAAGGCTTTCCAGGTATTCAAAGGGACTTGGCCCCCATGCCCAATAACGCTCTGGTTTTTGCAGACTTGTAGAGGTACTGCCTTAGTGGTCTTGGATAAGACCTGGAGGAATTCTCTGATTACCAGGCAGAGACTCTTGTTATTTTCCCTTATTTTCTTCCAAACAAATAGAGTCTTTCTCTTTGTGCTGAGCCACCTGGTACTGGGGGTATGGTGATGCAATTACCTTTGTGGCCACCACCACTGGAAGTGTGCTAGGTCAGACCTGAAGCCAGCAAAACACTGGGCCTTCCCCAAGGCCCTTCCCTTCATGAGTTACCTGAGGCCCTGGGCCTGACCAGAGATGCTGTATGGGATCCAGGGATTGGAGTCAAAAATCTTAGCAATTTACCGGATGTTCTGTTCTGCTGTGGCTAAGCTGTTACTCAACCACAACACAAAGTCCTTCCCTACTCTTCCCTCCACTTTCCAAAGACAGAGGAGACTCTCCCTGTGGTCACCACCATCATTTGACAGGGGGTTCTGCCAGGCCACTGCCAATGTTCACCTAAAGCCCAAGGGCTGTTCTGTCAGCTTGTGGTGAATGCTGCCAGGCCTGGGACTCACCCTTCAGGGAAGTGGGCTCCCCTCTGGCCTAGGGCAGGTCCAGAAATGCTGTCCAAGAGCCTAGGCCTGAACTCAGGAATCCCAAGAGTCTGCTTTTTGTTTTACCCCACTGTGGTCAAGTTCCCTTTACTTTTCCCTCTGCTTTTCTCAAATAGAAAGAGTCTTTCACCATAGCCACCACACCTAGGAATGTGCTGTGTCACCCCTGAAGCCAGCACATCTCAGAGGTCAAGACCCATGGTGTACTCCCTGGGTGTTGTTGGTTACTCAGGGCCCAAAGCTTCATAAGTCAGCAAATAATGAGTACTGATAGGACTGGGTCCTTTTCTTCAAGGCAGTGCATTTCCTCTGGGCCCATCCAGGAATGTCTAAAAATGTCATGGAGGAGCTAGGGCCTGGAATGGGGGCTGCACAACTTTTCCCAGTGCCCTATCCTATTATGGCTCAGCTGGTGTCCAAGATGCAAGACAAAGTCCTCTTTACTGTTTGCTCACCTCTCCTTAAGCAGAAGGAAGGAGTCACTTTTGTTGCTGTGAGCTGCACTACCTGGGGTTGGGGGAGGGATGGTGCAGGCACTTTCTTAGCTGAGCCAGCTGGTGTCTCCCTAGGTCACATGCCACCCTAGTTCACTGGTTCTAAGCCTAGACTAGCACCAGAAGTTGCCTAGGAATTGCTTGTGTCCTAGACTGCCTTTCAAGTTAACTAGGACTACAAAGCACTTTAGCCCCCAGTGGCTATGCTTGCCAAGAAACTCAAGTTCCACTACTGAGATGGGCAGTTCCCCTCTGGCTATAGCTGGTCCAAATGCTTTCTCTGTGCACGGGTGCTGCCTGAGCCCAGCACAGCTTTATTCCCCACTGTGACAGAGCAGCACTGAGTTCAATGTAAAGTCCCCCAGCCACTGCACTCTCCTTCCCAAAGTGCACAGATTCTCTCTCCATGCCATACAGCTGCTGCCAGGGGATGAGGGATGGGACGGGTGGCGTCAGCAACTCAAGACTGTCTCTCCTGTCCTCCTCAATGCCTCTTTCCACAATATGAAGTTAAAATTGGATACTGTGATTGCTTGCCTGATTTTTGGTTCTTGTGATGATGCTTTTCTGTGTGCAGATAGTTGTTAAAATTTGCTGTACCTGTGGGAAGGACAAACAGTGTAGGCTTCTATTCAACCATCTTCCTCCACCCCTCAAGGTAAATATATTTTTCTTTCTATTACATTTAGTGCTTTCAGCGTCCTTGCTAAGAAATCTTTGCCCACCCTCAGATCGTGAAGATATTGTAGAAGCTTTTTTTTTTATGAAAGAAGCTTTCTCCTATAGAAATTTTACAATTTTAGTTTTTATGTTAGGTTCACATTTCATTCAAATTAATTTTGGGTGCAGCATAAGATGAATGTCAAAGTTCCTTTTTCCCTTTATATTTACCAATTCTTATAGGCCTATTTGTTGAAAAGACTTTTCTTTACCCATTGAATTGAATTGAATTGAAATGAATTTGCAGCCTTTTCAGAAATCAGTTGCTTGTACATTTATGTCTATTTGTGGAATTTCATTCTGTTCCAGGGATCTATTTGTCGGTTTTCATGTCAGTACCACTCTGTCTTGGTTGCTGTAGCTCTGTAGTAATTCTCGAAATCAAATAATTAGAGTCTCTAACTTTGTTCTTCTCTGGCAAGATTCTTTGAGCTATTCTAAGTTCTTTTCTTCTGTATAGTGAGAGAAAATTAATGATGCAAGAGAGAAGACAATTGTTCATGATATGTCTGTGAGATTACCCACAATCAAACATCATCTACACTAGGTTTGTTATTTTAAAATTGTATATCCATTTGATAGTTGAAATTGATATTTCATTACCCTTATAGCATCACTTGATTACCCACGCATTTTATGGTTTTGTTGTGGTTTTTACATTTCTTTAAAATTATTTCAATGTTCTTTGTTCATCATTATAATGTGCTTTTGTATTGTTACTGGTTTTTCTTCAGATGAGAAAGAATAGACCACTCCTGGACTCTCTCAAATGGTGCCAAATCCAAACTTGCTGGGCCACAGTGAATAGTACAATACAGCAGGAAAATTGTGCATTTGGAGAGCAGGCGGAGATGCAAGTAGAAACTGACGTGAAAGATCTTATGTTACATGAACAAGAAATTGCAGGTGGAGAGTACTAATGTGAAAGCTGAAGGGATGGGCAAGACTGGAGGCATGAAGACAAGTTAGTGGGCATGGGGGAGAAGAAGACCTTTAAAGGATATCCAAGAGCAAAAACAAAAATCATATCAAAGCCAATATCAGAGGAACAAAAACAAAACTACAAGGGGAATATAGAGGCTGGAATAAGGCAACATAGGTGACTTAAGTCAGAATAAAGAAACAGAGGCACAGAGGCCAATAAAAAAGACTAATATGACTCATATGAATCAAGTTAATTATAACCAAGTCCAGACATGGAGAGAACCTCAGGTCATCGGGATAGAAATAAACAACTCCCACCTCAGGAGATGACTGTAAGCAAAGAACATTCATGTAACAGTTACTCACAGCTAAAAACACTCAAAAAAAAGAAACAAAGGCAAGAACATTCATACATCGGTTTCCAGAACAAATTTTGTCAACACAGCTAAACATTATTCCAATCCTTCTTTTTTGTCTGGTCCCATGTAAATTTTTTTACCCTCAGATCCTAAATGGACAGCATCGCTTATACTACTCAGACATGGAGAACAGGAAAAGTGGAGGTCAAAGATGGTATCAAGATTACCTGCCTGATTGTCTGAGTAAATGATGAAATGATGAGTAAATGATCAAACTGAGTAAATGATGAAACTATCAGCTGATAATTAGAATTCAGAAAAAGTATGTTCCTTTAATACAGGATAAGATGATGCATTGATAAACCTAAGTCAGGAAATAAATGGCAATAAAATCACAAAGAATTAAGGCAAAGAAGAGGACCCAAGAAAAGTGATAAAGATGTGAAATAGTTGTTATAAGAACTGGGAAAAGAAATTGATTAGAATTAAGTAAGAGTACTGCTGAAATGCCAGATGAAGAAAGCATTTATAGATGTGTAACAGAGGTGGTCATATGGTTTTGCAATATTCTGTAGTAGCATTCTTCCCATCAGGCATAACAGGGAAGAAAGTGGGAAAGTAAGCTCCAAGTTAAAATGTAGTGAATTCTCCAATGTTTGTGAAATTTTTAAGTCTTCTCTAATCAATCAAACTTTCAATTCCTTGAGAGTGAGGACCTTGAGATACACAATTTCTAATGCTTCACAGCTCCTAGCTCAGTGCCATGTAGAAATGAGTGCCTAATATGTAAATATTAATGGATACGATACTGTTATTTGTACCTCTTTAAATGCAGACTATAATAGTGTTGAAAATGTCTAGTGTCAGAGGAAGTTCATTTATTCATGCCTATCATACGAATTGAAATACTTTTCCTAATTTATTTGCATACGTTGTAGTCAAAATTTTCAACTCCAAACAGAATAAATTTTATATACCATAAAAAGCACAGGCATAGAAAGAGTCAAAAACTACGCTCTGAACTCCTTCCCAAGTATAGCAATTACTCAACACCCTGGTAAATATGCCAGTCAAAATGTTTAACAGAGCAGGGATACTTGTTCCTGTAGCCCCAGAATAAGAGATCAACAGAGAGACCCTGAGATTGAACAAAACAAATTCAGAAGAGAGAATCAGAGCTCTTTTATTTCCCCCCTAGGGCATGAGCAGTTGCTTAGTCAGAAGTTTCTCCTGCTGCCCAACCCTGTGGGTGACTGAAGATATGAAGATCATCTTCTAGGTTTTGTGTAGAAGTTCCTAGATATTTCAAGTGTCCATTTTGGAATTACAATTTTTTATAACTTTGCCCCAGAAGTTTATTAAAATTGGCAAGAATTGTCTCTGAAGTGAATTGATAGTAGTGAACAATTCAATAAGGTACTTAAAAAGAGACACAGGCATTTCTTCAGTACTTTGGTTCAAACAAATGACATAACTGGTTAAAGTATTTCAGCTGGTGGTATTTTCCTACCTACTCCAAACCCTCTCCTATTGTTGGTATTCTTCAGCCAAAACTGTAAGCTATGTTTGATTTGTGTAATGAGTAGTTTCAGCAGTTTCTTTTTTTTTAATTTTTTATTATACTTTAAGTTCTAGGGTACATGTGCACAACGTGCAGGTTTGTTATATATGTATTACATGTGCCATGTTGGTGTGCTGCACCAATTAACTTGTCATTTACATTAGGCATATCTTCTAATATTATCCCTCACCCCTCCCCCTACCCCACAACAGGCCCTTGTGTGTGATGTTCCCCTTCCTGTGTCCAAGTGTTCTCATTATTCAATTCCTACCTATGAGTGAGAACGTGGTGTTTGGTTTTTTGTCCTTGCAATAGTTTGCTGAGAATGATGGTTTCCAGCTTCATCCATGTCCCTACAAAGGACATGAACTCATCATTTTTTATGGCTGCATTCCATGGTGTATATGTGCCACATTTTCTTAATCCAGTCTATCATTGATGGACATATGGGTTGGTTCCAAGTCTTTGCTATTGTGAATAGTGCCGCAATAAACATACGTGTGCATGTGTCTTCATAGCAGCATGATTTATAATCTTGTGGGTATATACCCAGTAATGGGATGGCTGGGTCAAATGGTATTTCTAGTTCTAGATCCCTGAGGAATCGCCACACTGTCTTCCACAGTGGTTGAACTAGTCTACAGTCCCACCAACAGTGTAAAAGTGTTCCTATTTCTCCACATCCTCTCCAGCATCTGTTGTTTCCTGATTTTTTTAATGATTGCCATTCTAACTGGTGTGAGATGGTCTCTCATTGTGGTTTTGATTTGCATTTCTCTGATAGCCAGTGATGGTGAGCATTTTTTCATGTGTCTGTTGGCTGCATAAATGTCTTCTTTTGAGAAGTGTCTGTTCATATCATTCGCCCACTTGTTAATGGAGTTGTTTTTTTCTTGTAAATTTGTTTGAGTTCTTTGTAGATTCTGGATATTACCCCTTTGTCAGATGAGTGGATTGCAAAAATTTTCTCCCATTCTGTAGGTTGCCTGTTCACTCTAATGATAGTTTCCTTTGCTGTGCAGAAGCTCTTTAGTTTAATTAGATCCCATTTGTCAATTTTGGCTTTTGTTGCCATTGCTTTTGGTGTTTTAGACATGAAGTCCTTGCCCATGCCTATGTCCTGAATGGTATTGCCTAGGTTTTCTTCTAGGGTTTTTATGGTTTTAGGTCTAACATGTAAGTCTTTAATCCATCTTGAATTAATTTTGGTATACGGTGTAAGGAAGGGATCCAGTTTCAGCTTTCTACATATGGCTAGCCAGTTTTCCCAGCACCATTTGTTAAATAGGGAATCCTCTCCCCATTTCTTGTTTTTGTCAGGTTTGTCAAAGATCAGATGGTTGTAGATGTGTGGTATTATTTCTGAGGGCTCTGTTCTGTTCCATTGGTCTATATCTCTGTTTTGGTACCAGTACCATGCTGTTTTGGTTAACGTAGCCTCGTAGTATAGTTTGAAGTCAGGTAGCGTGATGCCTCCAGCTTTGTTCCTTTGGTTTAGGATTGACTTGGCAATGTGGGCTCTTTTTTGGTTCCATATGAACTTTAAAGTAGTTTTTTCCAATTCCGTGAAGAAAGTCATTGGTAGCTTGATGGGGATGGGATTGAATCTATAAATTACCTTGGGCAGTATGGCCATTTTCACGATATTGATTCTTCCTATCCATGAGCATGGAATGTTCTTCCATTTGTTTGTATCCTCTTTTATTTCATTGAGCAGTGGTTTGTAGTTCTCCTTGAAGAGGTCATCCCTTGTAAGTTGGATTCCTAGGTATTTTATTCTCTTTGAAGCAATTGTGAATGACAGTTCACTCATGATTTGGCTCTCTGTTTGTCTGTTATTGGTGTATAAGAATGCTTGTGATTTTTGCACATTGATTTTGTATCCTGAGATTTTGCTGAAGTTGTTTATCAGCTTAAGGAGATTTTGGGCTGAGACGATGGGGTTTTCTAGATATACAGTCATGTCATCTGCAAACAGGGACAATTTGACTTCCTCTTTTCCTAATTGAATACCCTTTATTTCTTTCTCCTGCCTGATTGCCCTGGCCAGAACTTCCAACACCATGTTGAATAGGAGTGGTGACAGAGGGCATCGAGTGGTGAGAGAGGGCATCCCTGTCTTGTGCCGGTTTTCAAAGGGAATGCTTCCAGTTTTTGCCCATTCAGTGTGATATTGGCTGTGGGTTTGTCATAAATAGCTCTTATTATTTTGAGATACGTCCCATCAATACCTAATTTATTGAGAATTTTTAGCATGAAGGGCTGTTGAATTTTGTCAAAGGCCTTTTCTGCATCTATTGAGATAATCATGTGGTTTTTGTCTTTGGTTCTGTTTATATGCTGGATTACATTTATTGATTTGCATATGTTGAACCAGCCTTGCATCCCAGGGATGAAGACCACTTGATCATGTTGGATAAGCTTTTTGATGTGCTGCTGGATTCGTTTTGCCAGTATTTTATTGAGGATTTTTGCATCGATGTTCATCAGGGATATTGGTCTAAAATTCTCTTTTTTTGTTGTATCTCTGCCAGACTTTGGTATCAGGATGATGCTGGCCTCATAAAATGAGTTAGGCAGAAGTCCCTCTTTTTCCATTGATTGGAATAGTGTCAGAAGGAATGGTACCAGCTCCTCCTTGTACCTCTGGTAGGATTCGGCTGTGAATCCATCTGGTCCTGGACTTTTTTTGGTTAGTAAGCTATTAATTATTGCCTCAATTTCAGAGCCTGTTATTGGTCTATTCAGAGATTCAGCTTCTTCCTGGTTTAGTCTTGGGGGGGTGTATGTGTCAAGGAATTTATCCATTTCTTCTAGATTTTCTAGTTTATTTGCTTAGAGGTGTTTGTAATATTCTCTGATGGTAGTTTGTATTTCTGTGGTATCGGTGGTGATATCCCCTTTATCATTTTTTATTGCATCTATTTGATTCTTCTCTCTTTTCTTCTGTATTAGTCTTGCTAGTGGTCTATCAATTTTGTTGATCCTTTCAAAAAACCAGCTCCTGGATTTATTGATTTTTTGAAGGGTTTTTTGTGTCTCTATCTCCTTCAGATCTGCTCTGATCTTAGTTATTTCTTGCCTTATGCTAGCTTTTGAATGTTTTTGCTCTTGCTTCTCTAGTTCTTTTAATTGTGATGTTAGGGTGTCAATTTTAGATCTTTCCTGCTTTCTCTTGTGGGCATTTAGTGCTATAAATTTCCCTCTACACACTGCTTTGAATGCATCCCAGAGATTCTGGTATGTTGTGTCTTTGTTCTCATTGGTTTCAAAGAACATCTTTATTTCTGCCTTCATTTTGTTATGTACCCAGTAATCATTCAGGAGCAGGTTGTTCAGTTTCTATGTAGTTGAGCAGTTTTGAGTGAGTTTCTTAATCCTGAGTTCTAGTTTGATTGCACTGTGGTCTGAGAGACAGTTTGTTATAATTTCTGATCTTTTACATTTGCTGAGGAGTGCTTTACTTCCAACTATGTGGTCAATTTTGGAATAAGTGCAATGTGGTGCTGAGAAGAATGTATATTCTGTTGATTTGGGGTGGAGAGTTCTGTAGATGTCTATTAGGTCTGCTTGGTGCAGAGTTAAGTTCAATTCCTGGATATCCTTGTTGACTTTCTGTCTCATTCATCTGTCTATGTTGACAGTGGGGTGTTAAAGTCTCCCATTATTATTGTGTGGCAGTCTAACTCTCTTTGTAGGTCACTAAGGACTTGCTTTATGAATCTGGGTGCTCCTGTATTGCGTGTATATATATTTAGGATAGTTAGCTCTTCTTTTTGAATTGATCCCTTTACCATTATGTAATGGCCTTCTTTGTCTCTTTTGATCTTTGTTGGTTTAAAGTTTGTTTTATCAGAGACTAGGATTGCAACCCCTGCCTTTTTTGTTTTCCATTTGCTTGGTAGATCTTCCTCCATCCCTTTATTTTGAGCCTATGTGTGTCTCTGCATGTGAGATGGGTTTTTTGAATACAGCACACTGATGGGTCTTGACTGTTTATCCAATTTGCCAGTCTGTGTCTTTTAATTGGAGCATTTAGCCCTTTTACCTTTAAGGTTAATATTGTTATGTGTGAATTTGATCCTGTCATTATGATGTTAGCTGGTTATTTTGCTCGTTAGTTGATGCAGTTTCTTCCTAGCATTGATGGTCTTTACAATTTGGCATGTTTTTCCAGTGGCTGCTACCGGTTGTTCCTTTCCATGTTTAGTGCTTCCTTCCTTCAGGAGCTCTTTTAGGGCAGGCCTGGTGGTGACAAAATCTCTCAGCATTTGCTTGTCTGTAAAGTATTTTATTTCTCCTCACTTATGAAGCTTAGTTTGGCTGGATATGAAATTCTGGGTTGAAAGTTCTTTTCTTTAATAATGTTGAACATTGGGCTGGGTGCAGTGGCTCACGCCCGTAATCCCAGCACTTTGGGAGGCCGAGGCGGGTGGATCACGAGGTCAGGAGATCGAGACCATCTTGGCTAACACAGTGAAACCCCATCTCTACTAAAAATACAAAAAGTTAGCTGAGCACGGAGGCAGGCGCCTGTAATCCCAGCTACTCAGGAGGCTGCGGCAGGAGAATGGTGTGAACCCGGGAGGCGGAGCTTGCAGTGAGCCGAGATAGTGCTGCTGCAGTCCGGCCTGGGTGAAAGAGCGAGACTCCGACTCAAAAAAACAAACAAACAAACAAAAAAGAATGTTGAATATTGGCCCCCACTCTCTTCTGGCTTGTAGAGTTTCTGCCAAGAGATCAGCTGTTAGTCTGATGGGCTTCCCTTTGTGGGTAACCCGACCTTTCTCTCTGGCTGCCCTTAACATATTTTCCTTCATTTCAACTTTGGTGAATCTGACAATTATGTATCTTGGAGTTGCTCTTCTCGAGGAGTATCTTTGTGGCGTTCTCTGAATTTCCTGAATTTGAATGTTGGCCTGCCTTGCTAGGTTGGGGAGGTTCTCCTGGGTAATATCCTGCAGAGTGTTTTCCAACTTGGTTCCATTCTCCCTGTCACTTTCAGGTACACCAATCAGACGTAGATTTGGTCTTTTCACATAGTCCCATATTTCTTGGGGGCTTTGTTCATTTCTTTTTATTCTTTTTTCTCTAAGCTTCTCTTCTTGCTTCATTTTATTCATTTGATCTTCCATCACTGACACCCTTTCTTCCAGTTGATCGAATTGTCTACTGAAGCTTGTGCATTCGTCACGTAGTTCTCGTGCCATGGTGTTCAGCTCCATCAGATCATTTAAGGACTTCTCTACATTGGTTATTCTAGTTAGCCATTCATCTAATCTTTTATCAAGGTTTTTAACTTCTTTGTGATGGGTTCGAACTTCCTCTTTTAGCTCAGAGAAGTTTGGTCGTCTGAAGCCTTCTTCTCTCAGCTCATCAAAGTCATTCTCCGTCCAGCTTTGTTCTGTTGCTGGTGAGGAGTTGCGTTCCTTTGGAGGAGGAGAGGCGCTGTGATTTTTAGAATTTTCAAATGACTGTTTAGATATTGCTAAAGTTTCATGGCAGTTTATTTTTACTTTTATTAAAAGTTTTAGGAGGTTGACCTCAGTCCTTTTCTTGTCACAATGGGACAGCTTTTCTGAATGAAGACATTGAAAGAATACAGAGATTTTTCTATTTTATGTATGTTGAGGTTTAAGATGTTGCAGCTTCCCAGTGGCCTGATAGTATTTAGATAGCTATGTGTGTCTCTGTTTATGCTGATATTTAAGAATGCTCTTCAGATATGAAATTTTCTTTTTGTTTTTGCTATTTGGCTCATAAATTAGATATTTCATGTGGAGTAGATAAGTACAATAGTGACAAGTGCATAGAATAATAAAGAAGACTTTGATCTTAAATCTAAGAAACTTGGCTAATTCTGGGGATAGCCATATAAAAACTTTAAAAGAGGTACAGGTATGGTGGCACATGCCTATAATTTCGGCATTTTGGGAGGTAGAGGCAGGAGCATCACTTGAAGCCAGGAGTTTGAGACCAGCCTGGGCAACTAGCAAGAATCTATCTCTAAAGAAAACACACACACGTGCATTTTATATGTATGACATATAGAAAGAAAGTAAATGTGGGATCACCCAAAGTCCTCATTTCTGCAACATTCATTTACAAAGAAATAATGTTCAGTACATCCCAACACAAGATTATTGGTTTTCTTTCTTTTTAAAAAATTATATATAGATTAAATATAAAATTATATTTTTTAAAAAAACTAAAACAGAAGTATGGGTAGGTGATTTAAGGTGACCTTATGTCAGATAGCCATAGGTTAAGTATCTTCGAAGAACTTGGATATTATTTCAGAAGAAAAAAAAATTTTAACTTGAACACATAAATATTACAGAGAAAACACCAATACCTTCCTGTGCAGTCCTGTTGGAATTTGGACATGCCATGAGGTGTTGAAGCCTTGTTTCACTGAGTTGGACAGACTGGATGTAAATGGCACAGTGTGACTTTGCTCCATCCTGCCTTGATTTTCCTACTCCACCATCATCAACAAAGTTGTTATTGAATTTTGAGAAGCATTCTGAAAACTTCATGGACATAAAATTGTTATGATGTAAATTATCAACAACACAACTCTTCAGATGACTTTGATTCTGGTGTTGGATGTCTTAATGGTGGTAACTTTGTATGCAAAGAAAAACATGGATGGCATACACATGGAAGAAATGGTACTGAACACATAAATCATCGAGGCGGATACCATGGTAGAAGTTCCTGTTCTTATAGCAGTATTTTCCATTCTGGGAAAAGACAGGTCTACATCAAAACAACATCCCTGACAATGAAACGAGGAGGAAAGAAGACAAGAGCGATTGCAAGCCATTTGAGGCTGAGGATTTTCTATCTTTAAATCTTCAACATGAGGGAGAACCAAATCAGAACAGATCTTTAGCTGCAGGTGTGTGGGAATACCTCCAAATCCTAAATCTAGAGCTCCAAGGTACTGAGGGCCAATATATTGAACTCTGGTCATTAAGCTATGTAATACAAAATAATAGACTCACAGACAGCTGGATTGCCAGTAGTAGGATATCTTCAGTAACAGCCAGGTAAGAACGGAAGTCATTCAAGTGTTTACAAAGATTTAGTCTCTAAATCTGCTGCTCTACCTACAAAACCTACGCAATGGAAAAGCCCAGCTAAAGAGAATAAACTTGGGACTTCTTTTCCTCATGAGTCTACATATGGTATTGGCAACTTTAATGCTTTTAAATCAACTACCAAGAATTTTAGTCCATCAACAAATTCAGTGAAAGAGGGTCATCACTCAAACTCCTCTTTGCCTGTTGACAAACTTAATCAGCAGCCTTGTCTAACCAAACTGACACAGTGGTAAGAAGAGTGCATTTTTGAAAGCACTGAAAAGGGACAGAGTAGAAAAAGAACATAAAGATGAAAGGCATTACTGGCTCACAGACAGATGATGTCTCATTTAATTTACATAACAGCAATAGTACTCACTGATATGAACCAAAACTTTGAGGAAAATAAAATTCCACAGGAGGATGACAGTGCCCCACTTTGTGCACTCCCCCAACCCCCAGAATAAACAAAAAGTGGACTGTAGATGCTGGCTAAAACTGGAGCAAAGAGCACTAAAACATTAATTTCCTGATCTCAACTGTAGTATTGGTCATATTTTAAAACATGAATTGTTCTTTAGTCATTTGTAGTGCAGTAAATGTTATAGGAAAGACTTGGCCACATTTTCTTCCAAACTTTAGGAGGTGATTTTCAAGAGCCTTCTTTGGGTAGGTTGTCAGACCCAGATTTTCAGAGTAGATGGAGAAGAGTCTTGTGGGAAAACTTATTTTGACAAAATTATTACACATGCAGAAAAACCCGATTACACTGACTAGATCTGTTCATAACACAAAAAATAAACTGGATTTTAGGGGGGAAAAAAGAAGAGAGAGGCACAGATTAGTACGCCGATGGAAAAAAAAAAAGAGAGTGGAAAGCATCTCTGGCACCTGTTTATTATGATGTGGTCTCTAAGCAAAGAGAGAGGATAAAAAAGATGGATTTTAGGCCCTTAAAATTGGGGATTTTGAGGGGGATTGTAACCACAAACCACAAGACTCAAAGCCAATCCAACTGAAGGACAGAGTGTCAAATTCATGAACCAAAACAAGAATAAGCTCTATCCTTCTAATTTAAACTACACGTCAATTTTTCTTATTTAAAATACATTTCAATTTGGAATTATTCACACTGACATATCATGTGAGACATGGATATAAAAGAGGCACTAAAAAAGTTCATAAAGAGAACACACTAAAATCTGACTTCAGAGATAAGCCAGACGTCCAACTCTGGAAATGGTATTTCAGTATCATTTACCTGTCTGCACCCCTGAACCATCAGAAGTACTTGTTTGAGGTAACATCGTGTACAGCTATTGGGTTTCACAGACCATCTGTTTTTAGTCATAGTAACTACAGAAATGAGATATAATGACAAGGAAAGTTCTGGAAGTCATTTTGACTTTACTAGGCTCCGTATAACCTCCATTCCACCCCATCCAGGGCCTCTTACACAAGCTATCTTAATGGAAGTGGAAGGAAGTGAAGATACATGAGATCAGTGCAGAAAACAGAGGTGGCAAAAGGTTACCTCTATTTTGGATGAAGTTATTACAGAAGTTTTAATGTATTATGAAGTCATTTTTAATAAAATGTGCTACAGGAATACAAGAAACTATGCTGTTATGGTTTTTAAATGCCATGATATTTATAAGCAACATATGAGGAAATTTTTATAAAGAATTGGCTATGTTCTAAGGCAGTTATAAAATACAGAAGTTGGTACCAATCAACTCTCTAAGGTGGTTGTTAACAGTTTCTCTTCCTCCTTCTCCTCCTTCTAATGCACTGCATAATCTTTTTCTTTGGCAAACAGTAGCAACTACTTCTGCAGTTCTTTTCTTTTTTTTTTAAGTTTTTTTTTTCTTTTATTATTATACTGTAAGTTTTAGAGTACATGTGCACATTGTGCAGGTTAGTTACATATGTATACATGTGCCATGCTGGTGTGCTGCACCCACTAACTCATCATCTAGCATTAGGTATATCTCCCAATGCTACCCCTCCCCACTACCCCCACCCCACAACAGTCCCCAGAGTGTGATGTTCCCCTTCCTGTGTCCATGTGATCTCACTGTTCAATTCCCACCTATGAGTGAGAATATGCGGTGTTTGGTTTTTTGTTCTTGCGATAGTTTACTGAGAATGATGATTTCCAATTTCATCCATGTCTTTACAAAGGACATGAACTCATCATTTCTTATGGCTGCATAGTATTCCATGGTGTATATGTGCCACATTTTCTTAATCCAGTCTATCATTTTTGGACATTTGGGTTGGTTCCAAGTCTTTGCTATTGTGAATAATGCCGCAATAAACATATGTGTGCATGTGTCTTTATAGCAGCATGATTTATAGTCCTTTGGGTATATACGCAGTAATGGGATGGCTGGGTCAAATGGTATTTCTAGTTCTAGATCCCCGAGGAATCGCCACACTGACTTCCACAATGGTTGAACTAGTTTACAGTCCCACCAACAGTGTAAAAGTGTTCCTGTTTCTCCACATCCTCTCCAGCACCTGTTGTTTCCTGACTTTTTAATGATTGCCATTCTAACTGGTGTGAGATGGTATCTCATTATGGTTTTGATTTGCATTTCTCTGATGGCCAGTGATGATGAGCATTTTTTCATGTGTTTTTTGGCTGCATAAATGTCTTCTTTTGAGAAGTGTCTGTTCATATCCTTCGCCCACTTTTTGATGGGGTTGTTTGTTTTTTTCTTGTAAATTTGTTTGAGTTCATTGTAGATTCTGGATATTAGCCCTTTGTCAGATGAGTAGGTTGCGAAAATTTTCTCCCATTTTGTAGGTTGCCTGTTCACTCTCATGGTAGTTTCTTTGGCTGTGCAGAAGCTCTTTAGTTTAATTAGATCCCATTTGTCAATTTTGGCTTTTGTTGCCATTGCTTTTGGTGTTTTAGACATGAAGTCCTTGCCCATGCCTATGTCCTGAATGGTAAAGCCTAGGTTTTCTTCTAGGGTTTTTCTGGTTTTAGGTCTAACGTTTAAGTCTTTAATCCATCTTGAATTGATTTTTTTTTTTATTTTACAGTTTTATTGAAGTATAATGTATTTACAATAAGCCTCTCATTTTATAGAGTACAATTTTGTTTTGACATATGCATATACCCATGAAAGCATCAGCAAATAGATAATTATCATATTCTTCACCCCCAAAGACTTCCTTGTGCCTCTTTGTATCCTCTCTCTCTTTTTTTTTTTTATTATACTTTAAGTTTTAGGGTACATGTGCACATTGTGCAGGTTAGTTACATATGTATACATGTGCCATGCTGGTGCGCTGTACCCACTAACTCGTCATCTAGCATTAGGTATATCTCCCAATGCTACCCCTCCCCCCTCCCCCCACCCCACCACAGTCCCCAGAGTGTGATATTCCCCTTCCTGTGACCATGTGATCTCATTGTTCAATTCCCACCTATGAGTGAGAATATGCGGTTTTTGGTTTTTTGTTCTTGCGATAGTTTACTGAGAATGATGGTTTCCAATTTCATCCATGTCCCTACAAAGGACATGAACTCATCATTTTTTATGGCTGCATAGTATTCCATGGTGTATATGTGCCACATTTTCTTAATCCAATCTATCATTGTTGGACATTTGGGTTGGTTCCAAGTCTTTGCTATTGTGAATAATGCCGCAATAAACATACGTGTGCATGTGTCTTTATAGCAGCATGATTTATAATCATTTGGGTATATACCCAGTAATGGGATGGCTGGGTCAAATGGTATTTCTAGTTCTAGATCCTTGAGGAATCGCCACACTGACTTCCACAATGGTTGAACTAGTTTACAGTCCCACCAACAGTGTAAAAGTGTTCCTATTTCTCCACATCCTCTCCAGCACCTGTTGTTTCCTGACTTTTTAATGATTGCCATTCTAACTGGTGTGAGATGGTATCTCATAGTGGTTTTGATTTGCATTTCTCTGATGGCCAGTGATGATGAGCATTTTTTCATGTATTTTTTGGCTGCATAAATGTCTTCTTTTGAGAAGTGTCTGTTCATGTCCTTCGCCCACTTTTTGATGGGGTTGTTTGTTTTTTTCTTGTAAATTTGTTTGAGTTCATTGTAGATTCTGGATATTAGCCCTTTGTCAGATGAGTAGGTTGCGAAAATTTTCTCCCATGTTGTAGGTTGCCTATTCACTCTGATGGTAGTTTCTTTTGCTGTGCAGAAGCTCTTGAGTTTAATTAGATCCCATTTGTCAATTTTGGCTTTTGTTGCCATTGCTTTTGGTGTTTTGGACATGAAGTCCTTGCCCACGCCTATGTCCTGAATGGTAATGCCTAGGTTTTCTTCTAGGGTTTTTATGGTTTTAGGTCTAACGTTTAAATCTTTAATCCATCTTGAATTGATTTTGTATAAGGTGTAAGGAAGGGATCCAGTTTCAGCTTTCTACATATGGCTAGCCAGTTTTGCCAGCAGCATTTATTAAATAGGGAATCCTTTCCCCATTGCTTGTTTTTCTCAGGTTTGTCAAAGATCAGATAGTTGTAGATATGCGGCATTATTTCTGAGGGCTCTGTTCTGTTCCATTGATCTATATCTCTGTTTTGGTACCAGTACCATGCTGTTTGGTTACTGTAACCTTGTAGTATAGTTTGAAGTCGGGTAGCATGATGCCTCCAGCTTTGTTCTTTTGGCTTAGGATTGACTTGGCAATGTGGGCTCTTTTTTGGTTCCATATGAACTTTAAAGTAGTTTTTTCCAGTTCTGTGAAGAAAGTCATTTGTAGCTTGATGGGGATGGCATTGAATCTGTAAATTACCTTGGGCAGTATGGCCATTTTCATGATATTGATTCTTCCTACCCATGAGCATGGAATGTTCTTCCATTTGTTTGTATCCTCTTTTATTTCCTTGAGCAGTGGTTTGTAGTTCTCCTTGAAGAAGTCCTTCACATCCCTTGTAAGTTGGATTCCTAGGTATTTTATTCTCTTTGAAGCAATTGTGAATGGGAGTTCACTCATGATTTGGCTCTGTTTGTCTGTTGTTGGTGTATAAGAATGCTTGTGATTTTTGTACATTGATTTTGTATCCTGAGACTTTGCTGAAGTTGCTTATCAGCTTAAGGAGATTTTGGGCTGAGACAATGGGGTTTTCAAGATATACAATCATGTCGTCTGCAAACAGGGACAATTTGACTTCCTCTTTTCCTAACTGAATACCCTTTATTTCCTTCTGCTGCCTAATTGCCCTGGCCAGAACTTCCAACACTATGTTGAATAGGAGTGGTGACAGAGGGCATCCCTGTCTTGTGCCAGTTTTCAAAGGGAATGCTTCCAGTTTTTGCTCATTCAGTATGATATTGGCTGTGGGTTTGTCATAGATAGCTCTTATTATTTTGAAATACATCCCATCAATACCTAATTTATTGAGAGTTTTTAGCATGAAGCGTTGTTAAATTTTGTCAAAGGCCTTTTCTGCATCTATTGAGATAATCATGTGGTTTTTGTCTTTGGCTCTGTTTATACGCTGGATTACATTTATTGATTTGTGTATATTGAACCAGCCTTGCATCCCAGGGATGAAGCCCACTTGATCATGGTGGATAAGCTTTTTGATGCGCTGCTGGATTCGTTTTGCCAGTATTTTATTGAGGATTTTTGCATCAATGTTCATCAAGGATATTGGTCTAAAATTCTCTTTTTTGGTTGTGTCTCTGCCCGTCTTTGGTATCCAAATGATGCTGGCCTCATAAAATGAGTTAGGGAGGATTCCCTCTTTTTCTATTGATTGGAATAGTTTCAGAAGGAATGGTACCAGTTCCTCCTTGTACCTCTGGTAGAATTCGGCTGTGAATCCATCTGGTCCTGGACTCTTTTTGGTAAGCTGTTGATTAGTGCCACAATTTCAGATCCTGTTATTGGTCTATTCAGAGATTCAACTTCTTCCTGGTTTAGTCTACAGAACTCTCTACCCCAAATCAACAGAATATACATTTTTTTCAGCACCACACCACACCTGTTCCAAAATTGACCACATACTTGGAAGTAAAGCTCTCCTCAGCAAATGTAAAAGAACAGAAATTATAACAAACTATCTCGCAGATCACAGTGCAATCAAACTAGAACTCAGGATTAAGAATCTCACTCAAAACCGCTCAACTACATGGAAACTGAACAACCTGCTCCTGAATGACTACTGGGTACATAACGAAATGAAGGCAAAAATAAAGATGTTCTTTGAAACCAATGAGAACAAAGACACAACATACCAGAATCTCTGGGACACATTTAAAGCAGTGTGTAGAGGGAAATTTATAGCACTAAATGCCCACAAGAGAAAGCAGGAAAGATCCAAAATTGACACCCTAACATCACAATTAAAAGAACTAGAAAAGCAAGAGCAAACACATTCAAAAGCTAGCAGAAGGCAAGAAATAACTAAAATCAGAGCAGAACTGAAGGAAATAGAGACACAAAAAACCCTTCAAAAAATTAATGAATCCAGGAGCTGGTTTTTTGAAAGGATCAACAAAATAGATAGACCGCTAGCAAGACTAATAAAGAAAAAAAGAGAGAAGAATCAAATAGACGCAATAAAAAATGATAAAGGGGATATCACCATGGATCCCACAGAAATACAAACTACCATCAGAGAATACTACAAACACCTCTACGCAAATAAACTAGAAAATCTAGAAGAAATGGATAAATTCCTCGACACATACACTGCAGTTATTTTCAATTCTGACGTTGCTTCAAAATCACCTGCAAAACTTTTTTAAAATATTGATGCTAGACCTTCACCTCTCAGATATTCTGACTTTGTGAAATCACACACAGCCCCAGGATTTTTATACGTTTTCCATAGGAGATTCTGAGACAGTGGTAGAGACAAGAACCCGTCTTAATTTCACCCTGAACAGTCTATAACTTCTGTATAAATTAAAAGCAACATGGATCCATGGATCCAATTGGTTAATGTGGATATCACTTTGGTTTCAGGAATGAATCCAAATGAGAGATATAACAGTGTTATATAACAATAGTAGTGACACTATTTGAGAATTGGTGGGTTTGCATAAACACAGCCCCTCACACATCTCTTCAGACTTGGTTAATGATGAAGTCTCTATGAAAAGACTTGATAGCATACTTTGGATCCACTGAGCCAGCATAAATTGATATTCAGCTTTCTCAAAGTTGTTGACAGAAGTAGCAGACTCTAAATATTTAAGGAATTTACTGACTGAGGAGGGCATAGAACAGTTCAGCCCTCCTCTCTCCGATAATGATTTTTGAGGAGTTTATTCTTGTCTGTCTTTCTGAGAACAATGTGAATTTTTCCCTGAGAACTAGTGTGTTTTCTTTTCAGAGATGACATAAAAATATGTAATCTTTTTCTTGTGCCCTTTTTTCTTTGAAAACCAGGAAACTTAGAACCAAATCTGTTGCTCAACTTTAGTAACTGTGTAGAACACCATGACCTGCATATTTTAAACTCGTTTTTCCCCATCTTGCATTATTGTATGTCTTCCCTCATTCAGATTTCAATTATAGTTTTTCTATTTTATTACATGAATTAATGTAATCTTTTATCAAGTCCACTCAATATGAAAAGTGTTTGATGATATTGGAATCAATTGGAATCATTTCCAAATTGCATAATTAGAAAAATGTTTTCTTTTAATTGTCAGCCAAAGAAAAATTGAAAAGTTATCCTGGTGAGGTTTTCTGAGCTTCTAAAGGAACTTAGAGATAAATTTTGTATCAGAAGGTGTCAGCATCACTTCCAGAGCTAACCTTCATCACAGTTCACTCTAAACTTCAAATTTCTCCAACCTGGGAACTAGTAGTGATCATCTTACTTGGTTACATGCGGGAAGACTAGAAGGTGAGATAACAATCACCAAGGTACACACAGGACACAGCACCTAGATGGTATTTGTAATCATTGAAACACTTATTTATGCTGTCTTTCCTATTTCATTTCCTAGGGTAGCAGTTCATATTTTTATTAGAGAATGAAATATTTAGACATGTCATTGGCTAGTGTATTTTCTGAGTGAGTATGCTTATATAAAAGTCAATTCAGCTTTCTCTAGAAATTTTTCAAATTCTGTTCAGACCCTTTTAAGTATTCAATACTCATGACAAAGCAAGGTTTTTCATTATACTTACAAGAAAAATTGGTCTCAAAGCTTTTGAAAGAGAAATTACACTGGAGCCTTAGAAGATGCTTTTATTTTTTATTACATTGTGCTGCTGTTGCCAAAAAACTGATTTTAAAAGGCCAACGACTTGTTTCTATCCATTATTACTATAATACAGAAAATGTACACATTAGAGAATTAGATAACCCCTCCAGAAGCTATGACAATTTCATCACTGCCAATCCAAAACAATATTTTGCAAGGTCAGATCTTCTAGATAAGAAGAATAAAAAAACCTAATCTATCATCTTGAAGCTTCATCTTAGCTAGAGGTAGTATGGTAGATGTAGTGTTTGGCTTCTGCCTCCTGCCTTATCCTCAGGTACCTTCTATTTAATGAGGATTATTATTGAAGCCGATGTTTTTTGATTCCCAATCATGTCCCATCTGTAGACCAGTGGCTGCACTATTAAGATCACATGATGAACTCTTAAAACTCTTGATGCCAAAGCCAAACCCAGATCAGTTGAATCAGGATATCTGGAGGAAAGACCTGTATATGCACCAATTGTAAGTTCCTCCGGTGTTTCCATTAAGCAAACAAGTTTGAAATCCAACTTCACATTTAATTAAATAATTTTAAGGTATATGTAATTAGAATCAAGAATCTCATTACACATGTAAAATAATCCAATCAATAAATGATGTAACTTAAAGATCTCTCTTGGCAATAAGTGTCGCCTTGTTTTCTACTATCTCCTCATTCTGAAATTAACAACAGAATCTGAATTAGAGTTTTATTGGTAAACTGAGGCAAGTTCTATAAAACCCTTTATTATCAATTTTATTCAGGATAATTTTTGAGAAATTTTATATTCTTAGTTTAAATTGAGAGAGGGGTCTCAGAGTCAATTACTTTAAAATTAAAAAGTTAACAAATTCAATGTCAAAACAATTTGCTTGTAAAATATATAGGGAGAGGGCTTTTAAAAGCACAATTTCTTTAGAATAAAATGCAATGAGCAAGTTCAAATTCTTCTTGAAAAAAATAACTTGAAAGAAGCAGCAATTCTATTTTGTTCCAAAAAATTGGTATTTGAGGGAGAAGAAAAGGCAATGAATATCAAACCTCATTTTTCTGTCATGAATCAGCTTCAAACAAAAAATAGATAGGGTTTGCCGTCTTCTTGTTGGATTTTTCCAAAATCTGATTTATTGAGGAATTTATCTGGAATACAGGCAGTGTTACAAGTATATATACAAAATATCCAAAGAGCCATGGACTATAAACAAACTCTTATTTATACTGTATATCAACCTTATTCACATTTTCAAAGGAAAAAGTTGAGATACAAAGACATTCCATGACTCATCGAAGGGCATCAAGTAAATTCAATCAGCAGGAGAAGGAGAAGTAAAGTCTAATTTTACTCATTTTTATGTCAGTATCCCTGAATCCCAGTAGTTTGCACAACAGCCTCTTTTTCCATGAATGCATCCCAGTTTATACAAATTATAGTTCAAGACCCTTGCCAGAGTTTCAAATATCTCTTAAAAGAAGAAAACACTTATACCTCTTTTAAAGCTCTGTTCTTTGAGATTTCTGAAACTAATGGTGGGATTTAGTCTTTTGACATCGGTCAATGGAAGCATTCATCCCTGATAGGGAAGGAGACTACCATGTCCAATAAACTGAATAAACTTTCCAAGAACGATTCATGTTTGTGGAAAGATCCACATGTACTGTTCCAAAGTCTGCCTTTCTGAGCTATCTTCTGTGCCTGTCATCAGACCAGCTGCATAAACCAGCACCTAGCCTTTCCAAGAATTTCCAGTTTTGCTTCCATGAATCATGTTACTGACCTTAGCAAGTGCTTAGAAACTCTTATCTTGCCATAGAAATTGGAGTTTTCTGTCACAGCAAGGGCTATGACTGCTGAGCAGGAATGGGTCGTATTGGGAAAATGGATTGCTTATTTTCATAAGAATACTAGCCTCAAACTCGAATGTCTAAAATCATTTCATAATTTCCTCTTTATTTACAGCAGAGATGCATTTTAAGATTATTGAAAAGCAAAACCCAATAATGCTATTTGGAAGATGGGCACATATTGATAGCCGAGACTCCTGAGCATGGCCAATTTAGCTGGTATCTGGTAACCAAACAAGACTGTCATTTAGTACTTACTTTATGTCATAATTTCCAAGTAAGCCTTACCAACTACAAGGATTATATCATTATTACTCAGAATATGCCAGTCAAGAAGTCAATATTCCGGCTGAGTGCACTGGCTCACACCTGTAATCCCAGCACTTTGGGAGGCCGAGGCGGGCAGATCACGAGGTCAGGAGATCGAGATTATCCTGGCTAACACAGTGAAACCCCGTCTCTACTAAAAATACAAAAAATTAGCCGGGCGTGGTGACGGATACCTGTAGTCCCAGCTACTTGGGAGGCTGAGGCAGGAGAATGGTGTGAACCCGGGAGGCGGAGCTGACACTGAGCCGAGATTGCGCCACTGCACTCCAGCCCGGGCGACAGAGCGAGACCCCGTCTCAAAAAATTAAAAAAAAAAAGAAGTCAATATTCCAGGAGAGCTTAACCTTCCCCTTGTTGAGACAATTTACCCAAAACACCTCAGTGGTATGCCTTTCTCTAGTCTAGGAAGTACTACCCAACTCTCAGACATCATCCTTCCTTTTTCCAGAGATGAGGAATTATATTCTTCTAAGACACAGTTACGGACCCATCACCTGTTACTAGACTCTCAAACTCTCACGTTTCCATATTCTTGCTCTGTTAGATTCCGTTCCTTGATCTTTCTGTCTGAATTGTACCACCCCCTCCAAACCTCTGCTGTAACTCTTCAGTAGTCTCTCCATGAGCCTATACCCCTGATGTCACTATCTCTTGACTCTGATGTCAGCTTCATCCTCTGAATTTAGGTACTTGCTTTTCTCATCTTGCAATGTTAACTCACTTGGCTTTCTCCAACTTGTGACCTGACGCTCTCCTCTCTGTGCCACATCCACCAAGCTCTCTGGTCACTTGTGCCATTTTGTACTGACCAATTTTCATTGCAATCCATCACCCAGGACTGACAGCTGTACATGAAAACACATATTATATAGAAGCTGGGAACGTTTCTCAGACAGAAATACACTGATCTTTTAAAAAACAACAAATGGTCTTTATTTCACATACAGCATGAGTATCTGTATAAGTAGTAAAATGAGCAACTCACTGAGAGACAACTTTTTAAAAATAAATAAAACTCAGAAAAACAATGTGTCAAAGACAACAGATAGTCAAATAATACAGCATGTATAAAACATCTGGGCAAAAACCAATTTGCTAAGTGAAGTGGTTAGAAAAGGACAAACAAAACACACCAGAGATTTTTATAAACAAAACAATATGTGTACTTTTCAGATAGTCATTTCATTGAAATAAGGAGACCCCCCTCCCCAAACAGTAGCATTTTTAAAATGGAGTTGACTCCTTTTGGAAATAATGTGTAAAAATCAGAATTTTTTCTCATATTCAATCTTTTAGCAAATAATGTAAACTCATAACAGCATTTTAGTGGGTATGCTACTCAATATGATCTTCTGCAATTAGTTTCACATGTGACTCTGGCCCTCTTGTGCAATTACTAAAGGATATAAAGAGACTTGAAGGTTAACAACAATGTATCATGTTTTATCTTTGCTGTTCCAATGTGTATGCACACTTGCATATGAACACATAAACTCTTTCTAAAATCACCATGGGAATAATAACTAAGGTCATCTGAGTTTATACCCTTTATGGGGACAGGGGTAGGTTATGCAGTCATTGCAGAAGGAAACTTCTGATGTCCCTTTATTCTTACGGAGCAGGAGTGGTAAGGCAAAGATCACTCCCTCAGATCAAACTGGTGTCATAACCTGTGAAAAGAACATGGAACAAGGAGAATCAACCTAAACAACTTTATAAGAAACATTTCTAAGAATGTGGTGCAGTGTTAAGTGAAGGCTGAAGACCAAGCTGAAGAAAGAGATTTTTTTTCCATTATCTTCCAGAGTTTCTTTGTGCCCATTTTCTTTTTTCTGTTTATTTCTTTTTATTTTGTTATTTTACTTTAAGTTCTAGGATACATGTGCTGAATGTGCCAGTTTGTTACATAAGTATACATGTGCCATGGTGGTTTGCTGCACCTATCAACCCGTCATCTAGGTTTTAAGCTCCGCGTGCATTAAGTATTTGTCCTAATGCTCTCCCTCCCCTATCCCCCCACCCCGTGACAGGCCCCAGTGTGTGATGTTCCCCTCCCTGTGTCCACGTGTTCTCATTGTTCAGCTCCCACTTATGAGTGAGAACATGCAGTGTTTGGTTTTCTTTTCCTGTGTTAGTCTGCTGAGGATGATGGTTTCCAGCTTCATCCATGTCCCTGCAAAGGACATGAACTCATTCTTTTTATGGCTGCATAGTATTCCATGGTGTATATGTGCCACATTTTCTTTATCCAGTCTATCATTGATGGGGGTTTGGGTTGGTTCCAAGTCTTTGCTATTATAAATAGTGCTGCAATAAACACATGTGTGCATGTGTCTTTATAGTAGAATGATTTATAGGCATGGGCAAAGACTTCATGACTAAAACACTAAAAGCAATTGCAACAAAAGACAAAATTGACCAATGGGATCTAATTAAACTAAAGAGCTTCTGCTCAGCAAAGTAAACTATCATCAGAGTGAATAGATAACCTACAGAATAGGAGAAAATTTTTGCAATCTATCTGACAAGGGCCTAATATCCAGAATCTACAAGGAACTTAAACAAGTTTACGAGAAAAAAAACAAACCCATCAAAAAGTGGGCAATGGATATGAATAGACACTTCTCAAAAGAAGACATTTATGTGGCCAACAAACTTATGAATAAAAGCTCATCATCACTGGTCATTAGAAAAATGCAAATGAAAACCATAATGAGATACCATCTCATGCCAGTTAGAATGGCGATCATTAAAAAGCCTGGAAACAACAGATGCTGGCAAGGATGTGGGGAAATAGGAATGTTTTTACACTGTTGGTGGGAGTGTAAATTAGTTCAACCATTGTGGAAGACAGTGTGGTGATTCCTCAAGGATCTAGAACCAGAAATACCATTTGACCCAGCAGTCCCATTACTGGGTATAAAGAGACTGTTTTTAGAGACAATTACTGGCAGAATCCTCTGAGCAACGCTGCTCTCTGACAATGTTTTCTCTCTGAGAGCAGTTGGGCCCACCACTTCCCAAACATAACAACAAAGAGTATCTCCCTTGTCAAGACCACATACTGTAAATTTAGACAGATGCAGGTTCAAATCCCAACCACTTATGTGCCATTTAAGTTCTGTGACTTGGAGCATCTTGTTTAATTTCTCCAAGCTTTAATTTCCTCATCTAAGAAATAGAGATAATAATATCATCCCCATAATTACCGTTAAATGTAAAGCATTTAGCTCTGGTGTTTGGCACAGAGCAGGTACTCAACAAATGTTAGCTAAAATGATAAACATTAATAACATTAATAAACTGATATTTAGAAACAATCCATTTGTTTCTCACCAGGTTTACTTTGGTTCTCAAATGGCCTGATTGCCCCATCTGGTTGCCAAACTCTTAACTATTTTAATATAACTGGAGTTCAGTCAGTGTGTAATGGTAAGACAGTCCCCATCAACTAATTATGCCTGCACCATTTTATATTTCTTCAGTGTTTCATGTGTGTCTAGTCATTTGGTAAGTCCTTTGGAATTTATAATAACACCTTCCCTAAGAGACTGTAGGTTGAGCTCATGGAACTGGCTAAGGCAAACAGCATTATCCTGATTAGAAAGACAAATACAGGTGGGAAATAAGCACAAGCCTACTCCAGGAGAAGAAGCTACAAATCAGAAGCTCACAGTTCAGTTAGGAGAGCTTAAAAAAGAAGTTAACCGCGGAACATGACTTAGTGGGAGGTTGAATAGCAACATGGAACTGAGAGAAAGTCTTAGAGAGAAGGCAGTTGCCTGGCTTGGGTGGTGTGTCATATTTCTCCTTATCCCGCTTGTTAAAGATGTGTTTTAGTAGCTCAACAAGTTCTGCAGAAGAAGAAATAGGTTTAGATGACTTTGGATGGGAGGAAATTTCTTATACCCATCTTAGGTACATTGGCTGGAACCCTGAGTATTAGACTGACAAAAGACACATTCACAAGAGAAAAATAAACAGTTTATGAATGTGTGTAGTGCACATCACATGGAAGAAACCTCATTGATGAGTAACTCAAAGTTGTGGTTAGAACTTCAGCTTATATAGCCTCTTAGCAAAGAAAAAGAAATTTATAGAGAAGGGACAAGACAAAGGAAAAGGGTTTTAGGCTTCCAAAGGTGGCAAACTGTGGGAAGGTAACTATGTGTGGGAAACAGAGTAAGATTTGTTTATGCGGGTCCATCTCAGGACTGACTTTCCATCTTTTTTGTGGTCATAAAACTTCCACAGGAGAGATGATTTATGGTGGTTCTCATTTCTCAGAAATTTCTGCTTTTAGTTAAATAAGAGAAGCTCTGGAAAGGTTTCTTTCTTCATCTGTTGTTTCTTATTTGCCTCCAACTCAAAATAATCTTTATGCCAAGGTAACACATTTTGGAGTGGCACATTTTGCTCCCCTACAACTTCCTAGAGCAGGAAAACCATGTTAATTACTTGCACCCACATAAGCAGTGGGACAGAAACTCTATAATCTTCTCATAGATTACCTACCACCCAAGCTAATGAGCTCACCATTAAAAGTCACCCACTAACACATGTACTCTCTATGATCCACCTGGATAGGCGTGTGACTTTAATAGATAATTTTGAAGTTAACTCTAAAGCACTAGAAGCATAAAAATTGTAGTGGAAGAACTGCAAGTGGAAGAAATGGGAAACTTTTTCCAAAAATAAGAATCCAAACCCAGTAAAGAGCCACAGCTCCAGGTGTTTGGGAATCTAGCCTGGGGACTCTTCAAAACTCAAGGAGCACTGTACTGCAGGGCCCACTGACCTCCCTGAGACTATCATGATGCACAAAGGATCCTTTCTGCAGTGTGATCACCGGGTGTCTGCTTTTCTAAGAGGCAACATCATTTTATAAATATTTCCTATGGGAATCAATGTGTGTATATAACAAAAAATAAATGTCTAGCCGAGTGTCTTATTTTTTAATATTGTGTTATCTTTAAGAGCAAGGCAGTGCCCTCATCTTCACCTGTGTTGTTCATGTGTATAGATATTGCCTATAAAACACATCTTTCAAACATAATGACTAAATTCTGACATTCATTACCTGGAAGGCATTTGCATTTTCTTCTTGGCTTCTACAGCATATCACTGCGTGTTCAAAGCACCTAAGGAGAGGTGAGGAAGGACATCTGAAAACATTCATTTTATCAAGGTAGATAATAGGAAAATATCCGAAGAACCTATTCAAAAAAATGCCAGAATTATCAAAGTGGAAAACATTAGCATGCACACACATCCTTGGGCTCCTGACGTGACATCAACTATTTTATGGACACTGGTAGCTTAAAAGAGATCTTGCTGAGCACTTCAAAGACTGTCAATGTACATGAGGTCTAGAACAGCAGATAATGAAAATTTTTTGTACCATATCCTCAATTGCTCACATTGTTAAAGGTTCACCTTTTCTAATTCTCCTTTAATTCAGTGGGGCAGGAAAAGAAGTTTATTCTTGCCTTGCTCCATCTCATCACTTCTAAACCACTAATTTATCACCTTCCTTCCATGTATCTTCATTTGAATTTCAAATTTACCGTTATCTCCAAAGCACCACTGAACTCCAAGAACTATTTCAAAGTTTTGAGATAACTTAAAAACTGACCAAAATTTTTCTTGTTCTCCTCAACCCTGAGAGTCTTCCCCTAGTCCCACCCCACTTAATCATGCATTTATTTACTCATTTATCCATTTATTAATTCACCAAGTATTGACTTCCTACTATCATGGCCAGTATACCTAGGATTGCCTAGACCTAAGAGGCTTAGACAACAGATATTTATTGTCTCACAGTTCTGAAGGCTAAAAATCCAAGATCAATGTGCTAGCAAGGTTGACTCCTACCAAGGGCTATGAAGAGAGGATTTGTTCCAGGTCTGTCTCCTTGGCTTGATCATTTTCTTTCTATGTTTCTTCATACCATCTTTCTTTTTTGTATGTCTGTGTCCAAACTTCCCTTTTTTATAAGTACACTAGACATGTTGGTTTAAGGGCCCACCCTACTCCAGTGTGACCTCATCTTAACTAATTACATCTGCAATGACATATTTTCAAATATAGTCATATTCTGGGCAACATGGTGAGGGACTGGTGGTTATGACTTCAGCAAATGAATTTGGGGTGCAAGGGACAATTTAATTCATAACAGCCAAGTACAATGCTAAGTACTATAAAGATAAAAGACCCTGTCTGACATTCTCTTCAACCCCTAGATCTAACCAAAGGCCTTTGCCTCCTACTTTGGAATAAAAACAAGGCTTATTTTGTAGAAATTCCATCAACTGTCATCTTCTCTACCTCTTTATCACATATATTCTCTTGTATTATTTGTGCTTCCATCCTTCCTACTAAACAAACTAGGCCACTAAGCAAGCCAAAACCCAATTCAGCATGAATAGTCCTATCCTAGGAAAATGAAACTTAGTTTTACCAAGTAGAAACTGCCAACAAACCTCTAACTACGGATTTTGAGGCAACTGCTCCACTTTAATCTAACATTTTCTTTGCCTTGCTTCTACGTTCACCTTATAAAAGCCTTCCCCCCACACTCCTTCACTGAAGCCCCAAACCACCTGTGGTCTGGAGCTATCTAATTCATTAATTGCTACTTGCTCCAATGAACTCTTCAAAAATTGAATGTTTTATCACTAAAAAATTGAATCTTTTATCACTATGTAAAGAGTCATTAAATGACTTGGTCACTATGACATCACATATTTGTGATTCAGTGTATTAAATTCATGGCCAAGGCAGTTCCTGTTTTAGAATTTAAATGGTAAGTATTTAGGATATGCTTGATTAGGATACTTATTCAAGGGTTAAGAGGCTCACTAATGTATATCCTGAATTGTCAGGTATATTTACAACATTTTTGTCTCTATTCAATTACATTTGCCTTAGCAGATAAAACCTTTTATTATATTTCTAAATGAACACTTGTCTCCTTGAATTAAAAAACATAGCTTAATTACTACAAAAGAGTACTGAGAAACCAGAGGCCCTGGAGAACAGCAAATGGTACATATTCATAGACATCCTAAGTAGGAAGCAGAAAAATGAGAGTACAAAATGTTTTACAAGCATTGAAAGATAAAATTCCATTAAAAAGTGAAATTGAGGAAAATGGATGTTTTAATAACCAAATGAGACATGTATAGTCAAAGCTGCCTCTTGGGATGTGATTAAATTGATTTGATATTTATATGCCGGAAAGATCAAAATGGGAAAAGAGCTTCTAAAGAAATACTAAGCATGACATTCATTCAATTGTTCAACACTCAAAAACATATATTAAGCCTCTGCTATGCTTCAGACATTGTGCTAGGCACAAGAAATACAACATTGGGTAAGATAGACACAGCTTTAATTAGTTCATAGAATAGGATGCAGAAAAACATTATTCAACAAAATAAGATACTGTTATGAATAGGAAATGCTTGGGATGATGTAAAAGTACATAGCAAGAGCATCTGTGGCTCTTTTCTATTTTCCTAAAGGAAAATCTCCTAAAAGATGATCAGAGCAATGGAGAAAACCAGGTGTCCATGGCAGAGGTAAAGAGAGTCAAAGAAACTAATTGGGAAGGTGCTGAAATAATTCAGATGGTGGCATCAGCTAACATACTGACAGTGGGGATTAGGAAATGGAATGAAATTGAGAAAGCTTTATGATAGATTTGATAGCAATTAACTATTGGTGAGATGGAGGAAGTGAGAAAAAGAAAGGAGTCAAGAGTGATTCCCAGATTCTTGGCTTAGGCAAGCCATGTGGCAAGGACCACAAGAGGAGCAGAATCGGGAGGAAAGATGATGATGCGCTCTATGCATGCTGATGTCAGGGTGCTGGTGAGACTGAGAGAGGATGTTTCTGGTAGGTAAGTATGGAGCTCAAAAGAGAGATCTTAGCTGGAGATATAAACTCAGGACTTAATGGCAAATGGATGGTAACTGAAACTAGGATACTGATGTGATTTACCTAAGGCTTTATAAAAGTAAGATGAGAAAAAGGCTTAAGAAAGCAGTTTGAGGCCAGTACAGTGGCTCATGCCTGTGATCCCAGCACCTTGGGAGGGCAAGGAAAATCACTTGAGCCCAGGAATTTGAAACTAACCTGGACAACATGGTGAAATCCCTTCTCTACGAAAAATACAAAAATTAGCCAGAGGTGGTGGTACGTACCTGTAGTCCCAGATACTTGGGAGGCTGAGGCAGGAGAATCACTTGAACCCAGGAGGCAGAAGTTGCAGTGAGCCAAGATGGAGCCCCTGCACTCCAGCCTGGGTGACAGAGGGAGATTGTGTCTCAAAAAAAAAAAAAAGAAAAAAGGAAAAAAAAAAGAAAAAAACACAAAACAAAAAGAAAGCAGCTTGACATTCAGAGAAATTTAATCCATTCCAAAACATTTGCATTTTTTCTTTTTCTATTATATTTTATTTATTTATTTTTAATTTTACTTTAACTTCTGGGATACATGTGCAGAATGTGCAGGTTTGTTACATAGATATACATGTGCCATGGTGGTTTACTGCATCTATCAACCGTCCTCTAGGTTTTAAGCCCTGCATGCATTAGGTATTTGTCCTAATGTTCTCCCTCCCCTTGCTCCCCAACCCCTGACAGGCCCTGGTGTGTGATGTTCCGCTCCCTGTGTTCATATGTTCTCATTGTTCAACTTCCACTTATGAGTGAGAACATGCAGTGTTGGTTTTCTCTTCCTGTGTTAGTTTGCTGAGAATGATGGCTTCCAGCTTTATACATGTCTCTGCAAAGGACATGAACTCATTCTTTTTTATGGCTGCATAGTATTCCATGGTGTGTATGTGCCACATTTTCTTTATCCAGTCTATGATTGATGGGCATTTCGGTTGGTTCCAAGTCTTTGCTATCATAAATAGTGCTGCAATACATATATGTGTGTATGTGTCTTCATAGTAGAATGATTTATAATCCTTTGGGTATATACTCAGTAATGGGATTACTGGGTCAAATGATATTTCTGGTTCTAGATCCTTGAGGAATTGCCACACTGTCTTCCACAATGGTTGAACTAATTTACATTCCCATCAACAGTGTAAAAGCATTCCTATTCCTCCACAACCTTGCCAGCATCTGTTGTTTCCTGACTTTTTAATAATCACCATTCTAATGAGATGGTATCTCATTGTGGTTCTGATTTGCTTTCCTCTAATGACCATGATGATGAGCTTTTTTTCATATATTTGTTGGTTGCGTAAATGTCTTCTTTTGAGAAGTGCCTGTTCATATCCTTTGCCCACTTTTTGATTGGGTTTTTTGTTTTTTTCTTGTAAATTTGTTGAATTTCCTTGTAGATTCTGGATATTAGACCTTTGTCAGATGAGTAGCTTGCAAAAATTTTCTCCCATTCTGTAGGTTGTCTGTTTACTCTGATGATAGTTTCTTTTGCTGTGCAGAAGCTCTTTAGTGTAATTAGATCCCATTTGTCAATTTTGGCTTTTGTTGCAATTGCTTTTAGTGTTTTAGTCATTAAGTCTTTGCCCCATGCCTATGTCCTGAATGGTATTGCCTAAGTTTTTTTCTAGGGTTTTATGGTTTTGAGTTTTACATTTAAGTCTTTAATCCATCTTG
Source organism: Homo sapiens (assembly GCF_000001405.40). Lineage (NCBI taxonomy): Eukaryota > Metazoa > Chordata > Mammalia > Primates > Hominidae > Homo > Homo sapiens. Next base: position 158,490,257 of record NC_000004.12, read on the forward strand.
AGTTAATTTTTGTATAAGGTGTAAGGAAGGGGTCCAATTTCTATTCTCTGCATATGGCTAGGCATTTTTCCCAGCACCATTTATTAGATAGGGAATTCTTTCCCCATTGCTTGTTTTTGTAGGTTTGTCAAAGATCAGATGGTCGTAGATGTGTGGTGTTATTTCTGAGGCCTCTGTTCTGTTCCATTGGTCTATATATCTGTTTTGGTACCAGTACCATGCTGTTTTGGTTACTGTAGCCTTGTAATATAGTTTGAAGTCAGGTAGTGAGGTGACTCCAGCTTTCTTCTTACTGCTTAGGATTGTCTTGGCTATACAGGCTCTTCCAAAACATTTGCATTTTAAAGAGGTGAAGGTTGGGCTAGGAGCTGGGTAGATAAATGAAGTGTGTTTCATAAATACAAAGTTTGAGAAGCCTGAGATATCCAAAAAGAAGCTAGGTTGGATTTAGCTTCTAGCAAGCATCCTGTTCCTTCAGTAACAGTCAAGGAATTACAAAGGTCAAAATAGAAGAGTAGCCACAAGTATTTATCTTCATTCTTTATCATGATCTCTTAAAATTATATGAAGTAATATAATAGGTATAAACTCACTCTAAATCCTGTAGCAGGAAGATTCAGGATTCCAGGAAGAAGCTAACTGAAAAAAAATTAAAGATGTGATATTATTCTTGAGAAGTTACTAAGAACTTCAGAATGTAATAAAAAGTCAGTGCAATAAATTTGGAATGTAAATAAAATCTTCATAAAAAATTAAAAGATGCTTAAAAGACAACATAATCATACAATACTGATAGCCAGAGCAAAAGCAATTGCACAGCAATAACAAAATGCACAGTATATATTTACTGACTTGCAAAATTCATTGTCAATTACTAGACAAAAATCCAAAAGAAATAGGATTACCAAATAGAATTTATATCTTATCAACCTTAACAATTTAAAGTGAAAGTTAAAATGTACAAATTTTGGTGAATGAAAGAAAGAAAAGGTGAAGTTAAGTCACATTAGAATGTGAGGATTCAAGATTTATTGCACATAGTTCATGGAACAAGAATTTTAAAAATTATTGAAATTTATTAAGAGGAATAGAAGTATACTAATTATGATATTGGTATGGGGAAAGGAAATTTAGTAAGTTTTGAAAAAGTATGCTAAATTTTATCTATCATAGCAGAAACTAATAGATCATGTTTAAATTAAGTAATATGTGCATAGTATATGGTGGTAGGTTGAAACTGCTAGAAGAAAAATTTAAAAATAGCAATCTCAAAAAATAAATAAAATTTAAAAAATAAAAACAGCTATCTCTGCAATAGAGGAAGTAGATAATTGAAAGAGATATAGGCCGGGCACGGTGGCTCACACCTGTAATCACAACACTTTGGGAGGGTGAGGCAGGGGGATCACCTGAGGTCAAGAGTTCAAGACCAGCCTGGCCAATATGGTGAAACCCTGTCTCTACTAAAAATACAAAAATTAGCTGGGTATGGTGGCAGGCGCCTGTAATCCCAGCTACTTGGGAGGCTGAGACAGGAGAATCACTTAAACTCAGAAGGTGGAGGTTGCAGTGAGCCAAGATCATGCCATTGCACTCCAGCCTGGGCAACAAGAGTGAAACTCCGTCTCAAAAAAAAAGAAAAAGAAAAAGAAAAGAGATATAACTGAGAACATTTCATCCTAAGCCCTTAGCTATTTTTTGATTATCAACATACGCATTTTATTTTTTATATAAATTAAAAATATATTTTAAAAAAGTAATGAAGTCTGCAACAATCTACTCCCAACCTATTTGTCTAACTTTATTTCTTTTTTTCTTTCTTTCTTTCTTTCTTTGTCTTTCTCTCTCTCTCTCTCTCTCTCTCTCTCTCTCTCTCTCTCTCCTTTCTTCTTTCTTCTTTACCTTAGCTGCAACCAAAATTGACTATCCAACAGAAGTTACTGAGACTGTTCCATTTGGTGCACTGGAGGAGCGTTATGTAGTACTAGGGGCAAATAAAAGCCAGCTGGAGTACTAAGTATATTACCAACAGCATTTGTCTAGTCTTCTTTCTTATAACTGTACACATACATACCCCACCAACAACAATACCCACTATAACAGCACATTCATAAGAGATGGTGCCATTTAATCTTCAACTTAGCTCAGATTCCAAGATTTTAAGCTCTCTGCTACCCATCTACTGTGAGGTTGTTCCTGATATTCAGTGCAGCATAGCTCTTTAATTCTTCTTTCTCTATTTTAGTCATATTCTCTGCTAACTTAACAACCCACTCCACATTCTTGGTCAGCTCCCAATCCTCAGATTCTGCTAACTTCATAATATAGGTCACCATGTGACTTGTTGACTTCTCCATCTGTCCAAATCTTACACATTATTTCAGATCCACCTCAAATGCCAGTTCCTCATCATTTCTTCTCTGGACTCAACAGAGCTTTGCTTCCTATTTATAAAAACAAAGGTCACCATGCTTTATATTACAAATTGGTTGTTTATATAAATTTATTACAAAATTATTGTATATGTATATTTTAAGTTTCTCTTAATTTTAAATTCTTTCAAGGCCAGGATTAAAGCTTGCTAATCTCTTATCTAACATAGTAAATGTAATATTTTAATGCATATAATGCTCCTTAGATGAATATTTAACTGTATTTTAATTTTGGTGAGATTCTCACTGTCTTAGTTCATTTAGTATGTTCTTTTAAAGAAATACCTAAAGCTGGGTAATTTATAAAGAAAAGAGGTTTATTTGGCTCATGGTTCTGCAGGCAGAGCAAGAAGCATGGCACAAGCATCTGCTTCTGGCGAGGGCTTCAGGCTCCTTCCACTTATGGCGGAGGGTGACTGGCAATGCACAGAGATCCCAAGCAAGAGAGGAAGCAAGAGAGAGAGTGGGGAGGTGTCCGGTTCTTTTTAACAATCAGTTCTTGCAGGAGCTAATAGACTGAGAACTCACTCACCCCTACCCTTAGAGAGGGTATTAATATTCATGAGGGATCCACCTCCATGCCCCAAACACCTCTCATTTGATCTCCTATATTGGGGATCAAATTTCAACATGAGATTTGGAGGGGAAGACACACCTGAACTATAGCACTCATGGATTTTTATTAATTGGGCAATTCGGAATTATTTTCTGTAGGTTTTTGAGGGGAGGCTTTCATTTTCTTCATAGGCATTTACTGTATGTTACATACTTTTTATACTATGGCTCTTCCAAAACAAAGATGGCTTGCAAAATAGTAACAAAATAGTAATAGTAACAAAATAATATTATGGGGTTAATAAAATGGAAACTGAAAATTTAAGTGTGGAAAGGAGTCAAGTATGTTTCACATATTTTCTGTGATTGAGCCTTAATATTGTTTTTGCAGCTTTCTAATATCCAGAGCAAAAAGGGAAATATTAATTTCAACTGGTGTTTCTAGATAAATGCTCTAATTTGAAGGTGTTGGTAACCAGCTAGACTTCTTAGGGAACTTTCAAACAGTGTGAGGGACATATCAAAAGATCTCACACATGGGAAATTATGATCGATCCTAGAAGCAGAAAGTGGGACAGAAAAAAATATTTGGTGACATAATGGATGAATAGCTCCCAAATTTTAGGGAGGACATGTTTACAGATTCAAGAAGCGCAGAAAACCCTAAGCAGTGTGAATTTAAGATAACCGCATCTAGGCATACCATATTCAAACCACAGAACCAAAAAGTAAAGAGAAAATCTTGAAAACAGCCAGGAAAAGAACAGCATATTTGAACAATTATTTGAACAAATTTGAACAATGATTCAATATTTTTTAAGAATGAAAATAAAGACATGTCCAGATAAAAATAAAACTAGCAGGGTTCATCACCAGCAGCTCTGCAATAAAACTAATGTTAAAGAAGCTCTTTCGTGAGACTCCGTCTCAAAAAAAAAAAAAAAAAAAAAAAGAAGCTCTTTTGGCTGAAGAAAAATCATACCTGATAAAAATCATGAGAATCTATAAACATCTAGGTCAATATAAGAGAATATTGTTTTCTCCTAATTTCTTTAAAATGCATATGGTTTCAAAGCAAAAACTGTAATATTCTTTTGTGTGGTTTATAGAATAAATACATATACATATGAAAATTATAATAAATGGACCTATGGAGTCGCAAAGTTTCTCCATTTTTCATGGAGTCATACAATATTAACTCTAAGTAGACTGAGAAGTTAAGAATGTGTATTGTAACTCCATGAGCAACCATTGAAACTAATGCAAAAAACTCTGAAAATCTAATAAATAAAATATAGTTTAAAAATATTCAATTAATCTAAAAGGAAGCAAGAAAGGTGGAATATAGGAGCAAAGAAGCAGAGGGGACAACAGAAAACAGATAGTAAAATGGTAGACCTAATTGTAAACATGCCAGTAATTCTATTAGCTGTTGTTGGACTAAACACCCCAATTAAAAGATAGAGATTGTCAGAATGAATTTTTTAAACACCCAAACATGTTATCTCAAGAAGATGCAGGCTGGGCACAGTGGCTCATGCTGGTAATCTTAGCACTTTGGGAGACCGAGGCGGAAGGATCACTTGAGCTTAGGAGCTCGAGACCAGGCTGGGCAACATAGTGAGACCTAGTCTCTAAAAAATAAAAATAAACATAAATTAGCTGGGTGTAGTGGCACACACCTATAGTCCCACCTATTCGGGTGGCTGAGGTGGGAAGACTGCATAGCTCAGTCGGTCTAGGCTGCAGTGAGCCATGTTCGCACCATTGCACTTCAGCTTGGGTGACGGTATGCGATCCTGTCTCAAAAAATCTAAACAAAACAAAAAAAGAAGATGCACTTTAAATATAAAGATGCTGATAGATTGAAATTAAATAGCTGGGAGAAAAATGCCATGCAAACTATAGGCATGAGAAAGGCTAGAGTGTTTATATTAGTATGAGATAAGGTAGACTTCAAGACAAAGAGTATTACTGGAATAAAGAGGGACATTTCATAATGCTAAAAGAACCAATAAATCAGGAAGATATAACAATCATAAATATGTATGTACCTAATACAGACTTTAAAATATATAAAGAAAAAAATGAGAATTACTGGAGCAATAGACAATTCCAGGATCATACTTGGAGATTTTAACACTCCTTTCTTAGCAATTGATGGGCCAATGATTCAAAAAATTTAGGGGAAAACAATGATACGATTTCTGCAAAAACAGATAATCCCTGATGTAGACAATAAAAAGATAGTTATACCAATATTGTTGCTAATATCAAACTGTGAAACAAAATTTACCAATGATCAACAAATGCATATACAGTCATACTTCACTTGATGATGAGGATATGTTCTGAGAAATGAAAAATCTACACAAATCTACGTGAAATATCTAATTTTTACTAGCACTTCTTGTCATAATACATCTTGGATAAGTTTCTTTTTTGAGTCTCACATATGACATCCATAAAATATTAATATAAATATCCATAACTCACTCTCCAAAATCAGAAAGCTGGCCTGATACCTCCTTGGGTTTTCTTTCACTACCAATGTATATGATTCTGCAAAATTAAAGCTATGAATTTTTCATTTGATACCCAAAATCTTGTAAGCTTAGAACTTGAAGACAGGCACAGCATGCAGTCATATAGTAAACACAAATAATGCTATCTGTAATGAAATTTTAACATTTTGACATTTGACAGAAGAATTCAAACCATCAAAAGAAATATTTTGTGTGTGTGTGGAGAGTAACCTTATTCATCGTCCATAATGATGATTTTCTTATTTTTCTTTCCTGAAATGCTGTGTTAAATAAAATCTTATATATAAATACAATCTTTATAATATAAACACAGTCTTATAGAGAAGACACATATATATAAAACAAATGAAACCACAACTGCTCTTGTTGACGTGATAGGTAGGAGCCCAGATTTCATTCCACCTAGGGGAAAATCGAGCACAGGTTCTCCCTCAAGGGGGCGCCTTAGAGCACAGCTGAAGCTAAAGCACAGGTGGAAGAATCACTGTAAAAGGAGTCTCCTTGGCTGGACATTCTTTCAGCTGCCATAATAGTTTCTTATTAAGACTTTCCTGAAACTCCAAAAATCACTGATCTGCATAGTCTTACTTTTTTCTACTCTTCTCAATGCCAGACATTGATGCGTGAAAAAAATATGCATCTCAGCATTTTATTATATTCTGTTATAGTGCTTTAAATTGCTTTGCTGAATTGTGTTATGTATAAATCTAATCAGCATTCCCTAATTCCCTTCTACCATAAGATCTCGAAAAGAATATATAATTGCTGAATTGACTAAATTATCAGGATCCAACATCTGGTTTGAATTAAACATTAAAATATATGAGGAAAATATTGAAAGACTACAAAAGATAGCAATACAGATGAAAAATATGGAAAATAAAGGAAGTGAACCTGTTTAATTGGTCAATGAAAAGGCAGTGAGAAACTTACTGTCTTTGAATTAGGAGGAAAAAACTATTATGCAGTAATGACTTTTTAATCCTTGCTATTTCATGAGGGATTTGCTACAAAAAGGAGGGATTTCCTCTTAATGAGAACTGACTGGACCCACAGTGCTAGTCAGCAATTCCAAATCAGCAAACTCACCCATTGTTCTGAATAGTCTTTCTAAGCATTTACCATATTCTTCAAGATTTCTGTCCCACTTTAACTCTCTGAGAATATCCAAAAAAGAAACTAAAAGGCACGAATAAAGGCAATGAGAGTGGGATTGCAGGGCATTGCTAATGAGGGAAAGATGTGGCAGCTTCTTGGAATAGAAAGGACGTTGGATTCCAAAAGGACGGAGAGAGGGAGAAGTGCCGGTTGACCTCCAGGACTCTGAACTGTGCAGCTCAGTTATGGGTGCTGCTGTTCACCAAGACTGGGCATGTCGGAGGAGGCAGAAGATGGAAAGAAAAGGAAGGAATGGTGATGATTGGGGGAATATGTGTATTCCTTTTGGATACACTGAATCAAAGTGCCTTTAGGAATTGCAGTGGAAATGTCTAGAATGCAGTCAGGTATACACAACTAAAGCTGGGTTGAAACACAGATTTTGGAGTTCTCGGGATGGCCAATGTCACAGGTATGGTTGAAAATGACCAAAAAGAGCAAGTAAAAGAGAGGTGCTCAACTTGGGATCCACAAACTCCTGTGGGTACCATGAGTGATCTTCAGAAGCATCCTTTAATCCCCGAAATTTCATGAGATTTTTGTGAGCATGTTCTTTTCCTCAGGAGAGAAGGCCTGTATCTTTCTCCATGTTCTCAAAAATTCATTACCCAAAAAGGTTTTGAACCAGAGATCTAGATTGAGAAACGAAAATATCCAGGAAACATTCTCTGAAGAATATGTCCATCCATACGGCCGGGAGCGGTGGCTCACGCCTGTAATCACAGCACTTTGGGAGGCCGAGTCGGGCGGATAACGAGGTCAGGAGTTCAAGAACAGCCTGACCAACATGGTGAAACCCCTTCTCTACTAAAAATACAAAAATTAGCCGGGCGTGGTGGCATACACCTGTAATCCTAGCTACTCAGGAGGCTGAGGCAGGAGAATCGCTTGAACCCGGGAGGCAGAGGTCGCAGTGAGCCGAGATCGCACCACTGCACTCCAGCCTAGGTGACAGAGTGACACTCCGTCTCAAAAAAAAAAAAAAGAATATGTCCATACACATAAAATATAAAATATATAAATGTTCATACACATAAAGACAATTAGTTGCCAAAAGGGAGCCTGAGAAAGAGCTGGCAGTCAGAGAGCAGAAGCAGAAAGACGCAAGACTGGATCCAAGAGAAGGCAAGTTTTCAAATAGGAGAATGCCCCATTCTGTCACTCAGGGTAGAGATCAAATATTAACCCTCAGAAGGGCCTTCTCTAATCACTTAGCTCAACCACCCATACGGGTGTATTTCCCACATGAACGAGAAAGTTCGCTGTGAGCAGGAACCCTGAATCCCAGTGCTTGCAACATAACGAACATAAAGTAATTGTCAGATGATTAACTGATTGACTGCTATTGGAGACAATCTGCAATTTTTAAATTCCATTTTTACCTTTCCTTGTTCCAAAAATACATTACATTCAAGTAGTTCAAAGACATTTTTGATTTAATAACTAAATGAACAAGTGAGCAAATATATTACCATTTGTTTCCCGGTACGACCAATAACAATAAAGGCAGAGTGCTATCGAAGAATGCAGAAAAAAAGGAGGAGGCAAAAACATAGGTAACTGAACAGTAAAGTAACTAAAAGCGTTAGTCACTGACATTTATACTTATTAGTGAGTTTTCTGACTAAAAGTTATTATTTATGTAATATAAGCATTTCATTTTATTCTATAATCTATAATGCTAGACAGGAGCAAATGCAGCAGTTGTCAATAATTGCTAAAAGCCTACCACACTGGACAATTCAAAGGTCTTTATTATAAGCCAAATGCTGTAAAACATAATGTCCTAAGGCAGTTAGGCAATAAACTTTTACTGAGGAAAATGAACTCTTCTTTCCTAGCCAATTTGAATAAAAACAACAAAAGTTATTTCAAACATTTTAACATAATGCTACACACTCATCTCCAATAAAATACATTATTTCTCAGAGTTATAGGATATTACATTATTGAAAATAGACTTGTTTCCTTACTTTTTATATTTAGGCCATGTTTAATACTTTCTATAAATAAACTATCAGACAAGATGATACCTCAACCTTAAGCAAAGTATTTTATACTTTTACTTTCAGAGATTCATAACAACACTTGATTTACATTTTAAAATATTAAATTCTACTTTCTGAGATGCAGATATAACAAGTACATCAATTTCACAATAGGAAAAGCATCTGTGTATTAAACAGTTCAGGTAGAAGATGGTCTCTGAAATCAAATAGCTTGTGAACTGATGCATTTTTCAAAGATTTGTCTTCAGTGAATTCTGCTGGGGAGAGCAAGATTTTCAAAGTGGCTGTCGTATCCTCATTCCTGTACTGACTCGTAAGAGCCAAGAAAGGAGAAAGGAAAATTGACATCTGCGCACAGCTTAATGTTGGTACAGGTGCAGGGCAAGCTACATAATTTACAGGGTCAAGCGCAAAATGAAAATTTGGGACTCCTTTTTCAAAAAGCAGGGGAAAGCATTTTTTAAAGGTATGAAAATATAAAGCTTTTTCATTTCTTCTCTCTCTCTTTTTCTCTCTCTCTCTGTCACAGTGGGGTTTTTTTATTGAATTAGAAACTGGAGGTAATTTTTTTTTCTTTTTTATTTTATTTTATTTTACTTTATGTTCTGGGATACATGTGCAGAACTTGCAGGTTTGTTACATAGGTATACATGTGCCATGGTGGTTTGCTGCACTCATCAACCCGTCTTCTAGGTTTTTAAGCCCCACATGCATTAGGTATTTGTTCTAATGCTCTCCCTCACAGTGTTCCCCACCGCCCGACAGGACCCAGTGTGTGATGTTCCCGTCCCTGTGTCCGCGTGTTCTCATTGTTCAACTTGTCACAGTGTTTTTTATTTGCACTATAATGTTGTTCTAGGTAAAGAAAAATTAAAATTTTAAATTATTAAAATGAATTTTGCTGTTCATCTATGTATTGTACAGTGCAAATTTTAAATGCAAATATAGGAATATTTAACTTATACAAAATGACCACAATTACTTGATTTGTATTTCATAGCTCACACGTCAATACACATTTTGTTCTTAGCAAAACAATGGAAACACTATGCAAAACTAACTCAACTGTTCTTATTTCACTTCTTAATACATCACATCGTACCAATATTCTCTACAGATAAATAAGGAAGGTTTGAAAAAACAAGAAACTATGAATAATCCTACTTTTCACTTTCCCTCTTTGTCATCATTTTCAGTGTAAATGTTTAGCTAGTATAAAAAGGAGAAAGGAGTAACAAGGGATATGCTAGGGTACCTATGTATGTCATTGGTTTAGAAGGACACTGCCCACTTTCAAAGCAATTCGTGTTCAAATAGAAAGCGAGCCTCTCAGCCTGTTTGCACTGCACTTAGTTTGACACTCAACTTGCTTAGTTTTTTGTTTGTTTTGTTTTATTATATTTTAAGTTCTGGGGTACATGTGCATAATGTGCAGGGTTGTTACATAGGTATACATGTGCCATGGTGGTTTGCTGCACCCATCGACCCATCATCTACCTTAGGTATCTCTCCTGCTATCCCTCCCCTAGTCCCCCACCCCCCGACAGGCCCCAGTGTGTGATGTTCCCCTCCCTGTGTCCACGTGTTCTCATTGTTCAACTCTGACTTAAGAGTGAGAACATGCGGTGTTTGGTTTTCTGTCTTGAGTTTGCTGAGAATGATGGCTTCCAGCTCCATCCATGTCCCTGCAAAGGACATGAATTCATCCTTTTTTATGGCTGCATAGTATTCCATGGTGTATATGTGCCACATTTTCTTTATCCAGTCTATCCTTGATGGGCATTTCGGTTGGTTCCAAGTCTTTACTATTGTAAATAGTGCTGCAACAAATATATGTGTGCATGTGTCTTTATAGTAGAATGATTTATAACCCTTTGGGTATATGCCCAGTGATGGGATTGCTGGGTCAAATGATATTTCTGGTTCTAGATCCTTGAGGAATCGCCACACCGTCTTCCACACTGGTTGAACTAATTTACACTCCCAGCAACAGTGTAAAAGTGTTCCTATTTCTCCACATCCTCTCCAGCATCTGTTGTTTCCTGACTTTTTAATGATTGCCATTCTAATGAGATGGTATCTCATTGTGGTTTTGATTTGCATTTTTCTAATGACCAGTGATGATGAGCTTTTTTTCATATGTTTGTTGGTTGCATAAATGTCTTCTTTTGAGAAATGTTTGTTCATATCTTTCTCTCCCACTTTTTGATGGGGTTGTTTGTTTTTTTCTTGTAAATTTGTTTAAGTTCTTTGTAGATTCTGAATATTAGACCTTTGTCAGATGGATAGACTGCAAAAATGTTCTCCCATTCTGTAGGTTGCCTGTTCACTGTAATGATAGTTTCTTTTGCTATGCAGAAGCTCTTTAGGTTGATTAGATCCCATTTGTGTATTTTGGCTTTTGTTGCCATTGCTTTTGGTGTTTTAGTCATGAAGTCTTTGCCCATGCCTATGTCCAGAATGGTATTGCCTAGGTTTTCTTCCATGGTTTTTATGGTTTTAGGTCTTACTTTTAAGTCTTTAATCCATCTTGAGTTAATTTTTGTATAAAGTGTAAGGAAGGGATCCAGTTTCTATTTTCTGCGTATGGCTAGCCAGTTTTCCCAGCACCATTTATTAAATAGGGAATCCTTTGCCCATTGCTTGTTTTTGTCAGGTTTGTCAAAGATCAGATGGTTGTAGATGTGTGGTGTTATTTCTGAGGCCTCTGCTCTGTTCCATTGGTCTATATATCTGTTTTGGCACCAGTACCATGCTGTTTTGGTTACTGTAGCGTTGTAATATAGTTTGAAGTCAAGTAGTGTGATGCCTCCAGCTTTGTTCTTTTTGCTTAGGATTGTCTTGGCTATGTGGGCTCTTTTTTGGTTGCATGTGAAATTTAAAGTAGTTTTTTCTAATTCTGTGAAGAAAGTCCATGGTAGCTTGAAGGGGATAGCATTGAATCTATAAATTACTTGGGCAGTATGGCCATTTTCACAATATTGATTCTTCCTATCCATGAGCATGGAATGTTCTTCCATTTGTTTGTGTCCTCTCTTATTCCCTTGGGCAGTGGTTTGTAGTTCTCCTTGAAGAGGTTCTTCACATTCCTTGTAAGTTGTACTCCTAGGTATTTTATTCTCTTTGTAGCAATTGTGAGAGGGAGTTCACTCATGATTTGGCTCTCTGTTTGTCTATTATTGGTGTATAGGAATGCTTGTGATTTTCTCACATTGATTTTGTATCCTGAGACTTTGCTGAAGTTGTTTATCAGCTTAAGGAGATTTTGGGCTGAGATGATGGGGTTTTCTAAATATACAATCATGTCATCTGCAAACAGAGACAATTTGACTTCCTCTCTTCCTATCTGAATACCCTTTATTTCTTTCTCTTGCCTGATTGCCCTGGCTAGAACTTCCAATACCACATTGAATAGGAGTGGTAAGAGAGGGAATCCTTGACATGCTTAGTTTATACTACCAGTAGGTCTCCCTGAACTCCCATGCATGTGCATCTGCTAGAATTCTGTGCCTCTGGAGCACTGCAAAAGCTGTGCGCTAATAGATTGGTGAGGCTATGTGCTAATGGATTCTCTAGGGCCAAAAGAGATTTTAAAATATTTTATTTCAGATCCATCTATATGCTGCCTTTCAAGAAACTCACTTCTTGACTTTAGGGACACACACGGGCTAAAAGTGAAGGGCTGGAAAAAGACATTCTATGCAAATTGTAATCAGAAGAGAGAATGGATGGCTATACATCAGACAAAATAGGCTCTACATCAAAAACTGTCGCAAGAGACAAGAGGGTCATTATATAATTATAAAAGTATCCTCTTATCAAGAGGATATAACAATTACAAATATTTATGCACCAAATATCAGAGCACCTAAATATATAAAGCAAATATTAATGTAACTGAAAGGAGATATAGACAGCAATGCAATAATGGTAGGGGACTTTAGTACCTCACTTTCATGAACAAACTATAGACCAAATGGACCTAACAGACATATTCAGAACATTCCATCCAGTAGCAGTAGAATACACATTCTTTTCAGACACCCACAGAGCATCCTCCAAGATAGATCATACGTTAGGCCACAAAACAAGTCTTAACAAATTTAATAAGACAAATAATATCAAGTACCTTTTATGACCACAACAGTATGAAACTAGAAATCAATACCAGGAGGAAAATTAGGAAATTCACAAATATGTGGAAATTAAACAATGCACTCTTAAACAACCAATGGATCAAAGAAGAAATCAAAATGGACATAAATATCTTGAGGAAAATGGAAATATACAGATATCAAAACTTATGGAATGCAGCTAAAGCAAATCTAAGAGGGAAGTTTATAGTAATAAACACCTACATTCAGAAAAAAAGAAAGATCTCTAATGAACAACCTAACTTTACACCTAAGCCCAAAGTTAGCAGAAGGAAGAAGATAAAGATTAGAACAGAAATAAATGAAATAGATACTAGAAGAACAAAAGAAAATATCAACAAAACTGAGAGTAATAAAAACAGAGAAAAGACTCACATAAATAAAATTATAGATAAGGGAGATATAACAACTGATATCACAGAAATACAAAGGATCATAAGAGACTACTATGAAAATTATATTCCAACAAGTTGGATAACCTAAAAGAAATGAAGAAATTCCTAGAAACATACAGCTGACTATCTTAGTTTGTTTTCTGTTGTTTATAATAGAATATCTGAAACTGGGTAATTTAGAAAGAATAGGAATTTATTTTCTACCATTATGGAGGCTGAGAAGTCCAGGATCAAGGGGGTGCATCTGATGAAAGTCTCCATGGTGGGGACTCTGCAGAATTCTGAAGCAGTACAGCGCATCACATGACCAGGGTGCTGAGCATGCTAGGTCCAATCTCTCTTCTTCTTATAAAGCCACCAGTCCCACTCCCATGATAACCCATTAATCCATTAATCCATTAGTAGATTAATCCATTCACAAAGACAGAGTCCTCATCATCCAATCACTTTTTTAAGGCCCAGCCTCTTAATATTGCCACACTGGGGATAAAGTTTCAACATGAGTTTTGAAAGAGACAAATATTGAAACCATAGCACCTACAAAGACTGACTCATGAAGAAACAGAAAATCTGAACAGACCATACTAAGTAAGGACTTTAAGTCAGTGATTAAAAACTTCCCAACAAAGAAAAGCCAAGGACCTGATGGCTTCACTGGTGAATTCTGCCAAATATTTAAGGAAAATTAAACCAATCCTTATCAAACTCTTCCCAAAAAATTGAAGAAGAAAGAGCACTTCCAAAGTCACTATGAGGCCAACATTACCCTGATAGCAAAGCCAGACAAAGACACTACAAGAAAAAAAAATATGAAAGAATATCCCTGATAAACATAGATGCAAAAATCCTCAACAAAATACTGACAACTCTAGCAAAAATGGACAAATGTAATCACATCAACTTAAAAAGTGTCTGTACAGTGAAGAAAATAATCAAGGAAATGAAGGGACAGCCCACAGAATGGGAGAAAGTATTTGCAAACTACCTACCTGACAAGGGATTAATTACCAAAATATATAAGGAGCTAAAATAACTCTCTAGGAAAAAATATCTTATAATCCAATTTAAAAATGGGCAAAAGATCTGAACAGACATTTCTCAAAAGAAGACATACCAGTAGCAAACACATATATGAAAAGGTGCACAACACCACTGATCATCAAAGAAAGGTAAATCAAAACTACAATGAGATATCATATCACCTTGGTTAAAATGGCTTTTACCCAAAAGGCAATAATGAATGCTGGTGAGGATGTGGAGAAAAGGGAACTCTCTTCCACTGTTAGTAGGAAGCTAAATTAGTGCAGCCACTATGGAGAATGCATGGGGATTACTCAAAACAAACTAAAAATAGAGCTATCACATGATCCAACAATCCCACTACTGTATATATACCCAAAAGAAAGAAAGAAGTATATCAAAGAGATATCTGCACTCCCATGTTTATTGCAGCATTATTTATAATAGCCAAGATTTGGAAACAACCTGAGTGCCCATCATCAGACAAATGGATAAAGAAAATATACATATGTAAAATGGAGTACTATTCAGTCATAAAAAAGAATGAGATCCTATCATTTGCAACAACATGGATAGAACTGGAGATCACTATGTTAAGTGAAATAAGCCAGGCACAGAGTGAAACTTTGAATGTTCTCACTTATTTGTGGGAACTAAAAAATTTCAAACAACTGAACTCATAGAGATAGAGAGTGGAATGATGGTTACCAGAGGCTGGGAAGATTGGAGGAGGACAGGAGGAAGAGAGGATGGTTAATGCATACAAAAATATTATTAGAAGGAATAAGATATAGTATTTGACTCACGCCTGTAATCCCAGCACTTTGGGAGGCCGAGGCGGGCGGATCACGAGGTCAGGAGATCGAGACCATCCTGGCTAACACGGTGAAACCCCGTCTCTACTAAAAATACAAAAAATTAGCCGGGCGTGGTAGCGGGCGCCTGTAGTCCCAGCTACTCGGGAGGCTGAGGCAGGAGAATGGCGTGAACCCGGGAGGCGGAGCTTGCAGTGAGCCGAGATCGCGCCACTGCACTCCAGCCTGGGCGACAGAGCGAGACTCCGTCTCAAAAAAAAAAAAAAAAAAAAGAAGGAATAAGATATAGTATTTGATAGCACAACAGGGTGACCATAGTCAACAATAACATTGTACATTTTAAAATAACTAAAAGTATAACTGGATTGTTTGTAACACAAAGAAAGGGTAATTGCTTGAGGTGATGCATACCTGACTTACCTTGATGTGACTATTACACATTATATGCTTGTATCAAAATATCTCATGTGACCCATAACAATATACACCCACTATTTACCCATAAATATTAAAAATTAAAAATACTAGCAAACCAAATACAAAAGCACATTAAAAGGTTCATACACCATGATCAAATAGGCTTTATCTCAGGGATACAAGGATGGTTCAATATATGCAAGCTGGTAAATATAATACACCACATTCACAGAATGAAGGATAAAAATCATATAATCATCTCACTAGATACAGAAAAAGCATTTGATAAAATTCAACATTATTTCATGATTTTCAAATCTTGTAAAAAAATTAGTGATAGAAGGAATGCAACTCAATATAATAATGACCATATATGATAAGCCCTCAGCTAACATCATACTCAACAGTGAGCAACAGAAAGCTTTTCCTCTAAGATCAGAAACAAGACAAAAATACCAACTCTTGCCACTTCTATTCAACGTAGTACTGTAAGTCCTAGACAGAACAATTAGGCAAGAAAAAGAAATGAAAGGCATCCAAATTAGAAAGAAAGAGGTAAAATTGTCTTTGTTTGCAGATGGCATGATCTTATATATAGGAAAGTCTAAAGACTCCACTAAAAAGCAGTTCGAAATAATAAATTTAAAGTTGTAAAATATGAAACCAATATACAAGTCAGAACATGTATATAAACAAACAACAAACTATCCAAAAGAGAAATGATGAAATCAATCCGATTTACAGTAGCATCAAAAAATAAAATACTTAGAAATAAATTCAGCCAAGGAGGTAAAAAAAGAAGTGCACACTGAAAAGTACAAAACATTGATGAAAGAAATTGAAGGCCAGGTGCAGTGGCTCACGTCTGTAATCCCAGCACTTTGGTAGGCTGAGGCGGGCAGATAACCTGAGATCAGGAGTTCAAGACCAGGCTGGCCAACATGGTGAGACTCCCATCTCTACTAAAAATACAAAAAAATTAGCTGGGCATGGTGACACACGCCTGTAATCCCAACTACTCAGGAGGCTGAGGCAGGAGAATTGCTTGAACCTGGGAGGCAGAGGTTGCAAGGTTGCAGTGAACCGAGATAGTGCCACTGCACTCCAGCCTGGGCGAAAGAGTGAGACTCTGTCTCAAAAAAAAAAAAAGAAAAAAGAAAGAAAGAAGTTGAAGAAGATGCAAATAAATAGATATTCTGTGTTCATTGATTAGAGGATTAGAAAAATCAGTATTGTTAAAATGTTCATACTGCTGAAAGCAATCTACAAATTCAGTGCAATCCCTATCAAAATTCTAGTGGCATTTTTCATAGAAATAGAACAATCCTAAAATTCTTATGGAACCACCAAAGGCCCTGAATAGCAAAAGCAACCTTGAACAAGAGGAACAGAGTTGGAGGCATCACATTTTCTGATTTCAAATTATATTACAAAGTTATAGTAATCAAAATAGTATGGTACTGGCATAAAAACAGATACATATATCAGTGAAACAGAATAGAGAGCTCAGAGAAAAACCCAAGCATATATAGTCAACTAACTTTTGACAAGGGCATCAAGACTACAAAACAAAGAAAGGATAGTCTCTTCAATAATTGGTGTTGAGGAAACTAAACATTCACCTGCAAAAGAAATGAAATTGGACGTATATTAGACCATATACAAAATGGGTTAGAGACTTAATCATAAGACATAAAACTGTAAAACTTCTACAAGAAAACATAGGGGAAAGTGCTTTGATATTGGTCTTGGCAATGATAATTTGGGGTATGACACTAAAAGCACCAACAAAAGCAAAAATAAACAAATAAGACTACATCAAACTAAAAACCCTTTTCACATAAAGGATATAATGACATGGACACAGGAAGGGGAACATCACACTCTGGGGACTGTTGTGGGGTGGGGGGAGGGGGGAGGCATAGCACTGGGAGATATACCTAATGCTAGATGACGAGTTAGTGGGTGCAGCACACCAGCATGGCACATGTATACATATGTAACTAACCTGCACATTGTGCACATGTACCCTAAAACTTAAAGTATAATAATAATTAAAAAAAGGAAATAATGAATGAAATGAAAAGGCAACTTACAGAATGGGAGAAAATATTTATAAACGGTATATCTGAATGGGAGATAATATCCAAAACATATAAGAAACTCAAACAACTCAATATCAAGAAAACAATAACTAAATATAAAAAGAGGGTAAAGAACTTGAATAGACATTTCTCAAAAGGATACACACAAATGGTCAACAGGGATATTAAAAAGTATTCAACATCACTAATCATCAGGTAAATGCAAATCAAGGCCACAATGAGATACCACATCACGCTTGTTAAGATGGCTATCATTAAAAAAAAAAAAAAAGGAAAGATCCATGTTGAAGAGTATGTGAAGAAAAGGGAACGCTGACACACTGTTGGTGGAAATGTAAATTGGCACAGCCATTACAAAAAAAACAGTATGGAGGTTCCCTAAAACTTTTTAAATAGAACTACCATATGATCCAGCAATCCCACTTCTGGATATTTATACAAAAGAAATGAAATCAGTATGTAGAAGAGATACCTGAACTCCCATATTCATTGCAGTATCATTCACAAATAGCCAAGATATGAAAACAACCTAAATGTCTATTGGCAAATGAATGAATAGAGAAAATATGGACTATACATGTAATGGAATATTATTCAGCCTTAAAAAAGAAGAAAGTCTTATTTGGGAGGCGAGGTGGACAGATCACTTGAGGTCAGGAGTTCGAGACCAGCCTGGCCAACATGGCAAAACCCCATCTGTACTAAAAATACAAAAAAAAAAAAAAATTAGCTGAGCATGGTGATGAACTCCTATAATCCCAGCTATTTGGAAGGCTGAGGCACAAGAATCACTTGAACCCAGGAGGCAGAGGTTGCAGTGAGCCAGTGAGCCAAGATCATGCCACAGCACTCCAGCCTAGGCAACAGAGCAAGACTCTGCCTTAAAAAAAAAAAAGGAAAAAAGAAAAAAAATCCTGCCATTTGCTATCACGTGGATAGAACTAGAGGACATTATGCTAAGTGAAATAAACCAAACACAGAAAGACAAATACTGTAAAACTTTACTTATATGTTGAATCTAAAATAAGCAAACTCATAGAGGCAGAGAGTAGAATGGTAGTTGCCAGGGGTTAAAGGTGGGGGAAATGGAGAGGTGATGGCCAAAGATTACAACGTTTCGGTTATGCAAGATAAGTTCTGGAGATTTAATGTGCAGCATGGCAACTATAGCTAACAATACTGTACTGTATACTTAAAATTTTCTAAGAGGTTCTTAAGTGTTATTACCGCAAGAATAATAATAATAATAATTAATAATTATTATAACAATAACAAGGGGATAGGAGAAAACTTTAGGAGGTGTTGGATATGCCTTTGGACATGATGGTGGTGATGGTTTCATGGGTATATATTTATCCTCAAACTCATGGAGTTGTATACACTAAGTATGTACAGCTTTTTACGTGTCAATCACACCTCAATAAAGTGATTTAAAAATATATATTTGCTCTTCATATTTAAAAAGGCAGTTAATTCTCCTGATCAGCAGTTTATTTTAACCCTAAAAAGATACGTGGAATATTTTCAAGGCAATGGATATAGAAGATTTTAATTTGTATCTCAAACTGAAATTTCATGCTATACCATAGATATTTGCCAATTCAGATTATTGGAATTGAGTATTTTTTTAAAAAAACCATACCAGTACCTTGGCATGAAGTATTAGGCAGAGAGAGTCAGAGCATAGCCAAGCGTAGTGCCGCAGAGTCCCATAGCAACACCATTCAAGCCCACACTTGCAGGTGGGCGAGACCACTCATCTGTGTCCTCCTCTGATCTTGCCTGGTTCTTGCATTGGTGGAATGAGCCTGCTAACGAGCACACCCATCACTGCCCCTGAGAACCACTAGGATAAGTGAGGAAGGATATTCAGAACACTGCCTCATTACTGCTTAGATTTCTCCTTCCAGCCAGTCAGCACCGAAACCAGTTTAATGTCTGCACATTAAAAAAAAGGCAGAGTGAAATGCTCTCCTCGGCTTCTCCCCACCTCCACCTTGTCCTAAAGAGTAACTAAGCCTTTCTGTTCTCCACCTCAACTTGATTAGGGGAGGGAGAAAAATTACTTCATTGTGTTTTAGAAACTTCTCTTAAAAAAAAAAAATGCCTAGGCCAATCCAGAAATTGCTGGAGCTCCGCATGCTGACGCTAACAATCATGTAGCAAAAATCAGTAGCAGTGGTAGCTCTGTTAACTACCATGAACATCCAGGACCATACAATGAAAGGAAGAATAAAGCCAAGTGAATGTGGATGGACAGAGAACCAGATTTAATTTAATTTGGAAAAATCAAGGAATATAACATTTCTTGCATTTGTCTCATAACCACTTCTTACCTAAGGTTAAAAAAAAAAAAACTACCTCAGTTTATTTGTTCTTACCTTTTCAAAGTAAACAATTTCAACTTAAATTCCGTGTCACACAATTTCTTTTAACTGCAAAATTCTGAATCCTTTTTTAAATAACATAGGGAAATATTTAACTTAAAGTTCAGAGCTCAGAAAAGACGATCCTCCTTATACACTAGATATTCTTAACTAGTGCTTCTATAATTTGCTTCTAAACAAAGAAAATCTGTTCAGCTGGTAACCACAGTCTATTGAAACAATTGAAATAACTGTCAATAGTTAAGTAGAAGGTATACATTAACTTAGAGCTTCTTTAAGAACTATGTGTATTTCCGGATTAAAGTAGTTTATATAAACTAGTTCAGTTAACTATTTTACCAGGACACAATATGGCATTCTGCAAAATTCATTGCTCCTATAACTATAAAGTCCTGTTCAAGAGACTTTCACAATTATATTTGCTTCACACATTAAAATGAGAATGTAATCTAATAATAAGTGTTGATTTGGAGTTAAAGATGTAATAGGCCCAGGTTTGGTCCCAACAATGGAGCTTGGCTTTAGGACTTCCCAGCGCCACTTTCTAAAATCACTGGTCCTCAACTATTCTATTTAAAATAGACCTGCTTGTTCCCACTCAAAATAGACAATGCAAAAACACATATTTTCTTCTTCTACACATACATATTTTCCTCCATTGCTCCCTGTGTTACTGGTTTAAGACAACATTTATTCTTAAAATTACTTCACCAATTCCTAGGATATGTTTTCCCACAATAAACAGTTAAAAAGATAAAACAGTCTTAATTTTGGGTCACTGATTCATCTTCTTCTAGACCATGCTGATTTCTTTTTAGCATCTGGCACGTGACCCAGCGATAATTTTTAACGACTTTCAAAATACATTTTTCTGGAAATCAAATAAATACATTTTTCCCCTAAAGCCCCCTTGCATTACTATTGTGGTTTGTCCTCCAAAGTGCAACTTCAAAGGCCACTGTAGGAGGAACTCTCATTGTTTTTGTCTGATGATCAGTACTGATGGTTATTCTTTAGCAACTTGGATTTAGCCACTTAAAGAAGTAGCGAGATCTATGCCTGAAGACAAACATTCTTTATTATTTTTTCATCTCATAAATGAGATAAGAAAGATCTCAACTCCTTCTAGAGCAGTGGTTCCCAAACTTGAACGTGTATGAGAATCATCTAGAGGGCTTGTTAAACCATGTGTCCCTGGGCCCACTCTAGGGTTTTGCTTCAGCCCCTGGAGTTGCAGCCTGAGAATCTGTATTTCTGATCAGTTCCCAGGACCACACCATGAGAACCACTGGTCTAGACTATCTGAGTGGTCCAATCAAAAAAACCAAAATTTTTACAAAAACAACTTTTAAATCACTATTAGAAAAAATTAAGACATTCATACTTCTAGCTCTAAAATTTATCTTATCAGAACCTCATAATGTTTCTTGGAGGAATTTTAGTAAACAATAGTATTATATTCATTTTTTAAATGTCAAAAATTTGTCTAACATCATTACACTGAATCTGTTTTTGCCTTCATATTGGAAAGTTTAAGCACAACTATTTTTTATTTTAGCTTGTAGACAATTTTCCAAAGAACATATGTGGTTTTCTTTTTTAGAATAACATGTGATTAAAGACACTGTTTTACCTTTAAAAAGCAACTGAATTAAAATTTACTTCACATATGTTTATAGATTTTCCAAAAATTCCAAGGCAAACTCAAACTGCATAGAAAGTTAATTTTTTCTAAATTCATCCATGAGTATATGGGTATGGTTTACTATCACTTATGCATACCTCTTATTAGAATAAGAGCACATTCTAAAAAATTTCCAATTGGCACCATTTATTATATCACCATTTATGCGATAATCTAATAAATAGCATCTAATGAAAAATACATTTACCTTGGAAAACTATACACATACTATATGAGAGAATAATTAAGATGATGATTGCAATAAAAACAGTACTGTACATTAGTTTCCTAAATGTTATGGTATAAATTAATGTCCAAAGGAAATACTTTTCATTCATCAAAGATTTGAAACTACAAATTATTAAACATGTGTGCTAAGAAGCTATTTGTAACTGATTTTAAGCTCTGTGTATTTTTATGTTCATTGAAGCACTTTTTTAAAAGAACAACACGTGCTTGTTTACCACCACTCGCTGTTCAACTCTCTGAAAACTAGCTCCTCTGCTGCATACTGACTAGTACAGATAAAGACAATTCTGTTGTAACAAGATTACTTTTTAGGACTTTAGGGGTTTTTTTCTTATTGTTTATTTAATGTTGAAGCATAGTTTTAATAACAACCCTGATCAGAAACTCATTTTAATGATGCTAGGAGTACTAATTCTCCCAGCCTTTCAGAAGGATGTAAATTACTACTGTGGTGTGGAGACTTGGGAAGCATTTGGGCACAATGAACAAACATGAGAAAATTGCTGGAGGTAAAGAATAGCTACTGTTTACTGGACAGAAGGAAAAAATGGCGAATCCAATAATGGTCATGATGGAGATGCAAGTAAATAGAGTTTGCCATCAATTGACTAATTTGACAAAGTGCACCTAGATTCATCATCTTTCCAACTCTGCTCTTTCTAATCTTTTAATGCATCACCATCATCCAAGGCTCCTTTCTTCTAGGACAATAACTGGGCATCCAGAACAGTACCAGCATAATACCCAGTACAATACCAGACAATGTCTAAAGTATCCCATCAGCTGGTTAAAATAGTCTCAAACACAGTGGTCTGGCACATGAAATCAGCCCATTTAGCAGCCACTTCTAGAGACCCATCCTCCTCCCACCTGCCCTTCTTTTCCCTTTATTGCTCAATAATGTCCAATAGTCTTCTAAGCTTTTGTTAAGTCCCTGTTGATTCTTGGTGTTTCTGATTTTTACTGCCCTGATTCTGCTTGTCTTTATTCTATGGTTCAGCCCTTTGTACCATGACTGAAGCTGCTATGTCCTCCTCACCAACTCCCTTTGGTTCCAACACTTACACACATCTTACAATATTTCACCCAGAAAATGTTTTCTTATGTACCCTTAAAGCAGATCTGGTAAGATATTTGACCCTAACAAATATGTGACTATTGAATATATTTATAGATGGGCAAGTTGTGGAGAAAACCCAGCTTCCTATTTCACAAGGTGAACAGGAAGCAGTAAACATGATAGGAATGAGGAACTACCAAAACCTATCTCCACTTGGTTCTTACAACTAGACCCAACTATGTATTGTGTTTAGTTAGTCTCTGGAAAATACAATCACCGAGAAATTCCCTGTAACTATTGCATGACATGTAAACATGACCAATAGTCAGTTAACCGGGGAAATCATTTAGAAATTCCAGGAACTCCAATTTGAACTCCAGTAATTCTAAAGGAAGATTAAATGAGAAAAAGGAGACACATTTTTGTTTTCACAACTAGGATTTCTTATTCTGACACCTTTTTATTTCAGTAGCACAGCCTGAAGAGTGTTATCTCACCAGGAGGAAAGTAAGATGACAAAATTGATCTGTCTTCACAAAGCAAAATTATAAACTTAATTACATAATTATTTTTTAATATGTGCATTTATGACTATTGTGATAATAGCAGTTACATTTCATGTTCTTCACAAGCTTCACATATACCAGTTCATAAAGCCTAACAATATTCTCATTCAACGTACAATAGTTAATGACCCATTCGCTTGCCATTTGTCTTTTCCTCTGCCAATCTTTATTTTTCTCAGTACTTACCCATCCTGTTACCCAAAAGAGGCATATTCTGCAATATTCACTTTAGATGAAGCCAGTTCAAATCAATGCAAAGGAAGGATCTTCCAGAGTGTAGACAAAGGGCCATAATAAAAGATGAATTGGGCAGCCCCTGCTAGGGAACAGTCTCTGGGCCTAATTAAGGAATATTTCCTATCCTCAGGTTAAGGAGCCTTACCTTGTTCTACCCAGCAGGATTTGCTAGCCTTCTCCTTTCTAATCAGAATGTTATTACAGTTATTTGTAACTCTTATAGCTGCTCCAAATTGTGCTGTGGAACATAGATCAGGGCAGATAGCTTATCTTTTTAGTTCACAGATATTAAATCAAGAGAATCCACATCTAGATGTCATGTAGGAGCCACCTACTATGCATCACCCAGAAATCCCGAAGTGTGAGCTTGACACCGTGACTAGGTGTAACTTCTAGAATGTCTCTCTTGAAAAAGAGGTTAGTGTATTATGCCTAGAGATCAGAAAGGCAGACTGAAGTTATCCTTAGTAATGTTCATCAAAATACTTTTAGCTCTCCTCCTTCCAGGCTCAGGGATGGATTGTCCTTTCCCTATCACTTTGAAGTTAGGCCAATGAAATTTAAACAGACATGCTGTGGGTCCCTTCCAGATAGAATTCACCATGTTTCCTGTGTCCTGCCTTGATAGTCATGGATGTGTGTGTCAATATAGAATTTCCATCAGCCTGGTGCCTGAGAGACTATGGTGATCAGAGCCCTCCACTGACTTGTGATAACCATCATGGTCATGTAAAATGAGAAATAAATTTCTGTTGACTTAAGCAACTAAGGTTCTGTGGTTGTTGTATTTTTTCCACAGATCATCTAACCTATACTGACTGATAAGCCTTCTAAAAGCAAAAGGAAGAAAACAGCTTTGTTAATCGAGGCCTCTTCTGCAAAGTTCACCATAGGTAAGAAAATATTTCTCATAGCATTGCAAATCTACACCCAAATCTATACCCAAATCAAAAGTTAGTGCTACCTGGAAGGAGCCAAAGAAATGAGGAAATCCTGACTTCCCAGTCTTTATCCAATATGCCCCACAGGGCAACCTTGGAATTATAGAGGTAACAAGCCCCTGTTCCTCAAGTGTCAATCCCTGGAATGTGGCAGATTAGCTCTGCACATGAAACCATCTATTATTCCCCTTGTCTTGAAGCAGAAGCCAAGATAGCAGCCTTTAAACTAAGGCTTAGGGCCTCCAACAGATGCTAACAGGGAGACATACAAAGGCAGTACCTAGATTCGTTGACCATGACCCAAAACATTGGTTAACAGCTAACAGAATGCATTCTGTTTGAAGCTACTGTGTCCTACCACGATTTTAAAGGACTTGTGCTATCAGAGAGACCCTGAGCCTGGACTAGATCAGTGGTTCCCAAATCATGGTCCACAGACAGCGTCTATGGGACTTTTTACTCATCTGCAATGAAATGAGAAAAATAAGGACAATTTAGTCATTTTTAGTGAAACTAAATATATTCTATGTAGAGGACTGTGTTTGAACATTATAGCTTTCCTAATTTTGTGATATTAAAATGTCTTTACATTTATCAAATGATGGTAAAAGATAAATGGTAGGGCCTTTATTGTTGCTATTACTGTTTTTATTTGACAAAATTAAGTTTGGTAACCTTATGTTGTCCCCATTGTTTTTATTAAAATTTGACTTAATTATGGAAACTATTATTTTTACACGACCATCAGGTTTAAAAACTACTGAAGCTCTATAAATCTTTATATGTAGGACACGCTATGGTTATGTTTAATATGATAAAGTGTAACATGATGGAATCTTGAAACCTCTTGCCCCATCCTCTAGAGCTGCACCATCCATCGGGGTAACAACCAGCCACATGTAGCTACTGAGCTCTTGAAATATAGCTGCTCCAAATTGTGCTGCATAGTAAAATACATACTGAATTTTAAAGATAAATAATAAACTGTTAGTTATTTGAGAAATCTCCAAATTGCTCTCCAGTGGCTGAACTAATTTACATTCCCAATGGATTCATTCACACGCTAAACATCAGCATCACACAATATACCTTTGTAACAAGCCTGCACATATACCTCTTCATTCTAAAATAAAGGTTTAAAAAAAGAAATAAAATATCTCATTAATAATTTTTATATTGATCACATGTTGAAGTGGTAATATTTTTAATATCCTGAGTTAAATAAAATTTATTATTAAAACTGATTCATCTGTTTCTTTTTACTTTTTAAGTATGGCTTCTAGAAAACTTTAAATTGCATCTGTAGCTCACATTGTATTTCTATTGGACCTCCCTGTTCTAATGTCAGTGTGTTCATGATTAACCACTATTAAGATTATGTTCTTTCTGGTAATGTATTGTGTTTGCATGCCTTCTCAGTCACACAAATCGTAATAGCTGACTTACTTCTGTTACTCACAGCCTCATTTACCTAGAGTCTCTGCTCTTTCTCATCTTTTGTATCATATGGTCATGAAACTAGTTTTCTTAGTTAGTCTCCTTTTGATCATATCACTCCTTTGCCCAGAAATTGAAGAACAGGGAAGTCTTAGGCACCGGTGGTGAGAATGTACATTAGTACAGCAAGTCCTCACTTAATAGCATCAATAAGTTATTGGAAACTGTGACTTTACGTTAAAGGACATACTGTATAACAGAACCAATTTTATCATAGGCTAATTGATATATAAACAGGAGTTAACTTCCTATGGCTTACAGTTTGCAATTTCACTTAAAGTCACAGTTTCCAAGAACCTGTCAATGGCATTAAATGAGGAATTGTTATATAGTCACTGTGGAAAAGAGAATGAAGGTTCCTCAAGAAATTAAAAATGCAACTAACATAGGATCCAGCAATCCCATTACTGGAGATATACACAAAGGAAAAGAAATCAGTATGTCAAAGAGATATCTGCTCTTCCATGTTTATTGCAGCACCATCCACAATAGCCAAGGTATAGACTCAATCTAAAAACCCATCTACAGATGATTGAAGAAAACTAGATAGATAGATGATAGATAGATAGATAGATAGATAGATAGATAGATAGACAGATAGATACAATGGAATACTATTCAACCATAAAACGAATGAAATCCTGTCGTTTACAGCAAAATGGATAAAGCTGGAGAACATGTCATGTGAACTCAGGCAGATACAGAAAGACAAACACTGCATAATATTATATGTGGAATCTAAAGAAGCTTGTTTCACAGAAGTAGAGAGTAGAATAGTGGTTACCAGAGGCTGGGAAGAGGTTGGTTGACAAGTACAAAGTTACATTTAGACAGGGAGAATAACTTCTGGTGTTTCTGTTACACAGTAGGGTGACTATAGCAAATAACAATGCAGTGTACAGTCGAAGATATAGTTGAAGAGACTAGAAGATTTTGAATGTTATCACGACAAAGCAATGATAAATGTTTAAAGTGATAGAAGGTAATTACCCTGATTTGAACATTATAAAATGTATACAAGCATTGAGACATAACATAAGTATGTACAATTACCATATGTTGATTATGAATTTAAATTTAAATTTTAAAATAAAAAATAACCTAATGTTTGACACTTTCCAACAAGTAATTATTCCATAGCTCTCCAATACCAATTATGTTATTTTCTGGCCATAAACCCATCCAGACCTGCTATGTGCACATGCTGAGCATTTGCACTCACTTGTCTTTGATATGAAATGTTGTTTCCATTATTCTCTCTCAGTCTATGTCTTTCTTTGTCTTCCACACTCAGTACACAGCTCTCCTTCTCTAAAAAACCTTCCATACTTGACCCTACCCTGCCCTCCAAACCAGGCTCCTTGATGATCTCTCATATCTCCTTTAATACATTATGTTCATGGCATCAATTTATATTTATTGATAGATGTAGAAAAAATATATATTTCAGACAATCAGCTATGTGCATTCCGTTTCCATAATTCATAAATTATCTTAAAGCAGAGTATCATATTTCATAAAATGACAGGGCTATAATGCAGCTAAAAGATTGACTGTTTGTTTTACTAGTGAGGTAACAAGACTAAAGCTTTTAAGTGACTTATCAGAGTTTACATGTCTAATTAGGAGCAAAAGTGGGACCAGAACTCCCAATGTTCTACTGGTATTCCTGGAACAAGCCACTTTTACTTTTCTAATTTATTCTGTCTTCCAGCATGTAGGAAATGCCCCCGTATAAATCAGGTAGTCTCAAATGAAGCACGAAGAAGCATCAGCAGGAGATAGTGCCCAAAGGAGAGAACATTGAGATTATCAGGATAGGGCAAAGAGCACCAGATCTCCAATGGGGTGATCCCATGGGGTGAAAAGCAGGCTAGATGATAGGCAAGTGAGTGGGCTTAGAGACAAGGCTCCAATCATAGCAGAGTGGCTGAAGTGCAGTCAAGAAATCTGAAGCAGCTGAGGCTTAACCACAGTGACTGAGCATGCGCCTTAAGGTTGTGAGGGAAGATGGCTGCTTAGGGAGCAGACATGTTACCAGACATGAAACAGCAAGGTTAATTTCCAGATCCCACCCACTAACCCAGTCAACAGACTATATCACTTATTTTATCCCATCAGTCTTGATAGATAGTCTAGATAGAATGAACCTAAAGCTTGAATATGTTCAATTAAGGGAACTAAGTAAGATAAAGTTAATATTAAGCTCTGCCCAGAGTTTGCACTTACCGTGTAAGATGATAGAGAGATGGATAGATAAGGGGCAACACAAAAATCCACATGGCACTTGGCTTACAATGTAATGGTTGATTTTCTGCTAAAATGACAATAGCTTCTGGTCAGTTTTCATCTAGGGTGAAATTGTTTAGATTTTATATAAAATATTTTCTGAAATACCTGTGCCTACTAACTGTCTGCTCCAGTTGCACATTTTGCTAGCTATCACTCCCTAAAAGTCATTTCATTTCAGAATTGTTTAATTAATGCTAAATCAAGCAGCTAGTATTTTTGGTGTTACACAGAGGTGATGAATTCCTCAAGGGTCTTGCCTGACTGACAGCTGTCAACTAGAAATGGATGCATAGAATGAACAATTTGGCAGCATGCATTTTAGCCCTTAGATTGCACTTAATATTTTTAACGTATGGTTGTTTTACTATTATCTGAATATCTCTACATGATGAAGCTCTTATTGAGGTTTTACCAGCCTCTCGCACTGGGACTTTCTCAGGTCTACAATAAAAAAAAACACATAATAAAATGGCTTTTTCTACTGTTGAAAATGGTGATTATGAATAGGTTCAGAAACGTGGACAGAAGCCCTCAAGTGTCATTACCCAGTTTTAAAACATGATGCTGAAAAAAAGAAAGTCGTGGTTTATTTCCGTCATGGTAGGATGAAAAAGCTGCAAGATTACTGTGGATGTGTATAGTGCAAACAGGTTAACAATGCTTGTTTGGTTTGACTCACTAGGTTGGTTCGAGAAGTAATTTTCAAATAGAAGGTTTTGTTATTCAAAGAGCCTCAACGAGGTTTTAAGAAGAGATTCAAAGATAAGAAAGGGTATCAGCCTCTATTAGCCTATGTCGAGGGCAGAAACCCCTGACATGCTCAGCCAAGTGGAGGCGTTGACATCACAGATTCTATTGGGCCCAGAGTGCAAGTTTATAATTGAACAATGTAGGCAGGAAGTGAAGGCTAAGAACATACACCATCTGTTTGTTTTTAAAACTCTTTAATATGTGTCTTCAAACTGCAAAACAAGAGAATGAGAAAACACACTTTAATTCAAATCTTAATAAGAATTCTATTTCAGTAATCTGGTAAAAATAATAATAATAATAATAATAATACCTAAACATTACTGAGGGGAGTCTTTTGCTACAATGCAGTGGTTCTCAACCAGGAGCGATTTTGTCCTTCAGGAACATTTGCCAACGGCTGGAGACACCTTTAATTGTCGCAACTGGAGAGTGCTACAGGCATCCAATGGGTGGAGGCCAGGGAGGCCACTAAACGTTCTACAATGTAAAGGACAGCCTCTCACAATAAGGAATTCTCCAGCCCATAGTAGAAACAGTACCTGCCTCAATGTATGGCCAGGGTGTGCTATATTCACTTTTGGGTTTTGCCACCAAAATACTTCTATAAAACTAATATGCCAGATTCACTGTCTTTGCCAAAAATAAGACAGAAGTGACACCCTGAGAAAACAAACCATGAAAATTATTCATTCAGATGAATATCTATTTTAGTAAAACCTAATAGATTCTTAATAAAATGAGAGGTGATTTGGAAATTTTGCCCTGATAATTTGAGAGATTAAAAATACATTGTTAACGAGTACTTCCTGGCTACCCGCCCACTAATTGTATGTATCTGTGATATTCGCTCAGGCAAAAGTTTCAAAGTTTGCAAAATAACATCAGAATGATTTTGAAGACCTCTGTATCAACAGCTTACTTTTTGTTGACAATTCCCAAAGCAAGTCCTTCAATTTTACTATTAAGAAGCTTCTTATGGGTCCCCCTTCTGAAACTGCCCTTGACACGTTCCACAGCATCCTTCCAAAAAACTACTATTTCTAAATAAATTTAAAAAAATCCATGAACCACTCACATAATAATCTTAAAATACTTCAAGTATTATTAAAAATAGTGAACATTTTATGGGACTAAATTCAGTTAACCATAAGCATGTCCATCAAAAGAACAGTGTCTTCACTAAATCTACTACTAAATGAATAAGGGTTTGTGAAGATTTCTATATTAAAATTCTTCTTTCATGGAATTAATTATATTTATGGAGGGAGGAAGCAGTGTTAGTATAACCTTTTAGCCCTCATTTAGAAATAGGCTTATTATATTGAAGTCAATGATATACAGATATGTAATTCAAGCAGATTCTACGTGTATATCTACGAGTAGGGAGCATTAACCTCAAAAATAAATTCCTCATGTCAAAGGGCTACTACTCACTTGTTCCAGAAATTCATTAGCAAGTTGAAAAATAAGAATGACCCAGTCTGGTTAAAAGAAAATGCAGTCTACAGAAATGTTCATTGCATTTTCATACTTTTCCCCCCACTGGTCCAATAATAAAAATCATCATATGAATGACTGACACTTAGTAATCACCTATAATGCAGTAGGACCTACACCCCTCACTATGCCCTGTGCTGGCCATCACAGCTACCTTGCTGCATACATATTTTGCTCCAGAAAAGCAAGGCTCAGCCAAGAGTCAGCACCTGCATAACTCTAAAGTCACAGGGGACCTACAATTCAAACCCAGGCCAGCTTTGCTCCAGGACATCCACTGACATGTCATGGTCTCCATTGTAGCAAAATTCACAAGTTCAAAAGGATTTTAAGTTGTTTTATTCCTTTGTATTCTTCTTTCAACAATATCCTATTGTTCGAATTCCCAAACTCAAACAGTTTATAAACGATTGCTGTAGTTAGACTTTAATCGCTGTCCCACAGTTAATTCCACAAAGGCATTTTGCCCTGTGTAATTCCATTCTTTTCCTATTCCTGTGTCATTAGGGGAAAAAATATGTTTTTGCTTATGAGATATCTCTAGCTCAATTTCTTTCTGGTAGTGTGTCTTTGATCAGTTCAGACATTTCTCAGACTTCGTATACGCCCTCGTTTGTAGATAGCGTTATGTGTTCTCTGAAACTTTTTATTGCTTTTCAGCTTTGTGTGTGTGTGTGCACGCGCACGCGTGCGTGTGTGTAAAGAAGGAGATTAGGACATTTAGAGAAGGAGGGCGGGGAGGAGAGATCCTGAGAATAGAAAGGAGGAAAGAAAAAAAGAGGAATGGAAAGAGACAGAGAAAGGAAATGGGAGTGGAAGGAGGGAGGACTGCTTTGTAACTGCTAAGATTGCAGACAGAAATAGCACACAACCACTGTGAGCTGTATGCGATTCAGAAACCAAGACCAAATTTTGCTCACTTTCATTAATCAGTTGCTCAGATAGAAGGAAATGACATCTGGTTCTGTCTTCTTCTACATCTTAATTTTTGGAAAATATTGTAAGTATGCTCAGTATCTAATTTTGTATACCTTAGTATTTTGTGGAATAACCACAAGCACAAATGTTTACTCCTTATATTTATGCTTTTAAGATAAAATGCACTTGCTGATAAAATTGTAATCTCACTTCAGAATTGTTCTTCTTAGTATATGTCTGGTATTTGTATTAAAGACCATAATATCTTATCATAGTCAATAGTGAAGCGAGACTGATGTGCCGTGTAAACCTAGGCTTCATAATAACCAATTCATATAATTGATATTTTAAGCAACATTATAATATTTAAAGAGTAGTAATTCTTAAACTGTATTCAAGGAATATATTCATTGAAAACTCCTAGGAAAGTTCTCACATTTGTGCCAGTTTCTGTATAGTTGTAATGCTCTGTCGCCCTTATTCTTTGTCATTTGCTATCATAGGTGTGCTTCTGGGCAGGGAGATGCATTCATAAAACTCTTTTTATTTAGCAAGGTTTATCACTGTTCCTTGAAAGAAAAACAAGGGAAAGCACAAAGCAATGAAAAACATAGGCACAAAAGAAGCTCCAAATGGGCATGTTATTTTTACTATAATGACAAATTTTGTTTTCTCTGTGTGTGCTATGGTTTATTTTTCAGAAAATCTTTTTTAAATTCAAGGGAAACAGTTGTTGTGTGTTAAGCTCCATTTGAATTATAGTATGTAGACAGAAATAAAGTGTTTTTGTTTCTTAGGTAATAAATGATGAAAAAGTCAAAGCCAAACCAAGAACAAAACTTTCTGGGTATCTTTAATACTTTATGATTCCGGGAATGTGGGCTTTTACTAATTTAGAAATTAACAAGCCTTTTTATAGTCCTGTGTCTCTTAAAAGTTTGCATAAGTTTTGTTAACTCTGAGCTCTTCTATTAAGGAATGTCTCAGGGTAACTTTCAATCCTGACTCTCCCAATTGTAATATGTCAAAGTGATTATATCTTCCTTTTCCTCCTTCTTTCCTCCTTCCCTCTGCTCCATCGCATCTAAAGTTAAAGGACAGCATCAAAACCACAGAAACTATTCAGAATCCTGGGGAAATATTCTAGTCCTAGCCTTCTCCATCTCTAATCTTGATTACTGACAGTCCTATTTTTTAACTGAAGGGAAAACAATAAATTGCAAACCACCATAAAAAATGTAATGTTTCTAATTATAATTGCATGTTTAAACTACCAGAGCTTTTGACATTTGTGGCCAACAGCTTCAAAAATTAATGCCATATTTTACCATCCCTATTCCATTTCAATGAAATGAATAGATTAAATAAGCCAGAGGAATATTTCCAAAATAGTCTTTCTAGTATGAAGAATTTAAGGGTATATAAAAGGTGTTTAGGGCAGGTTGGGAAGCAACTTTGGCCACTGTGTTACCAGTCATTTCAGGTTAGGAAAAAAATTCCATGTTTACCTGTACCCTTTTGTTAATAAATTATTTTCATGAGCAGAAAATAATAATGATGGTGGTGATGATGATGCCAAAACCCTCTGTCTCTTTAAATTTAACTTCTCTTTTGATTCAAAAGAAAATTTGGGAGTGTAGTGTAAGTTGAGAGCTCCAAGTTCTCATCCTTCCACGCCTTCCCCAGGAAATGAGGGCATAAACATTTGCAGCAAAGTTTGGCAAGGCAATTCCTCGCTACATGGTATTAACTGCATGTTAGGGTGGGGGAACACTTGTCAGGGACGCCCTGAAATAGCACCCACAGCCGTGGCTCACCTTGAGTTTAGCCCCTCACCCAGGCCCCACCTAAGTGAGAATTTCCTGGGCACATAGCAATGGAAATCAACAGCCACACATAAGGACAAATTCTTAAACCTCTGTAAATGCCCCATGGTTGTTGTTTCTTTGTGTGTTTTCTTTGTTTTGTTTTGTTTTTATATCCACTTTCCTGTAACGGGAAAGGCGATGTGATATCATGGAAGACACCTAACCTAAGACGCTTAGCTGCACTACCATGTACCGGTTCTGTGGTTTTCAGCAAATGATTTACCTCTTCTGAGCATGTGAAATGGCAATCAAATCCTTTACCCTGTCTACCTTTCAGAAACCCTGTGTTCCATTCTTTATTACAAAAATTACTTCCTGAATCTTCACAACAACTCTATTATGTGGATACAATTAAGCACACGAGGTAGGACATTCAGTGCCTTGTCACAAGACTCCAGCTAATAAATGCCAAGATTGGAATGCTTTCAGAGCCCGTGCTCTCTCCCCTAGACCATGATAATTCTCAGTAGCCATAATGTGTATAAATGGGCTTTGAAAACTATAAAGCCCGTTACAGACGTAAGCAACTATTAGTCATCCTTTCAACCAAAAATACCTATGCATGCCAGAGCAGTGACCATGCTTTATTCACCTACCTTGTTAAAGTAAGCATGGTCCCTGCTCTAAAGGGATAGGATGGAGAAGACGGCACGTTGATCTAGAATTCAATTCAATAAGACAAGTGCAAAAATTGAGGTCCACACAAACAGAGGTGACATTAAGACTTAGAAAAGATTTCCTTTTAGCCTTGAGAATTTTTCATTCTTTAAAAATCCTTCTGTCCATAGTCTAATTAATTGTATTGTGCCAATGTTAATTTTTTAGTTTTGTAATGTACTAAATTTATGTAAGATTAAGGAAAGCTGGGTGAAAGGTGTATGGGACCTCTCTATACTATTTTTTCAACTTCTTGTAAGTATATATTTCAAAATCCGTGGTTAAAAAACAATCCCCAGGACAACTTGTATTATAAGTTCTTATCAGAAAATGCTGTATTATTTCTTAAATGATATCACTAAGCAAAACAATTCTTTTAATGTTTTAGATAGGCAGGAAACAAGTGAAGATATAGGAAATAGAAGGAGTTCAAACATAAGCTTGATCCACTTTAGTATTTTGCCAAGGACCGGCCCAGCTTAGTAAGGTCTTCTCTTTCAGACTCCTAGAGACACTTACCAGGCTACCTGGCCTTTGCTTTGGATCCCAGCACTGGCATAACTTGTAACAGATTTTTTCTGTAACTATGAAGAAGAGAAAAGGAAGAGACAATTCCAGAACAGACCATTAGCTTGGTTAGTACGTGGAAAAAGAGAATGTTCGCATATTTATCCAATTCCAAAAGATGGGAGAATAAACATACCAATATGCAGACCACAGAGGTATACTGTGTCCCACCTTATACTTTGGCGGGGGGGGGTTGGGTTTTTTTTTTAATTTGTATAAATTTATGGGGCATGAGTGCAATTTGGTACATGCCTAGATTGCATCGTGGTCAAGTCAGGACTTTTAGGGTAACATGCGTGGTACCAATTAAATAACTTCTCACCACCTTATATTGTGGAGGCTGCTGACAATTTTGTGTTGTTTTTACTACATATTTTGAATCATATTTTTAAGTTTCAAATGGAAGGAAAATTAATGAATCTGTGCAAATGCACCCTGATCTACATAAAGGGAAATTATTATGTTTATGAACTAAATAGTCTTTCAAGTACAATTTCACACATTAGTACAAACTTGTTAAACTAAAATGCCTGGAGTTGAGTATTCTAGTTAGGTTTAACTTTCTGTCTGAAAAACTGTAAGCATTTAGACCATTTGATTTCAATCCTTATATTTATGGGTGTAGTTGTTTTTCTATTTCCCATTTATTGAGAGGTCTCCATGGATGAGGAACAATGTAAGTGCTTTACAAACATGATCTTATTTTATTCCTATAATAACCCTATGAGATATTCTTGCTTTACAAAATAGGAAACAGAGAATGAGAAATATTTGGTAGCATTCCTGGCACCACTTCTTAGTAATGTTACAAAGGAGATTTGAATCCAAGTCTATCTCCTTAAAAAGCCTATGCTATTAAACATGATTCAATTCTAACACTTTCTTAAATTATAATATAGAATTTAAAGTGACCTTAACAGACCCCTGACCTAGCTCACTGGCCTTCAAGCAAGTTAGATCTTTCTCTATTTTAGATATTAATCCATAAAGAAATATTAGCCAGCCCAAGGTCTCAGAGCTGGTAAATCCAGGGCTTCCACCACCTACGGTGAGGGCCTCCCCATCCAAGGCAAGTTTAACAAATCCATGCTAGGCGTTTATATATCTCCTCTAATGAGCTGGTGCTATCTGCTTTGTATACATTCCTCAGTGTACACCAACAACTGATGAATTAGTATATGTAAATAATTTGAATATATAGAAAGCACTTTTGTTTGCAGCACATGAAACTTAGCTATACATACAGCAAGTGCCAATAAATATTGACTTAATTCCTACATTAGTTTACCTCTCCCTCCTCCTGGATATTTTATTAGCCCCACAACCCCAACAGCTCTATTTCCTGCCTATGTGTAGTGATCCCATACTCTTTCATCTTTTTAAATTCTACAGCTTCATCTATTTCTGTGATCAGAGCAACAAGGACCCAACACTAAACCAAAAGCTCTTTCCTTCTTTGGAGATAAGCAGGGGCAAGTTGTGAATATTTCAAATTTAGGTTTTGTTCTCTATCACAACAAAAATAAATGTCAAATGGAAAAAGGACAGTGTAAAGTGAGATATCATGTTGTTCATGTTAGAACTTGGTATTTTCCTACTAAATAACTGTATTTTATAGCAACCTGGATATTATTAGATTTGTTGTTAAATAGATTCATTTTATAATTATTTCAATACTACCTAAATTAACTGGGTCTCCTTATTTCTTCAATATTTTATGATAATGAATATGCCTTTTGGAAATCAATGTTTTCAAAAAATTTCTGAGAGTTAATCTTTGGGAACGGTACTCTTGGGACTTTTCACCAGCTGGTCTAGGCCACCTGGAGCCCTTGCCTCTGGCCATTGTGCCAGCAACTCTCTCCACCTCTCTCTCCCCATCATTCTTCCTCAACTCCTCCTCCCATGTTGCTCCAGGAACTCAAGTTCTCATTGAGTTCCTATGCAGATGGACACAGCTCTGTCTCCTTAGCTCCTGTTTCCAAATGCAGTCCTAGGTCTACATTTAGACAGGGTGCTCAGTTGAACCAAAATGTTACCCACATGATTAGCTACAAATGAAACAGCAGATAATCTGATACATTCTTTAATAGTAAGATTCACACTTAAAAAAACAAAAAGCTGTTGAGATTTTAAATAATTTTTTTGTTAGAGGATTGAGTATCCACTTGAACTAAGAGGCCATATAATTATATGAGTTATTCCATTGATTAAAACATATAGTTGGCCAGGCATGGTGGCTCACGCCTGTAATCCCAGCACTTTGGGAGGCCGAGGCAGGAGGATCATTTGAGGTCAGGAGTTCAAGACCAGCCTGGCCAACATGGCGAAACCCCGTCTCTACTAAAAATACAGAAGTTAGCCGGGCGTGGTGGTGGGCGTCTGTAATCCCAGCTACTCAGGTGGCTGAGGCTGGAGAATCGCTTGAACCCAGGAGGCAAAGGTTGCAATCAGCCAAGATCATGCCACTGCACTCCAGACTAGGTGACAAGAGTGAGACTCCATCTCCCCCGCTCCAAAAAAAAAAAAATATATATATATATGTATATATATACTGTTGCCTCCTACTAATCTTTTCCCTTGGTTCTCATCTAATTCATTTAAGGAAAAATGAAGTTTCTTTTTCCACTTCCCACAGTCTGATCCTCAAGTAAATTGCTATTACTTAGACAGTTTCTACTTAATGTTGCTCAAGTACTATTTTTAATTTCAGTTTCATAAAATCAGACTTTTTTGAGTTGGAAGGCAAGGTAAAGCTATAAAGGACAACATCCTCATTTTTCACATAGAAAGAAACTAAGGCCATATAGCTGTGTTCCCTTTAGTTTTCAGCTGTCTTATTCTTAACTCACTTTTAAAAGTGGGTCTCCAAATTTCATATGTAGGACAAAAAGGGCAAGAAATATCAAAAGGGTAAAATATCACTTGAAAATAGAAAGAACCTAGACAGAAATTGTTAAAATAAATTTATTATCTACCAAAATCCTAGCATCAATGATTAAGACTTTGCCAATACACTAAGCTAGTATAATCCCTCTTCACATACCTACCTTGTGGAAAAACATTTAAATCATTCTCACAACCAAGGAGAGAAAGGTTCTCATTGCACCTGTACATCACCATGTTTGCAGCCAGGCCCAGAGGAATTTTAATGAAAGGGACTTTAAAAATGCTTAGAGTAAGGCGGGGGGCAGTGTCTCATGCCTATAATCCCAGCACTTTGGGAAACCAAGGCAGGTGGATTGCTTGAGCCTAGGAGTTCAAGACCAGCCTGGGGGGGCAACATGGCGCGACCCCCCATCTCTACAAAAAATACAAAATTTAGCCAGTCGTGGTGGCAAGTATCTGTAGTTCCAGCTACTCGGGAAGCTGAGGTGGGAGGATCGCTTGAGCCTGGGAGGCAGAGATTGCAGTGAGCCAAGATGGTGCACTGCACTCCAGCCTAGGCAACAGAGCAAGACCCTGTGTCAGAAAAAGAAAAAAAAAGCTCAGAGTAAGTCAACACCAAGTGGATGTCTTCACTATTAATATCTCCTCTCCAGTCCATGCTCCTATCCTATTCCCCAGACAATAGAGTCATCTCTAAAGATGCAGCCCTTTTCATCACATGCCATGCAAATCATGAATCTGGCCCTTGGGGTCACCCCTCTAAGGTGAGAGAGGCTTCATGTGCCACAGGTTGAAAAATGAGACAGCATTGCTACAGCAGAAGAAACTTTGCCAACTTCTCAGGAGTAATTTATAGACTATCAGAATCTCTCAGACACTTCTAGTGTCCAGAGAAATCCTCTCTTTTTTCTGGGTGCCCCAGATAATGTAGGCACCAAATACCTGTGTGCTTCACCGCTCCTATAACCTCTTCTTTCCCACCAAAAAAGAATGCCATCTGTTCTGTCTTTCTGCCTATGCAGGTGCCAGAGAGGGCGGACAGTGGAGGCCCTGGTCGTAGGGAGTCGAATATCCCTAACCTTACTGTTTTCTTCCCTCTCCCCACCCCAGCACACACAGTTTCCTGAGATAGAGTAACATGTTTCAATCCTCACCTTTGTGGGGATTGAAAGGACACTCACAGAGCAACACAGAGCATCCTCACTGTTATGTTAAACGACCCCAAGATATTCATTCCTGATATGGTAAAACATAAATCCCACACTGGTCATAAACTCTGCTATCATGAAAGTCTGATCTCTTTTTTTGCTTGCTTGTTTTTTGTTGTTGTTGTTGTTGTTGTTGTTGTTTATGAGACAGGGTTTTGCTCTGTGGCCCAGGCTGGAGTGCAGTGGTGTGATCACAGCTCACTGCAGCCTCAACCTCCTGGACTCAAGTGATCCTCCCACCTCAGCCTCCTGAGTAGCTGGTACCACAGGTGCATGCCACCACGCCCGGCTAATTTTTGTATTTTTTGTAGAGATGGGAGTTTCACCATGTTGCCCAGACTGGTCTCGAACTCCTGGGCTCAAGCCATCCGCCCACCTCAGCCTCTCAAATCTCTGGGATTACAGGTGTGAGCCACTGCTCCCAAACTCCTTCAAGTTTTGATCCTGCTACATGCTTGGGTTTGTCCTCCTTTGCTTCTTTCCCAGATTGTCTATTTAGTGCCAAATGGACTCCCTGCAGCTTTCCCTTTCCTGGCTAAGCAACCTAGATACTGGCTTCCAGTTCTAATTAAGCAGTTCCTCTTTCTCCCTTAGCGCTTAATTTCTCCTTCCTATCTTAATGATTCTCTGTATTCCTTAGTCTCACCACACCTTCTGACAAAATACCCACAAAGAGAAACTCTCCTGTCTTGGTCCCAAATCTTGCAACCCTAATTCTGATTTCTACTCATTTCATTTCCCTAATAAATACTTCCTCCTCATTAATTAGGACTTTCATAGAGAACAGCTGCCTGTTAAACATACTACTTGCAGATTACACCCCTCCCTCATTTTGCAGTTACCTGGGTTCATGGACATTTTTGGCCGATTTTTTTCAGTGTTGTGTAAATTAGTTCCAACACCTGATCCTCATAATACAAGCAAGTTATGACCCTGCAGTTTCCTGTAGTTGCAGCCATTTAAACAGATAAATTTTACTTTACAGAGTTTAAATTAAAACATTATAAAATAGAACATGCAAATAGATAGGAAATGACAAATTTTGAACAAAATTTATATGCGTGTGTGCCTGGACCTAGTGAAAGAAATCAGATAAGCTGCCCTAGGAAGCTTTTTTGGAAGCTTTTATCCAGGCACATATTGCAAGTGTAAGTTAATGAAAATAACTCTTCTCAGGTGCATCACGCATTGGCTTCTGAGATACAGCACAATCCACTCTACCATTACCTTCACTCATAAAACCTCAGATTCTTTTTATCCTCTTCTCTCACCCTCTGTTGCTCACCCTAGCCTTTTGATATTTTAATGGTTTTTTCCCAGAGCAGGCTAGAAATGTTTGATTCATTTTCAATGGTCCAGAAGATTTGCCGTTTTTACTTTCTCAGTTGTGGCTGATTTGCTGGAAATTGCAGAACTGCCTCATGGTTTATAAATGTTTCTACTTTCTCACACATTTCAAACTTAGACAGAGTGACATCATCAGTCATGCTTTCTGTTAGCTTCTTAACCTCCATTTAACCTCCCTTTTTTGTGTTAAGATCAAGAGAGGTGGCCAGTTTAGCAAAGTCAAATTTAGATTTTTATTTCTGCCCTTCTAATTGCAGTCGTTACCCCTGATCCTGTGAACTTGCAGCACAACAGTTTAAGTTCCCTGGAAAGGAAAGAGGGATTGTTTTTCTTTGTTGATATTTTCTCAACCACTGAGCATTCGTCTTCAGTGGTGATCCAAAATAATGTGGCAAGTCATTTGTCTATCAAATCCATTTTAATGGAAAAAATCTGTACAAAGCTTTTTGTAGCGCATCTGGCTCTTGGGCACCTTTTTTCAAAGTTTCTATGCTAGTAAACGTTAGCAGGTTCAATTTGAAAGCTCCACGCCCTCTTCTGTTCTTCAATCCCCTAGAGGCTTTGAGTCTTTTTTGAGACAGGGTCTTGCTCTCCTGGCCCAGGCTTGAGTGCAGTGATGCAATCTTGGCTCACTGCAAACTCTGCCCCCTGGCTCAAGCAATCCTCCCAACTAAGCCTCGCGAGTTGCTGGGACTCCAAGTGCATGCCACCATGCCTACCTATTTAAAAAAAAATTTATAGAGAGGAGAACACACTACATTGCCCAGGCTGGTCCTAAACGCCTGGGCTCAAGCCATCTGCCTACCTCAGCCTCCTGAAGTACTGGGATTGAGCCACTGCACCTGGTCTGCCTTTGACTCTTCACTGTTTCTCTCTCTTTGATCCAAGGCCCTTGGCCTCACTCTCTGCCCCTCTGTTTCCTCCAATCACTCAGCCCCTCACTCCTGATCCTCTCCTGACACACATATTCCCCTACTGCACAGGGTCATCTTGAACACAAAATTTACTTCTATTCTAATTTTTTCAGGAGAATCCACCCTTCGGTTTTTGTCCTTTTTTTCCTCAGAAAGCACAGGGTTGTGGAGGGCTTCAGGGAATGTTGACAAAGGTAATGCCAGCATTCTCTGACATGAAGTTTGAGGGTGGAAGGAAATGTTATAAACTACTACTACACACACACACTTTAAATCTTATGCCATCATTAACATTAAGCATACCAAATCCAGGTACGATATATAGTGTAAACATTTTCATGTTTACAGACCAGAAACCTCATATGTGTAAAA
Organism: Homo sapiens; assembly: GCF_000001405.40. NCBI lineage: Eukaryota > Metazoa > Chordata > Mammalia > Primates > Hominidae > Homo > Homo sapiens. The sequence continues at coordinate 158,531,766 of NC_000004.12, forward strand.
ATTATATTTTATATTTCTATGACTAAAATTCAGAGCTCATGACTCCTACATAAAATAATACAACATTTAAATTTGCTAATTCAAAGTAGCTTGGTTTTAAAATGAGGCACTTTTTCTTTAAAATGCAATCTGGGTTTTCTGTTGGTTTGGGTATTTTGTTTGTTTGTTTGTTTGTTTGTTTGTTTTACATTTAGGGGGTATATGTGCAGGTTTGTTACATGGGTATATCGTGTGATGCTGAGGCTTAGGCTTCTAATGATCCCGTCACCCAAGTAATGAACATACTGCCTGATAGGCAGTTTTTCAGAATTTTCCCCCCCTCCTCCCCTTTTGGAATCCCCAGTGTCTCTTGTCCCCATCCTTTTGTGCGTGTTTACCCATGCACCCAGTGTTCAGCTCCCACTTATAAGTGAGAACATGTAGCGTTTGTTTTTCTGTCTCTGAGTGAATTTACTTAGGATAATCGCCTCCAGCTGCATCCCTGTTGCTGCAAAGGACAGGATTTCATTTTTTTATGGCTGGGTAGTATTCCATGGTACCATATTTTCTTTATCTTATCTACCATTGGTGGGCATCTAGATGGATTCCATGTCTTTGCTATTGTGAATAGTGCTGTGATAAACATATATATGAGTGGAGGTGTCTTTTTGGTAGAACTGTGTATAAAATACAATCTCAATCACTTAAGAAATCTTACCTGCGCTACCCTTTTCCCCTTCTCCCCTTCTGACCAACAGCATGTGATTTCGGTGACAGTTTTGCAAACATCAAAATTGAGGAGGCAGGTAGAGAGGTGAACATCTCCAGTCACTTTGCCAGCTACTCATGAGGGTTAACTCACTCTGGCACGGATGAGTGACACCAGCACCCACCAAAGCATTCAACCACTTTTCCACATTGTCCTCCAGCTAATCCACACACTTCTCACCAAAGACCACCACCACCGTCTGCTCATAGCCTTCTCAGGAGAGCACAGGAAGCCCTCAAGTGTCCTTCCTCACCTATTGGGAACTCAGGCAGATTCGGGGCTGACAAAGGCCCTGTGTCTAGCTCACCCATTCACCATCGCCTCCCTCACTTCAAGACCCTGCTTCTCCTAGAGATGTGCCCTTTCTTTGAGCTGGACATTAGGATTTGAGACAAGAATCACTTCTGCTTAGGCAGTCCCCCAAATTCTCTTAGCAGTTTCCACCTTCTCCCTTCCCCTACAGAGTTTTAATACCAAAGGGACAGGGTGCTTCCTTCTCACATTTCACTCTCAGCAGGTTCAGGAAAACTGCTTCGAGGGCATCACACATGCTTAACCCTTAACTCTCTAGAGGTTGTGGAAAGACTGGATGTTCTGTGTCCTTCGTTACTGGATCTTAATGTTCAAGACCAATATGGTAGAATCTAACAAGTAAATAAAAAGAAAGAAAAAATATTATCTCTCTCAAGCACCTGTCTTTTGCCATTGAAAGCCATGACTCTAAAGCTTTGGAATTTAAAGCCAAGAAGGTGAGGACTCAGGAAAGTTTTTTTGTGCTCTACCTTCCCTGAGCAATAAAGTACAGTCTAAATTTCTAGTTTTAGTGGTGGAAGAGTAAAAAAGGAATAACCATGAAGGAAGCATAAATGGACATTACCCTAAAATCAGTAATTATAAACACAAAGCCACAGTAATTAGAAATAATCATTATAACGAAATACCTTAGTAAGAGATGCACTTTTTATTTGCAAATCATATCATATCAAATTTTTAGCTATTTCCCAACACTGTATAATAGACACAAGTGAATATGCATATTTACCCTTACTCTCAAGAAACTTCTATAGGAGAATTGGAATTTTCAAAACTTGCCTAATGATAGATAGGGTTAGTCTATCTTCATTTGGTCGTTTATTTTTTAAGTCACACACAAAAAGTGTGCTTATCCTATTTGGATTCTAACTCAAATATCTTGGCTCAAAATTCTGTACTCTTTCTGATACCAATTTTCCCTACTTTTCTATTTTTCTATTCTGTTGCCCACAATGGTTCCTCATATTTCACTTACACCTGCCTTTCATGTAACTTTTATTTTTAATCTCTTTTCCCTACACTTTTCTATATGCTTTTTTTCCTATTGCTTTAATCAACACTAATCACAATATTATAGATGAAAACATCAATGTATAAAAATATTATTCAAAGCGTGAAAAATCCCAAATCATTAGGCATATTTATTAAATTTCTCCCACAAATTCTTTCTGATGCAATGTCTAAAACAATAGAATGTGTAATAAATAATTGGAAGGAGTAAGGAATAGTCTCACATGACAATCTTACCCCCTAGAAACTACTCGATCACGTTCTTCTCTAATTAGTCTCCCAGGGACCTACACCACTTTTAAATTTATTCTGGGGAAATTGTGGCAGATTTTTAATGTATATTATAATGTGCTTTATTCCATGTACTTAGATACACAAAGTGTTCTAGATCAATGTTATGATATTCTGATTTTTTTTTTTTTTTTTTTGAGACAGAGTTTCGCTCTTGTTGCCCAGGCTGGAGTGCAATGGTGCAATCTCTGCTCATTGCAACCTCCACCTCCTGGGTTCAAATGATTCTGCTGCCTCAGCCTCCCGAGTAACTGGGATTACAGGCATGCACCACCACACCCAGCTAATTTTGTATTTTTATTAGAGACAGGGTTTCTCCATGTTGGTCAGGTTGGTCTCGAACTCCTGACCTCAGGTGATCCGCCCGCCTCGGCCTCCCAAAGTGCTGGGATTACAGGCATGAGCCACCGCGCCCGGCCTTATTCTGATTATTAATAGGAATTATTTACATTGCTAAAGTTATAGGTAAGAGTCATTAAATTGTTGATGTTTTGGTTAAATGATAAGCACTCATAAATGTTGTCTGATTATATCCTCACATGAACCCTGAAAGGTAATGTTTTCTCACCTTTCCAGAATGAAGAGAGAAATTTAGAAATTTGTCAATGTCACGGGCACATCAATGCTTAGTCCAGAACTCGAACTCAAGCTTATCTGATTCCCAAGCCTGAGTTTTTTCACTCACATACAAACACCAAAATCATGTCCTCTCTCATTTTTATTATTATTATTATATATTATTACCTATATTATTACCTATAATAAGTAATTTTTATTACATATAATAAAATAATTTATATTGTTATATTAATATATTACATAAAAATATTACTATTATAGATAATATAAAATTATTTATAATTATATAATATTTTATCATTTATTATATCTCATTTTATAAAACGAGAATTCCTATTCCCATTAACAGGTGAACAAGCTAGCCAAGCAAGTTGAACTGGTTGCAGATTTACCCTGTTTTATTTCCCAGGGAGAGGAGAGAAGGGCACTGCAAGGACAGGTACAGCATGCGCAAGGTCATGGAGACAGGAAAGGACATGGCAGGCTCAGAACATGATGAGAAGTCTGGGGTAGTTTAAGAGGAGGGCTGAAGCAGATGCTTGGAGATGAAGTTAGAGAGGATCACCAGAACCAGATCATGAAGGTCTTTGTAAGCCATGTGCCAGAGTTAGGATGGTAATATATTAGTAATTCAAATCGAGGTTTTGTACAAAATGGAAGTAACCCAGGCAAATTACCAAAAATGGACTAAAATGTGAGAAACTGAAAGCAATCCTTAGAGAGGGCGTGGCCATTGCACTTGAGTCACTGGAAAGATACAGGCTATGATCAAGTCGAATCAGCTACTGGTTTTCACAAGGAAGTAACTCAGGCAAATTACCAAAAATGGACTAAAATGTGAGAAACTGAAAGCAATCCTTAGAGAGGGCATGGCCATTGCACTTGAGTCACTGGAAAGATACAGGCTATGACCAAGTCAAATTAGAGACTGGTTTTCACATTGTTTTCCTGGGACCTTAATACATTTTTAAAATATTTTCTCCCTATTCCTATCTATAAAATACACAAAATATGTGTGGAACACACTACAGAATGTTTGTTGAATACCCTGACTGTGATAGGACCGGCCTTTTTGATATTGCACTCCATAAATATCCAACTATTATCTCTATTTCTCATTCTTAAGAGTTTGATCTAGTCTGCGTTGTGTTTTCCACACTTCCTATTTCCCTTGTGTTATTTTCCAACTCACTATTTTCTTTAACTCTGGAAAGCCCTCTGATCCAGTTTACAAATAAGGCAATAAATAAAACATAACAGAAAACATTAACAAAGTCTCATACTATAATGGACAATAGATGGACAAAGTGCTTATACACGGTTATTTGAATCAAATGGAATGAACCCATTATCTGGAAGTACATACAATCTGTACTCTTTAATCAATCAGTAACTTTGCAACACAAAGGTTGTTACTCAGAAAGTATCAATCAACAGATTTAAGAGATTTTATTCAGCAACTATAACCTCACAGCAGTAGAAAACAGCACATAGACAAATAATTTAAAATATTGTGTTTATAGGACCGAGGCCTAATACCTGTAAGAATATAATTTTACTCTCTCTATTTTAATATATTTACATTTTAATCAATAGTACTACCCATGATATGTTTAATGCATGGGTGTAAATTCATTACTTTTTCTCATTTGTATTTTCCTTTATAAATGACACCTTAAGAGTATGATGAAACAGTGCTGAAAGTTTAAGGTGTATTATGGGAAATGCGTCAATCAGAGATAACTTCAATATCCTTAGCAGACTTTTAATTTCCCTAAGAATTGCAGAACCATAGTCATGCTATCTAGAGAAATAGCTTGCTCAGAACATCTTTAAAATAAGAATACATTCAATCATTCTTGCAGGTAATTATTAACCCAAGTATTGAACTGTAAGAGATACCTGACTTAAAATAGGCTCTTTTTGCAAATACTGTATACAGTATGAGCAAATCATTGCTAATGCCTTCTAACATGACTAGAAATATTATAAATACAGGTCATGGAAAATTATAGTTTTAATACACATATGAAAAGATTAGTGGTTTGCCTTCAACTGAACAAAGTCATATTCTTCCACTGGATAAATTATTTTCTGGCATAAATTAGATGCATATTTGGAAACTCATATTAACTGTTTCAAAATAACATAGCCAGGAAATCATATACACTTTGGAGTTGCAATATTGTTGTACTAGATAGCGTTTACACTTATGAGCTGAAAGAATTCCATACTCATGGAATGCACAAAGTTTTGTTTACTGTTTCCAAAAAAAGTGACTTCTATGCCAATTTGTCAATTTATATTAGGTTTGGTGCAAAAGTAATTGCGGTTTTTGACAACGCAATTACTTTTGCACCAACCTAAAAGAAACCTAGCTAAACTAGAAAAATAGGTTTGTTCATTTGATTAACATAGATATATGCTCTAGAATCTAAATCTAAAATCCAACCTCTCTTTAGGATTTTTACCAATATTTGATGACAAACTACAGCTGTGGGGAATATAGCATTATCCCCACCACTGTGTTTACTGGTGAGCTAGTCCTCATTTGAAATATTTCTCTTCTTATCTCTCTTTCCTTAACTATCTCTTCCTTTCATCCTTTCCTTCCCTTGTCCCCCCAAAAAACAACTAAATTTTCTTAATCTAGTTGTTTCACAGACAAAATCTGTAGTCCCTAGAGTGTCTATGAGGTAGGTAAAGGGCTTATGTCCTTTGAGAAAACAGGGTCTTGGTGGAAGACTATGTTAACATCAGGCCCGAAGTGCCCTTGGGGGATAGTTACAGAAATTGGGTCTTACCTAGCTGACAACAGAGTCTGGAGAAAAGAACTACTTCCTGTATGCATTAAAGAGAACTTCACGACACCATTATCTTAAAATACTCTTCTAAGTATTTCGGACACACAGACAATTATTCATTCTTCCTTTCCTTCAACTAATTTTGTTTTACTTCCTACAATATGCCAAGCACCAATACAGGCATCAGAAATAAATGATGGACAACTCCAGAAAGATCCCTCACCTATGGGAATTTATAATCTGGTGGTGATATTTAAATAACAAAAAGTAAACTAATAAACAAGCTATCTCAAAGAGTAGTAAGTATTGTGAAGAAGGAAAATGTAGTGGAATAGGATAGTAACTAGCAAGGAATTTAAAGGGATAGAGGGATAGATAGAGGGATCCCAAGCAATCTTCCTGAGGGAGGGATACTTATGCTGAGGCTTGAAGAATGAGGAACAGCCAGGCTTGTAATGATCTGAGGAAAGAACAATGCAGGCACTCAGATAGGTGGAACAGCCAACTCAAGACTCTAAAGTCAGACCAAACCTAGCACATCAAGAGAGAACAGTGTTTGTAGGTCAAATTAAGTGAGGGAAGAAATGTGGAAAGAAACCAAGTTGGTGAATAGGTTTGGCCCATTTATGTAAGGTAAAAGGTAAAGGTTAAAAGTTTGGATTTTATTCCAAGAACAATGGCATGTCAGTAGAAGTTTTAGAAGAGGACACATTAATGATCTACTTTAATTTTGAAAGATCCCTCTGGCTGCTGTGTGGAGAACAGGATGAAAAGAGGCAGGCGTGGAAGCAGGAAGTCCAAGTGAGAGACAGCTGCAATTAGACACGATGGCTCGCACTCTGGGGAAAGAAGCAGAGATGAGAAGTTGACTCATTTCAGATAGTCAAGTGCTGAAGGATTGCAAGTGGGAGGTGATGGGCTGAGAAAAGAATTCTTTATTCCTAAAAGATGAGAGAATGCAAAATGAATTGTGAGTCAGAGAGAAGCCAAAGGCATTTTTTTTGTGGGGAGAAAGAATAGGGGCCAGGCACAGTGGCTCACGCCTGTAATCCCAACACTTTAGGAAGCCAAGGCGGGCAGATCACCTGAGGTCAAGAGTTCGAGACCAGCCTGACCAACATGGAGAAACCCCATTTCTGCTAAAAATACAAAATTAGCTGGGCGTCCTGGCACATGCCTGTAATCCCAGCTACTGGGGAGGCTGAGGCACTTGAACTCGGGAGGCGGAGGTTGCAGTGAGCTGAGATCGCGCCATTGCACTCCAGCCTGGGCAACAAGAGTGAAATGCCGTCTCAAAAAAAAAAAAAAAAAAGAATAGGTACAAAAATGGTCATATAATCTATGACTTCTCTATGAAATAATTCAATTCTAAAAGAAGGGTGCTTCCTTACACGTTCCACAGATGTGCATCCAACCCATGTATTGTTCTAATGAGATGAGTACAGATAGGCAGGTGAGCAAGGGCCATTCAAAACACGCCCAGGTGGCAACAGCAATAAGAGAGTATGATGGAAGAGGGACAAAATGAGTCCTTCCTCACTACTTAACCCAGTGACCTGAATTAGCAACCACCTCCCATCATGGGAAGCATTACACTGAGATGGCATCGTGGACAGAAAGAGGAAGTTAGGCAGTGGCAACAGAAACTACTTGCTCTGTTCATTAAAAGATAAACTGGAATGAAGCTGGAAACCATCATTCTCAGCAAACTATCGCAAGGACAAAAAACCAAACACCACGTGTTCTCACTCATAGGTGGGAATTGAACAATGAGAACACATGGACACAGGAAGGGGAACATCACACACCGGGGACTATTGTGGAGTGGGGGGAGGGGGAAGGGATAGCATTAGGAGATATACCTAATGTTAAATGACGAGTTAATGGGTGCAGCACACCACATGGCACACTTATACATATGTAACAAACCTGCATGTTGTGCACATGTACCCTAAAACTTAAAGTATAATAATAATAAAATTTAAAAAAAAAAGACAAACTGGAAAGGTTTGGAGATGAGGGTGCTCCACAAAAGATGAAGAGTATTAACTAGTTCCTGGTAGACATTTATAATAAAAGAAAAAAGGCATATGTAATACCTGCTTGATATCAGAGAAGGTCTTAGCATCAAATTAGACCACATGTGCTGCTTAGCATTTCAGATAGTGTTTGGCCCATGGTGCTTACAATTTCATGGATTGATGATTGATTGGATGGTGTGGAATCTAGGAAGTATATTTTTAGTACAGTCATTAGTTACAATAGAGCTAACCGTGTCCAGTAAAACCTTGTCTCAGACTCTAACAGCCTCTAAATGCCTTTGAAATTGTCCTTTTGGCTAAAGATGGAAAAAAAATCACAGATTTCAAGTCATAAACACACAGGTGGAGTGGAATGAAGTATCTGGAAATACCTTAACCTGGAAGTTAAGAGCAGTGGGTTTAGAAAAAAGGGAAATTGTCATCTAATACTGAGACTTCTGTGAAAGGTAACAATGAGGAGATTTTGTACATCCATTAATTTTATCTGCTCATACCAAACAACCTGGCAGGGGGTAGTTACTGTTAGCAGAAAGGGGTCCCGATCTAGACCCCAATATAGGGTTCTTGCATCTCACGCAAGAAAGAATTTGGGGCAAGTCCATAAAGTGAAAGCAAGTTTATTAAGAAAGCAAAGGAAGAAAGAATGGCTACTCCGTAGGCAGAGCAGCGGCATGGGCTGCTCAGCAGCTTATACTTATTTCTTGATTCTATGCTAGACAAAGGGTGGATTACTCATGAGTTTTCTGGGAAAGGGGCAGGCAATTCCCAAAACTGAAGTTCTTCCCCTTTTGGGACCATATAGGGTAACTGACATTGCCATGGCGCCTGTAAACTGTCATGCACTGGTGGGAATATCTTTTAGCAATCTAATACATTATAATTAGCATATAATGAGCAGTGAGAAGCCAGAGGTCACTCTTGTCACCATCTTGGTTTTGGAAGGTTTTGGCTGGCTTCTGTACCGCAACCTGTTTTATCAGCAAGGTCTTTATGACCTGTATCTTGTACCAACCTCCTATCTCATCCTGTGACTAAGAATGCCTAACCTCCTGGGAATGCAGCCTACTAGATCTCCACCTTATTTTACCAACCCCAATGCCTCTGACATTACTAATTCTCATGTTCCAGAAGAAGAAACTGAAGTTCAAGAAAGCTGTACAAAGCCCACAGCGCACATCTGGGAATGTCTAAGAATGACCCTCCCTGCCCCGCAGCAGCCACACCTTAGCCTGTGCTGTAAACATGCCGTACAGGTGTGGGGAGCACACACTACGGATGGCTGTTGTCTGACATTGTGGCAATTCCAAAAAAAGGCAAAAGCAGGAAAACACACTATTCAACTTTAAATAAGCCTCTTTGATTTTGCTGAATAATAAGTAGTTGTATGGAAATGCATTAAAATTAAACTTACCGGCAAGTAGATGTCATTAACAATATAATAGCCACCATGGCAATCCTAAAAAAAAGAAGCAGTGGCCACTTTTCTGTAGTCTGTAGACAGCAGTCAGCCAACAGTCACTGCCCTGGGCTGCCCTTGATGGCATTCAGAGTCATGCTTTTTGTTATTTTCCCACAAAAGGTTAGATCCCCGCTATGCATCATGTCCAGAAAAACCTTGTCAAACTCTCAAAGTCTCTAAATGCCTTTGAAATTGTCCTTTTGGTTAAAGATGGAAGAAAAAATCACAGATTCCAAGTTATAAATACACAGGAGAAGTGGAATTAAAATCTCATAAATAATATTACTGGCAATTAAAATTCTTTGTGACTTATACCCAGAATTCTCAGAGAGCTTCATGCACACACACACACACACACACACACACACACAGTGTCCAGGGTAATTTCATATTTACTCAAAAACTGTATGAGTATATGCCCAAATTCTAGGTAGAGGGGGAGTCATATATTCTAAAAATAGTGGAAATTTTAAAACTTGGAAACTATTTCAGCTCCAAGTTTAAAATATAAAAATATTTCCTAAACTTATTTTTTAAAAACACTTTATTTTGAAAAATTTCAAACATACACAAAAATTACAAAAGTAGTATAATCATACCCATACACCTTTCACCTGGATTCACTCATAGTTAACACTTTTCCCCATTTACTTTATCTCCTTCACCAAACATACATATATATTTTTTCTTGCTGAATCATTTGAGACTCACTGACGACATTATGACCCTTCGCAAGCACTTGAGCATGTATCTCCAAAGAGTTACAGTCTCTTAGCCCCCATACAATTACTAAATACAATTAACATTGAAAAATCATATTATTTAACATGAAGTCTATATTTATATTTCAGCAATCGTCTCAATTACATCCTTTATGCGGGGTGGCCGGGAGGAATGATGCTTTTCTTTTTTGTTTTTGTTTTTTTGAGATGGAATCTCACTCTGTCGCCCAGGCTGGAGTGCAGTGGTGCGAGCTCAGCTCACCGCAACCTCCACCTCCTGGGTTCAAGCGATTCTTCTGCCTCAGCCTCCCGAGTAGCTGGGACTACAGGCAGGCGCCACCATGGCTATATATATATATATATATATATATATATATTTTTTTTTTAGTAGAGACAGGGTTTCACCACATTGACCAGGCTGGTCTCGAACTCCTGACCTCGTGATTTGCCTGCCTCGGCCTCCCAAAGTGCTGGGATTACAGGCATGAATCACTGCGCCTGGCCCAGAATGATGCTTTTCTAATCCAGGCTCCAATCCAGGATCACACATTGCATTCAGCGGCCGCAGCTGTATAATCTTTTATCAGGAAACAATGACATTGTGAGATTTGAAGAATATGGACAAGTTGTTCCATAGAATATTCTTCAATTCAGGTGTGTCTGATGCAAGCATACTTGTATATACCTACAGTAGGCCTTTTGCAAACCCAAGACTGTTACAAAACTTACCATAAAAATACAGCAAGGAAAGAAAGCTACATGTTATGTTCAGGGACTGGTCTCCTGTTAAAGTGCCTCCTTAGATTTGCATCAATTTTTCTTTAAAATTATGACTCACAGGACTTCCTGCTTTTGTATCTGCCTTGTTCCTCTAATTGTTGTCAGCCAGTCTTCAAACAAAAACATCACATTTATCTATCCTGACTAACTTTCCAAGTCATTTCGAAAGCCATAACCCTAAACCCCACACCTTGCCTTCACCTTTTGGCAATCATTGCAGAGTTCCTTTACTTAATTTCAGTTCTTTTGCTCCTTTCCATAGTAGAGAGTCTGTATTGCTATTTTCATCAGTTCCTTCTGTATCAGTTAGAAAGGCATCATAGGTGCAACAAACAGAAGGACCAAGCAACAGTGACTTAAACAAATAAGAACTTAAGAATCTTTTTTTCACATAAAGTCCATATGGACAGTAAGAGGGGAACTACAGACACTGGGGCCTACTTGAGGGTGGAGGGTGGGAGGAGGGAGAGGAGCAGAAAAAAATAACTATTGGGTATTAGGTTTAGTAACTGGGTAACAAAATAATCTGAAAACAAACCCCCATGACATGAGTTTACTTATATAATAAACCTGAACATGTACCCCTGAACCTAAAATAAGTTTAACACACACACACCTGCACACACTCCAGAAGTAAGTGCTTGCTGGCATTGCGGCAGCTATTCAGCCATGCCCTGAGGCTCCTAGGTTCTTCCTACCTTTCCTGTTCCTCCATTCTTCAGGCACTGGTTTTTATGTTACATTGACTCCTAATAGATGGAAAGATGGCTACTGTCACTCCAGACATCAAGTTCATGTTCAAAGCAGGAAGAAGGGGAAGAGTGATGTAAAGCTGGATTTTCCTCCAGTTACCAGGAAAGCAATGGCTTTTCCAAAAATTTCCCAAGAAGATTTCTAGTTTTTAGGTCTCATGGTCAGAATTGGGTCACACAGTCCCACCTCGCTGCCAAGGAAACAGGGAAAGCCAGAAACAGGAGTCACCTTATTGCTTGGGGCAGTCACCTCATCTAATGGTGCAGAACACAGTGTCTCCACAAACAAGATGGGGATTGTGTTAACAGAGGAAAATGGGAAATAGAGAATCGGTAGCAACCAACAGTTTCCCTGAGCCCTCCCAGTCAGTATTTATATTTATTTATTCCCCACTTCTCTATTCCATTTCATATTTCTTCTCAGTTTTTCTTCATTTATCTTCTCTCCCTAGTACTTCCTCCTGAAGAATGAACTTTCAAACTTTTTTATTAACACTCCATCTCCCACCTAGAATCAAATAGTATTACAACAGCTGGTACTGCCTCTTCCTTCGACACAGAAGAAAACCTAAAATCCAGTAAGACAGAGTGGCATGCCAAATTTGCCCATCAATTTATTGGCACATTCAAGAATAAAGCAAAACTCTACTGAATATCGATATAGTAGTATCTGCCTCTGAGGATTCTTGGTGCATATTTTTGCATTCTGCCATGTTTCGTCCATTTTGCCCCTACCTTGGGCATTTAAATATAAAGATTCCCATGAGATCGGATCAATTCAGCTGTTTATTTCTAGAAATGTCTATAAAGAGAAGAACTAACAAGAGAACCATCTTTTTATTTTTTTAATTTACTTCCTAAATATAAATGAAGGAGAATCTAGAACCACTGTCTTCATTGGAAATCATTGTTCCAAATGAACCGCAAGTCTGAGTTTATAAAGCTGCCATCTCCAATATGTCTGTTGAGAAATATGTCTATTTACATACATCATGTTTGTTTCTGACCTTGTGGGACAATAACTTGGAATGCCCTGAGCAACAAAAACATAAAACACTCTGATGAGACAGCATCTCATCCTTGCACTGAAGGATTTCAAAAGAGGGACAGATCACCCAGAATGGACATGGTCATAGAGGAAGTAAGTTAGAAGCTATAATTGACCTTCATCTTTTTTTTTTTAATTTTATTTTATTATTATACTTTAAGTTTTAGGGTACATGTGCACAATGTGCAGGTTTGTTACATATGTATACATGTGCCATGTTGGTGTGCTGCACCCATTAACTTGTCATTTACATTAGGTATATACCCTAATGCTATCCCTCCCCCTACCCCTACCCCCCAACAGTCCCTGGAGTGTGATGTTCCCCTTCCTGTGTCCAAGTGTTCTTATTGTTCAATTCCCACCTATGAGTGAGAACATGAGGTGTTTGGTTTTTTGTCCTTGCAATAGTTTGCTGAGAATGATGGTTTCCAGTTTCATCCATGTCCCTAAAAAGGACATGAACTCTTCATTTTTTATGGCTGCATAGTATTCCATGGTGTATATGTGCCACATTTTCTTAATCCAATCTATCATTGATGGACATTTGGGTTGATTCCAAGTCCTTGCTATTGTGAATAGTGCCGCAATAAACATACATGTGCATGTGTCTTCATAGCAGCATGATTTATAATCCTTTGGGTATATACCCAGTAATGGGATGGCTGGGTCAAATGGTATTTCTAGTTCTAGATCCCTGAGGAATCGCCACACTGACTTCCACAATGGTTGAACTAGTTTACAGTCCCACCAACAGTGTAAAAGTGTTCCTATTTCTCCACATCCTCTCCAGCACCTGTTGTTTCCTGACTTTTTAATGATTGCCATTCTAACTGGTGTGAGATGGTATCTCATTGTGGTTTTGATTTGCATTTCTCTGATGGCCAGTGATGATGAGCATTTTTTCATGTGTTTTTTTGGCTGCATAAATGTCTTCTTTTGAGAAGTGTCTGTTCATATCCTTCGCCCACTTTTTGATGGGGTTGTTTGTTTTTTTCTTGTAAATTTGTTTGACTTCATTGTAGATTCTGGATATTAGCCCTTTGTCAGATAGGTAGGTTGCTAAAATTTTCTCCCATTTTGTAGGTTGTCTGTTCACTCTGATGGTAGTTTCTTTTGCTGTGCAGAAGCTCTTTAGTTTAATTATATCCTGTTTGTCAATTTTGTCTTTTGTTGCCATTGTTTTTGGTGTTTTAGACATGAAGTCCTTGCCCATGCCTATGTCCTGAATGGTATTGCCTAGGTTTTCTTCTAGGGCTTTTATGGTTTTAGGTCTAACATGTAAGTCTTTAATTCATCTTGAATTAATTTTTGTATAGGGTGTAAGGAAGGGATCCAGTTTCAGCTTTCTACATATGGCTAGCCAGTTTTCCCAGCACCATTTGTTAAATAGGGAATCCTTTCCCCATTGCTTGTTTTTGTCAGGTTTGTCAAAGATCAGATGGCTGTAGATATGCGGCATTATTTCTGAGGGCTCTGTTCTGTTCCATTGATCTATATCTCTGTTTTGGTACCAGTGCCATGCTGTTTTGGTTACTGTAGCCTTGTAGTATAGTTTGAAGTCAGGTAGCGTGATGCCTCCAGCTTTGTTCTTTTGGCTTAGGATTGACTTGGCAATGTGGGCTCTTTTTTCGTTCCATATGAACTTTAAAGTAGTTTTTTCCAATTCTGTGAAGAAAGTCATTGGTAGCTTGATGGGGATGGGATTGAATCTATAAATTACCTTGGGCAGTATGGCCATTTTCACGATATTGATTCTTCCTATCCATGAGCATGGAATGTTCTTCCATTTGTTTGTATCCTCTTTTATTTCATTGAGCAGTGGTTTGTAGTTCTCCTTGAAGAGGTCCTTCACATCCCTTGTAAGTTGGATTCCTAGGTATTTTATTCTCTTTGAAGCAATTGTGAATGGGAGTTCATTCATGATTTGGCTCTCTGTTTGTCTGTTATTGGTGTATAAGAATGCTTGGGATTTTCATACATTGATTTTGTATCCCGAGACTTTTCTGAAGTTGCTTATCAGCTTAAAGAGATTTTGGGCTGAGACAATGGGGTTTTCTAGGTATATAATCATGTCATCTGCAAACAGGGACAATTTGACTTCCTCTTTTCCTAATTGAATGCCCTTTATTTCCTTCTCCTGCCTAATTGCCCTGGCCAGAACTTCCAACACTATGTTGAATAGGAATGGTGAGAGAGGGCATCCCTGTCTTGTGCCAGTTTTCAAAGGGAATGCTTCCAGTTTTTGTCTATTCAGTATGATATTGGCTGTGGGTTTGTCATAGATAGCTCTTATTATTTTGAGATACATCCCATCGATACCTAATTTATTGAGAGTTTTTAGCATGAAGGGTTGTTGAATTTTGTCAAAGGCCTTTTCTGCATCTATTGAGATAATCATGGTTTTTGTCTTTGGTTCTGTTTATATGCTGGATTACGTTTATTGATTTCCATATGTTGAACCAGCCTTGCATCCCAGGGATGAAGCCCACTTGATCATGGTGGATAAGCTTTTTGATGTACTGCTGGATTCGGTTTGCCAGTATTTTATTGAGGATTTTTGCATCAATGTTCATCAAGGATGTTGGTCTAAAATTCTCTTTTTTGGTTGTGTCTCTGCCCGGCTTTGGTATCAGGATGATGCTGGCCTCATAAAATGAGTTAGGGAGGATTCCCTCTTTTTCTATTGATTGGAATAGTTTCAGAAGGAATGGTACCAGTTCCTCCTTGTACCTCTGGTAGAATTCGGCTGTGAATCCATCTGGTCCTGGACTCTTTTTGGTTGGTAAGCTATTGATTATTGCCACAATTTCAAAGTCTGTTATTGGTCTATTTAGAGATTCAACTTCTTCCTGGTTTAGTCTTGGGGGGGTGTATGTTTTGAGGAATTTATCCATTTCTTCTAGATTTTCTAGTTTATTTGTGTAGAGGTGTTTGTAGTATTCTCTGATGGTAGTTTGTATTTCTGTGGGATCGGTGGTGATATGCCCTTTATCATTTTTTATTGCATCTATTTGATTCTTCTGTCTTTTCTTCTTTATTACTCTTGCTAGCTGTCTATCAATTTTGTTGATCCTTTCAAAAAACGAGCTCCTGGATTCATTAAATTTTTGAAGGGTTTTTTGTGTCTCTATTTCCTTCAGTTCTGCTCTGACTTTAGTTATTTCTTGCTTCCTGCTAGCTTTTGAATGTGTTTTCTCTTGCTTTTCTAGTTATTTTAATTGTGACGTTAGGGTGTCAATTTTGGATCTTTCCTGCTTTCTCTGGTGGGCATTTAGTGCTATAAATTTCCCTCTACACACTGCTTTGAATGCATCCCAGAGATTCTGGTATGTTGTGTCTTTGTTCTCGTTGGTTTCAAAGAACATCTTTATTTCTGCCTTCATTTCATTATGTACCCAATAGTCATTCAGGAGCAAGTTGTTCAGTTTCCATGTAGTTGAGCAGTTTTGAGTGAGTTTCTTAGTCCTGAGTTCTAGTTTGATCGCACTGTGGTCTGAGAGACAGTTTGTTATAATTTCTGTTCTTTTACAATTGCTGAGGAGTGCTTTACTTCCAACTATGTGGTCAATTTTGGAATAGCTGTGGTGTGGTGCTGAAAAAAATGTATATTCTGTTGATTTGGGGTGGAAAGTTCTGTAGATATCTATTAGGTCTGCTGGGTGCAGAGCTGAGTTCAATTCCTGGGTATCCTTGTTAACTTTCTGTCTCGTTGATCTGTCTAATGTTGACAGTGGGGTGTTAAAGTCTCCCATTATTATTATGTGGGAGCCTAAGTCTCTTTGTAGGTCACTAAGGACTTGCTTTATGAATCTGGGTGCTCCTGTATTGGGTGCACATATATTTAGGATAGTTAGCTCTTATTGTTGAATTGATCCCTTTACCATTATGTAATGGCCTTCTTTGTCTCTTTTGATCTTTGTTGGTTTAAAGTCTGTTTTATCAGAGACTAGGATTGCAACCCCTGCCTTTTTTTGGTTTCCATTTGCTTGGTAGATCTTCCTCCATCCCTTTATTGTGAGCCTATGTGTGTCTCTGCATGTGAGATGGGTTTCCTGAATACAGCACACTGATGGGTCTGGACTCTTTATCCAATTTGCCAGTCTGTGTCTTTTAATTGGAGCATTTAGCCCATTTACATTTAAAGTTAATATTGTTATGTGTGTGTTTGGTCCTGTCATTATGATGTTAGCTGGTTATTTTGCTCGTTAGTTGATGCAGTTTCTTCCTAGCCTTGATGGTCTTTACATTTTGGCATGGTTTTGCAGTGGCTGGTACTGGTTGTTCCTTTCCTTGTTTAGTGCTTCCTTCAGGAGCTCTTTTAGGGCAGGCCTGGTGGTGACAAAATCTCTCAACATTTGCTTGTCTGTAAAGGATTTTATTTATCCTTCACTTTTGAAGCTTAGTTTAGCTGGATATGAAATTCTGGGTTGAAAATTCTTTTCTCTAAGAATGTTGAAGATTGGCCCCCACTCTCTTCTGGCTTGTAGAGTTTCTGCCGAGAGATCAGCTGTTAGTCTCATGAGCTTCCCTTTGTGGGTAACCCGACCTTTCTCTCTGGCTGCCCTTAACATTTTTTCCTTCATTTCAACTTTGGTGAATCTGAAAATTATGAGTCTTGGAGTTGCTCTTCTCGAGGAGTATCTTTGTGGCGTTCTCTGTATTTCCTGAATCTGAATGTTGGCCTGCCTTGCTAGATTGGGGAAGTTCTCCTGGATAATATCCTGCAGAGTGTTTTCCAACTTGGTTCCATTCTCCCCATCACTTTCAGGTACACCAATCAGACGTAGATTTGGTCTTTTCACATAGTCCCATATTTCTTGGAGGCTTTGTTCGTTTCTTTTTATTCTTTTTTCTCTAAACTTCCCTTCTCGCTTCATTTCATTCATTTCATCTTCCATCACTGATACCCTTTCTTCCAGTTGATCGCATCGGCTCCTGAGGCTTCTGCATTCTTCACGTAGTTCTCGAGCCTTGGCTTTCAGCTCAATCAGCTCCTTTAAGGACTTCTCTGTGTTGGTTATTCTAGTTATCCATTCATCTAATTTTTTTTCAAAGTTTTTAACTTCTTTGCCATTGATTTGAATTTCCTCCTGTAGTTTGGAGTAGTCTGATCGTCTGAAGCCTTCTTCTCTCAGCTCGTCAAACTCATTTTCCGTCCGGCTTTGTTCCGTTGCTAGTGAGGAGCTGCGTTCCTTTGGAGGAGGAGAGGCGCTCTGCTTTTTAGAGTTTCCAGTTTTTCTGCTCTGTTTTTTCCCCATCTTTGTGGTTTTATCTACTTTTGGTCTTTGATGATGGTGATGTACAGAGGGTTTTTGGTGTGGATGTCCTTTCTGTTTGTTAGTTTTCCTTCTAACAGACAGGACCCTCAGCTGCAGGTCTGTTGGAGTTTGCTAGAGGTCCACTCCAGACCCTGTTTGCCTGGGTATCAGCAGCAGTGGCTGTAGAACAGCGGATCTTGGTGAACTGCAAATGCTGCTGCCTGATTGTTCCTCTGGAAGTTTTGTCTCAGAGGAGTACCCGGCCGTGTGAGGTGTCAGTCTGCCCCTACTGGGGGGGTGCCTCCCAGTTAGGCTGCTTGGGGGTCAGGGACCCACTTGAGGAGGCAGTCTGCCCATTCTCAGATCTCCAGCTGCATGCTGGGAGAACCACTACTCTCTTCAAAGCTGTCAGACAGGGATATTTAAGCCTGCAGAGGTTACTGCTGTCTTTTTGTTTGTCTGTGCCCTGCCCCCAGAGGTGGAGCCTACAGAGGCAGGCAGGCCTCCTTGAGCTGTGGTGGGCTCCACCCAGTTCAAGCTTCCCAGCTGCTTTGTTTACCTAATCAAGCCTGGGCAATGGCAGGAGGCCCTCCCCCAGCCTCTCTGCTGCCTTGCAGTTTGATCTCAGACTGCTGTGCTAGCAATCAGCGAGACTCCGTGGGCATAGGACCCTCCGAGCCATGTGTGGGATATAATCTCCTGGTGTGCCATTTTTTAAGCCCGTTGGAAAAGCACAGTATTAGGGTAGAAGTGATCCAATTTTCCAGGTGCTGTCTGTCACCGCTTTCTTTGACTAGGAAAGGGAACTCCCTGACTCCTTGCACTTCCCGTGTGAGGCAATGCCTCGCCCTGCTTCGGCTCACACCTGGTGCGCTGCACCCAGTGACCTGCACCCACTGTCTGGCACTCCCTAGTGAGATGAACCCGGTACCTCAGATGGAAATGCAGAAATCACCCATCTTCTGCATTGCTCAGGCTGGGAGCTGTAGACCGGAGCTGTTCCTATTCAGCCATCTTGGCTCCACCCCTGACCTTGATCTTAAAGGGTAAGATCTAAATAGGTGAAAAAGAAGATATTCAGGAACACTGCCATGAGTCCAAAAAAGGGAGGTAGAAACATCAATAACCTTTCAGGGCTCATAAGCTAGTCTATATGGGGAATTAGTAAAGGCACATTGGTTAAGAACACGTGTTCTGGAATCAGACGGATCTGCATCTGAATCCCATTTCCACCACTTACTGGTTCCATGATATCCAAGCAATTTATTCCTCTATGCTTTAGCTTCCTAAACTATAAAATCATGATAATATTAGAACTTATTTAATGGAGTTTTATGAAGATAAAGTGAAACAAGGCATGCAAAGTGCTTAGCCTGGTACCTAAAACATATTAAATGCTCTAAAACATGAAGAAAAAAAAAAGCAACTACTGACCAACATGAAAGGAGTCAATGTAACGGACTATTAAGTTTTAAAACTGGGTTGTGGACCTAAGTGTCCATCAACAGATGATGGATAATGAAAATGTGGTATATATACATAATGGGATATTATTCAGCCTTTTAAAGGAAAGAAACTCTGGCATTTGTGACAACATGGATGAACCTAGACAGCATTATGCTATGTGAAATAAGCCAGGCACAGAGAGACAACTACTGCAAGATCCTTTTTATATGTAGGATGTGAAGTAGCCAAACTCATAGAAGTAGAGAGTCGAGTGGGGAGTACCAGGGTCTGGGGAAAAATGGAGAGATGTTGGCCAAAAAATGTGAGGTTTCTTACACTTCTCTTTGTTGAAGGACCAAGCAAGTGACTGAAACAAATAAGAATTAAAAAATCAGTTCCAGAGATCTGTCGTACAGCATGGTGACTATAGTTAGTAATAATGTGTTGTACACTTAAAAATTGCTAAGAGAGTAGATTTTAAATGTTCTCACCACAAAAAAATGCTAGCATATAAGATGATGATTATGTTAATTGGTTTGATTTAATCATTTCACAATGTATACATATATCAAAAAACCACATTGTACACCATAAATATGTACAACTTTTATTTCTCAATTAAAAATAAATAAATAAATATAGGCTGGGCACTGTGGCTCATGCCTGTAATCCCAGCACTTTGAGCGGCCGAGGTGAAAGTATGCTTGATCCCAGGAATTCGAGACCAGCCTGGGCAACATAGTGAAACCCTGTCTCTACAAAAAATATAAAAATTTATCCAGGTATGGTGGCATGTGCCTGTAGTCCCAGCTACTCAGGAGGCTGAGGTAGGAGGATTGCTTGAGCCCAGGAGGTCAAGGCTGCAGTGAGCCGAGATCACACACTGGTTACTCCAGCCTGGGTGACACAGTGAGACCTTGTTACAAAAATAAATAAAAATAAAGAAATTTTTAAAAAATAAAGACCCACTCAAAAAACAGAAAAGTATATTGAGACCAGTTGGGGACACTTTGACAATAAGGCTGAAGTGTCACAAAGGAAGTTATTAAAAATGTGTTATCTAGATGTGAATACAGATTAGAATCACAGTTGAGGCAGTAGGAATGGAAATAAGGTGTGAAATGGAAATGCTGTTAAGAAGAAATACAACTGCCCTTAATTTAGGATTTTTATTTCTTGGCTGCACTACCAGCATAAATCAATAAAACTGACTGTTACCACACCAGTAAGTAGGAATAAAATGTGATAGTTGGATAGTCAAGAAAAGAGTTTTGTCATAATTTGAGACAGATGCTAGAAATGTATAAGTACAAAATCCGTGGCTAGAAATGTATAAATATGAAACCTCAGCCACTTTATGTGTTGGGAAATATGTGCATTTATTCAATAAATGCTTACTGAATGTGAACTCGTGATTATGACATCTCACTCATCTGAGAATTACTTATCCTAGACCCTCAAAAACTTTGATTCTTCAAAACCTAGGCATTAAAAAAAAGAAAAACATCTCGTCTTGTTTTAGGCCCTCATTCAGAGCTTATTTGCTTACTTTCACATAGAAATGTAATATGTCCAAGTAGCCGTGTTTTTGGCCACAGCAGGTTCAAGTTACAAAATAGAAATGGGAATTAGAATAGTGAGACTACAGAGGCAGACAAATTAATGATAGTAGAAGTGACAGCTGGTAGAAAATTGTAATGAAAACTATAAAAAGTTGGCAAGAGTCTGTGATAAATTTTTAGGACAAAAATGCCCTCAAAGGGCCCTACAGGTATCACCGTATTGTTCAATATGGGAACCCCAGTTTACAACTAGAGGTTAATGTTATGTTCAACAGATTTCCAAAACTTCAAAAGTAAAGCTAAACACAAAAATTATATCAGATGGCTAGGTGCTATGGCTCACATCTGTATTCCCAGCACACTGGGAGGCTGAAGCAGGAGGATCACTTGAACCCAGGAGTTTGAGACCAGCCTAGACAACATAGCAAGACCCTGCCTCTACAAAAATAAAAATTAAAAAATAGCCATAAGTGGTGGAATGATGCTGAAGTCCCAGCTGCTTGGGAGGCTGGGGTGGGAGGATCACCTGAGCCCAGGGGTTTGAGGCTGCAGTGAGCTCTGATCATGCCACTGCACTCCAGCCTGGACAATAGAGCAAGATCCTTTCTCTTAAAAAATAACAATATCAGAGACACCAGTATGGAAATTTTTTGACAAGTTTTGTTAAAAAGGAGAGATAAGAAATGGCGATATAAGTGGATAATTGATAATTGAATCAATAAAATATTTTTGTTTTATTTTGTCCTGTTTTAAGAAGGGATACACAACAGCATGTTTTCAGGGGCTAAGCCAGAAAAAGAGGTAAACATTGATGATGCTTAAGAGAGAAATGGAGAATTGCTAAAATGTGTCCTGAGTAGGAGAGAGGGGATGGAACTGGAAGCTCAGGTGAAGGACTGACACGGGACAGAGGCAAAGACAGCTCATCCATAACAACAGCAAGGAAGCAGAGACAGGAGGGTGACCCGTGGAGAGATGCACTGTGGGGATTTGTGCAGGTACGGGGTAGGCCACCTTCTGGAATGTCTTATTATCTACTTTCAGACAAGTTAGGTCAGAGGATTTCTTTATGGCTAGCTCTTACACAGAAAGGCAGGGGAAGGTTAGAGTCATATTTCTAGGTTTTATGACTGATTTAGGGGGAAAGGGATTCTAGTTTCTATGGCCTGCCTTGGGGGAAGAAGTGGAACAGGAGAAAAAAGGGCAGGAGAAGGCCAGAGAGAGACTTTACTTCTGAGCCCCTTCTAATGTCCTCCAGTTCAAAGTACTCAGCATGCTAAAGTGCCATACTTTGGGATATCGCTTTCTAAGCCCGAAAAATGGCATTGAATGGTTTCCTACTGATTATTCGCCAATGCTTTGTTCGGGGTTTTTCATCCTGGGCACCGCTGACATTTTTGGACAGATAAATCTTTGTTTGGGGGAACTGCCCTGTGCATTGAAGAATTCTTAGCAGCATCCTTGCACTCTACCTACTAGATGCCAGTAGCAACCCCCAAGTTGTGACAATCAAAAATGTCTCCAAACATTGCCAAATGTCCCCTGGGTCCAAAATAATCCCCAATTAAGAACCACTAGCTTAGTCCCACCTTGTTACAAAATATCTAGAGAAAACTAATATTACAATTCAATGATTTTTTC
The DNA here is from genome assembly GCF_000001405.40 of Homo sapiens. Classification (NCBI taxonomy): domain Eukaryota; kingdom Metazoa; phylum Chordata; class Mammalia; order Primates; family Hominidae; genus Homo; species Homo sapiens. Next base: position 158,554,221 of record NC_000004.12, read on the forward strand.
TCTATAGCTAAGAAACCGTATTTTTACACTCTTGAATTATCTGTAAATAACGTCAGAGTTTTTTTTTATTATTAAAAGAATACTCACTCTTTAAAAGCAAGTCAAATTTTTCCTAAGTATATAAACTGAAAAGTAAAATCCCCACTTTCTTCTGCCATTTTTGGTCCAAATTCCCAAAGACGACCACTGCTAGCAGTTTCATGTTAACATACCATAATTTTATAAACACAAGCATATATGTCTTTTATCTTATACAAATAAAAGCAAACTATATATTTTTCAACATACTTTGTAACTTAATGATATGCCTTGAACAACTTATTATATCAGTGGATATAGATCTACTTCATTTTTTCAAATTGTTTAACTGGTTTTCAAATTGTGTTTGTGTGTGGTTTCCTTTTTTGTTTTCTTTTGTGTTTTGTTGTTTAATTTTACTTCCTAACCAGACATTTTAGCAAATTATTTACACACTTTTGAGACTGGGGGCAATGATGTAAAAAAAAAAAATAGGTGTATTGAATATTTTTCATGGATCGTAAAAGGACTTCAAATGCTGGAAATAAGTCATAGAGTATAATTAAACTCTTAGTGCTTGAAAAAGTCATAGCTGTGCGGAAACATTATAAACATTTTAAGTAGAAATGATAGATATTTTAATCTGCTCCGCTATTGTAACCATGTCACTAGCTATATGTATCTCATAATATCATGTTGTAAAGCTTAAATAAACACAATACTTTAAAAAAATAAAGTAAATCTGATGCTTGGCAGAAAATATTTTAATTAATTTATCAATTACACTCTTACTTTATTTTAAATTTAAGTAAACAAAACTACCTTTAATGCAGTGACTGCATTGATTTCAGAGCAATGATATTAAAATTTTCCATATTAACATTTAATGTTGTTACAGAATGGGGGTTATAATTTTACTGAGTTATTGTTTACATGAGTTCCCTAGATACAAATTGTAAGTATTTTTGCATTTCTGTCAAAAATCTGTAAGAGAGTAAAAAACTTAGTTTATTCCACTCCAATAAGTCACTAAGAACTTAGTTCCCAAGAAATGTGTATTGAAACGCTTAAGGTTTTAGTTCTGAGACAGGAATTCATGATTTGAATATAACTCAGGTAAAATTATGTTTCCTCCCAAAAATGATAACCAGCCGTAGCATAGTCACCTTACTGTATGAAAAGGGTGCAATTTACTCAAAAGCACATTATAAAAATATTTCCCTGTACTTGCTCTCTGGCTTTGGTCTTTGAATTACATTGGGACCCAAATAATGTCAAAGAGAAAGGTGCAATAGCCGCACACAGGTTACAGCATTTTTTCCTTCTCTGTGCACCACTCACACAGACCCCACGAAATGCATACAATGCACACAATTTTATGGTCATAGGAGAATGATTCATTCTTAGAAAAAAGATTCCACTGATATCCACTCAATACTTGTGTCTCACTTGGCAATTGGCATACGTGACTGTTCCTCTATTTTTCCATCTACCTAATTTCAAAGGATTTCCAGAAGGAAAAGAAGATTTAAATGCTTCATTTCAAATATTTCTGAGTTTTGACAAAGGTGCCAAGACCACACATTGGAGAAAATACAGTCTTTTCAATAAATGGTTCTGGGAAAATAAAATATCCACATGTAGAAGAATGAGATTACACCCCTCCCTCTTGCAATATACAAAAACCAACTCAAAATGAATTCAAGACTTAAATGTAAGATGCAAAACTATGAAACTACTAGAAGAAAACATAAGGGGAATACTTCACCACATTGGGCTTGGCAAAGATTTTTTAAATAACACCTCTTAAATACAGGCAACAAAAGCAAAAATAGACAAATGGATTATATCAAACTGAAAAGTTTTTGCACAGCAAAGGAAACTATTAACAGAGTGAAAAGACAACCTACAGAAAGGGAGAAAATATTTGCAAACTGTACATTTGACAAGGAGTTGATATCCAAAATACATAAGAAACTTAACAGCAAAAAAAAAAAAAAAAATTGAAAAATGGACAAAAGACCTTAATGGATGTTTCTCAAAGAAAGACCTACAAATGGCCAACAGATATATGAAAAAATACTCAACATCACTAATTATCAGGGAAATGCAAATCAAACCACAATGAGATATCATCTCACTCCAGTTAGAATGGCTATTATCAAAAAACCAGAAGAAAACTAGTATTGGCGAGGATGTGGAGAAATGGGAACCCTTACACACTGCTGGTAGGAAATTAGTGCAGCCATTATGGAAAACTATGGAGATTCCTCAAAACATTAAAAATGAAACTACCATATGATCCAGCAATCCTACTCCTGGGTATATATTCAAAGGAAATAAAATCAGTATGTTGAAGAGATATCTGCACTCTTATATTTACTGCAGCACCATTTGCAATAACCAGGGTGAGGAATCAACCTAAGTCTCAGACAACAGAATAATGGATAAAAGAAAATGTGGTATATGCATATAAAGATATACAGTTCAGCCACACATATATTCAGCCATAAAAAAGAATTAAATCTTATCATTTGTGACAACATGGATGAACCTAGTGGACATTATGATAAGTAAAATAAGCCAGACACAGAAAGACAAATTCTGCATGATCGCATTCATATGTGAAATATTTTAAAAAGGTGATACCATAATATCATAGATACAGAGTAGAACAGTGGTGACCAGAGCAGAGAGAAGGATGGGGAGAAGTTGGTCAAAGGATACAAAGTTACAATTACATAGAAGGAATAAATTATAGTGTTCTATTACACAGTAGAGTGACTATGGTTAACAGTAAATTATTATACATTATGAAATAGCCAGAAGAGAGGCTTTTGAATGTTCTCACCACAAAGAAATGATAAATACATGAGATGATGGATACACTAACTACCCTAATTGAATCATTGTATAACATAGATATATATGGAAAAATCAAATTGTATCCTTAAAATATGTATAATTACAATATGTATGTATCAATTTTTAAAGTAAATAATTTTTCAGTATTTCTGCTGTTGGGATTTAAATGTTTAAGCATGTTTCCAAGTTGCTCTCAAATTTTTAACTAATAATTTAGGTTTGTATGTGTTGGAGTAGTTTTTCAGTTAGGAAATTTTTTTAATTGATAAATTCCTTAAAGTATCAGTTTGTTTGTTTGTTTAGAGACAGAGTCTCTTCTGTCACCTAAGTTGGAGTAGTTTTTCAGTTAGAAAATTTTTTAATTAATTGATAAATTCCTTTAAGTATGAGTGTATTTGTTTGTTTGGAGGCAGGGTCTCCTCTGTCACCTAGGCTGGAGGGCAGTAGTGCAGTTGTGACCATCAGAGTTCACTGCAGCCTCAAATTCCTGGGCTCCAAGGAATCCTCCAGCCTCAGACTCCCAAAGCTGGGCTTACAGGCGTAAGCCACTGCGCCCAACCTATGAATGGTTTTTACACAAGATGAGAATATTCAAATTAAAAACTGTAATTCAAAAAAAGTCTAATTTTAAGTATCACTAAAAGCGAGATGCATTTATATCCACATTAAGTGTTAAGTTAATCCATGCTAAAAGAGCCAAATGCCTCATCATTGTCATGGAGTCACCTTCACTGACTCCACTGCTTCACTGGAGCTCCAGTAGGTGTTTCAATTCCATTCTGAGTTTCTTTTGCTACTCGATCTCTGTTAAAATTATTAATGTCCTGCTCCCAGTGCCTTAGAAACTCCTAGTGCATAGATATATTCAGATATATTAAATATTTCATTGATTTGATCAGAAAGCCTTCAAAACATCTTGAGAAATATATCTACTAAGCCACACATTTTTCCTACAAGGTAAGCCTACTAATACCTGCATTACATACCATTTTGTTAAACTTTTCTATCTCACCTGTTTGTTCTTGATCTGAGAAGGAACTTGTTCTCACCTTTAGGAGTAAATAAGTTTACTTTTTAAATAAGCAGGAAAAATTATTCAAATGAAGCCATCACCTTCCTCATTGGTGTCCTCATTCTGTGTGCTCTAATGCTTGGTGCATACATTTGCAAATGCACACACAGCCGGGAGGAACACAGAAACAGTGGCAGGTAGTTGCTTCCTCCAATTAAACTTCATATCAGCAAATCATTGAGCCTTCCTTATTCATAGCCAAACAACACACAGTCATCTAAACAGAGATTCTCAGTAGAGAGTAGCCTATTGGAATTGAGCAATGGGTAGAGTAGGGCACATGTGGTTTGGCATAGCATATTCAATATTTTAATATAAATATATGTTTGGGAAAACCATTCCTCATTCTTTCCTTAATAACTACAAAAAAATAAAGCTGAACCAAATGTTCTTGGTTGGTGGGGAGCCACAAAAGATATATAGTCTTAAGCAAGGTATATATTCACCCCTATGAGAAATATATCAAAACCTTAGGGAAGTTGTATAAAATACATTTGATAATCAAAACTTAACATAGATTTTGAAGGCCTGAGAAATCCTGAATTGATATAAATTCTAAACGAGGCTGCTGCTGGTCATGTATAGAAAAAATAGCTTTTGGGTACAGAAAAGCTGTAGACATGAAAGAGTGTAATTGAAGAAGCAAGCTAAGTGATCAGTATTTTTAAAACTACTCAGTACATTCAAATAATATATTTATTATAGAATCAATCAACAATACAACCAAATATGAACACAAAAATTTTAAGTGACAGCTGTCGTAATATTAGCCTCAACAGATTTTGAAATCTCACTCTTCATTTAAACAAAGCTGGAAAGATGCTTATTCAAGATCTGTGTTTACAAAAAAAGGTTAATCTGGTTGCATAAGTTAAAATGTTGACCACTTACACTGTGTTAAAATTTTTACATATTTAACAAAGTTATATGTGCCTTTACTATCATATTTTTAGTTTGAAATGTATTTTGAAAAATAAAATTCTGGCTGGGCACAGTGGCTAGGGCCTGTAGTCCCAGCACTTTGGGAGAACAAGGCAGGAGGATTGCTTAAGGCCAGGAGTTAGAGGCTGCAGTGAGCTATGATCATGCCACTGCACTCCAGCCTGGGCAACAGCAAGACCCTTTCTCCAAAAAAATAAAAATAAAATTCTAGTCAAAGACTTGCAAAAACTGATGTACCTTCCTGAAACCCTAATTTTATTCAACCATGTTTAATACCATTAGATGAATGTAACCACTTATTTTCCAGATGATGAAACTTAAGCTCAAAAAATTTACTGAAGGTCACAGATCTAGAAAGGTGACAAATAAAGGCTAGACCCCCCTGCCCCGCTGCATTGATTCCCAATACTGAGCTTTTTTCCCCTATACCAGGAATAGATGTGATTTAAAAAATTTTTTCATATACCTATTACTTATCCAATATTAAGACAAGCATCCGTGAGTTATAATTTTATGGTTGATGTATTTACGACAAAAAAGCCACTTTTTTCTACTTTAATGTGAAGCACAAGATGGTATCACGCAAACTAGGAAGGTAGAAATTCTTCATAGAATTGCAGTTGTCTTTTCAATGGCAAATTGGTATCTTTACACAATTCTACAATAATTTTTCTGTTAAGTACTTCTGACTGTTGCACTGATATTAGTGAATTTCCATAAGCTTGATAGGTGAAATCAAACTATTTAACCTTAGGTCAGAGAAACATCAGAACTATGAATATACATTCATGTAACACCAAGTTATAAAATGTTTACAAGTTATTTTACTCAGTAAGGACTTCTTTCCCAAAGAGTAAAGACAACTTCTATTCTCCTATTCCAGGAAAGTTTACATAATGTCTGCAGGAAGAAAAAGGATGGAAAGCTTTCCTCTGGCTTTTTCTCCTTCAGCTGCATGGATGTGACTAACCCAGGTAGCTGCAGGTAATGAAGCTGGCAGGCTGCCTGAGACCATCCTATTACACTGAGCACATCACATAAAGTATTGTCTACATATCAGTCCCAACAATATCTCCACACCGTAAGCCATCTTTTTACTTCCCAGACATTTCTCTTGGGGCTTCCAGTAGACTGAGTCCCAGAGAAAGATTTGATAGCTCAGGGATGATTTTTTTCCCAATCAGCCCAACAGGGACCACTCATCCCACCAAGCCTGAAGGCATTTGTATGGCAGTTCACACCTGAGGCTCAGATAGCATGGACTCCTTCTATTGCTGTCCCTACATGCCCCATCAGTCTTTCACTTACTCCTTCAATCACCCTTTCAAGTAAATTGCCAACATGAGCTTTTTCATGTCTGGAATGACTCTGCAGAAAGGACACTTCGGAGTTTCTCGATGTATCAGTTAGGAATTCACTTTCTTGCAACAAAAGAAAACCTGACCCGGCATGGCCTAAACAAAGAAGCGTTTATTTTTCTCACCTAAAGAGGAGTCTGAGTAGCCTGATGATTCCCGGGTTGGCATTTTGTAGGTATCTGTGGGTTTCCTTGGTCTTGCCAGCACGTGTGTTGCCTCATAGATGCAAAACTGTTGCTGCAGTTTCACACGATCATCCCATCATGTTCAAGGCAGAAAGAAAGTGGAAGACAACAGCCCCATCCATCTCTTGTGTCAAGAAAGCTAGCACCTCCAGGACTTCCTCAGCAGATGTCTGCCCACGTCTCACTGGTCGGAACTGTGCCCCTTAGACACCAAGAAGCCGGCCAGCTGGGAAAGAAAGTATTTTGCTTTCCAACTTCTTTAACGGAAGGGCAGCAAGAGAGAAGGGTTTTGGGAATCACTGTTGAATCAACAAACGAACAGTGTTTATTATACTTGGGTTTAAAATTAATAATGCATTTATTATAGTAACAAATTCAAAAACCGTGTTTGCCTTCAGCCTTTAACTTCAATTTACAAACCTATTTTCTACTTATAAATCTTGTAAAATAAAACCAATCTCCTTCACTTTTTAGTTTATAAATGTTTAACTCAAGTTGAAAAAATTGAACTTAACCAGTCTCATTCAAGACAAAGAATAATGAACTGTTTTAAACAGCATCTTAAATGTAATGATTAATTTTATTTGAAATACAAGTGGATTATCCCTAATCTGAAATTTTGAAATCCGAAATGTTTCAAACTCTGAAACTTCTTGAGCACTCACAAGATGCCACAGTGGAAAATTCCACACCTGACCTAATGTAATTGGTTGCAGCCAAAATGCAGTCAAAATTGTTTCATGCATAAAATCATTTTAATATTGTATAAACTTACTATCAGGCCATGTGTATAAAGTATATATGAAACAAATAAATTTTGTGTTTAGATTTGGATTTCATTTTCCAAAATATCTGAGAATGCATTTGCAAATATTCCAAAATCTGAAAAAATCTGAAATCTAAAACTCTTATGTTTCCAAGCATTTTGAATAAGAAATACACAATCTGTATTTTTTTCTTTTTTTCTTTTTTTTTTTTTTTTTTTGAGACAGAGTCTCACTCTGTCACCCAGGCTGGAGTGCAGTGGTGTGATCTCGTCTGACTGCAACCTCCACCTCCCGGGTTCAAGTGATTCTTGTGCATCAGTCTCCTGAGTAGCCAGGATTACAGGCGTGTGCTACCATGCTCGGCTAATTTTTGTATTATTAGTAGGGACAGGGTTTCACCATGTTGGCCAGGCTGGTCTAGAACTCCTGACCTCAAGTGATCTGCCCACATCGGCCTCCCAAAGTGCTGGGATTACAGGTGTGAGCCACTGCACCCGGCCTCAACCTGTATTTTAAATGCATGCTTAAAAACTTTAGAAAATCCAATAAAACGTATTTTAAATATAGTAAATGTCAAGTTACCTTAAATAGTCCAGTGCTGCTTATACACTTAAATTCTCTTACAACGTAAAATCACAAGTTTGAACTTAATTGCCTGTTTTAAGTTGAAATTAGTAGGTTCATCTGTTATTCCTTAATTGCCTAATTCTCTTAATCATAAAAAACACTCCAACCCCCCAATAAACACGGGTTATTCTCACATTAAAATATAATGCCAACACTATACATTTGATTAATTTTATTGTCTCTATATTCTAAAATTTATCACAGTTTAAAATACACATATTTCACTTTGGGAGGCCGAGGCGGGCGGATCACGAGGTCAGGAGATCGAGACCATCCCGGCTAAAACGGTGAAACCCCGTCTCTACTAAAAATACAAAAAATTAGCCGGGCGTAGTGGCGGGCGCCTGTAGTCCCAGCTACTTGGGAGGCTGAGGCAGGAGAATGGCGTGAACCCGGGAGGCGGAGCTTGCAGTGAGCCGAGATCCCGCCACTGCACTCCAGCCTGGGCGACAGAGCGAGACTCCGTCTCAAAAAAAAAAAAAAAAAAAAAAAAAAAATACACATATTTATTAAGGGGAGAATTTTATCATAACAGATCAACAAGAGTTTCATCTCAAACAAGCTGAGGTTACTTTTGAGCCAACAATTTTTTTTACCAGGATATATATCTTGAGTTTCCTATAACTGGGATGATTCCACCTGAAGCTTTTGTTAAAGGAACCCCGAGTGCACACCCATCCGGGGCAGTTGATCTTAAAGTACACATCCCCTGTGTTCAAGTTTCCCAGAGGAAACACTTTTTCTTTGCCCTTATGCTCAAGGACTGGGAACCTGCAAATTAAACCAACAAGAGGCTGATTTGTATGCATATGGCAGCTAACTAAAGTAATAGCTAGCTTGCCAAACAGTTAAAGTTAGAGGCTAATATTCCTAAGTAGGGGAAAGGGAGAGGAAGAAAAGCCTTCCATGGGAAGAAAATCATTTCTTTAGGAAGGACAAGGGGATTTTTAGAAGAAAAAACAGGAGATAAAGTTTGTGATGATGTTTCTTTATGCAGGCGCATGTAGCCTATCCATCCTTTAAGGATATGAGTTTCCCCAGGGAAGGGATTTATGACAGGTTTACTGTCAGTCTCTTTCCTGGGAGTAGACTCACCCAAAAGAGGGAATTTAGGGAAGGATTATTTCCCAGAAGTTTCAGATTTTAGTCAGATAAGGGAAACTCTGAGAAAGCTTCTTTCTGCATCTGGCATCTGTTGATTCTCAAATGTCTTCACCTTAAAATGATCTTTGTACCAACTCTGGGGTTCTGAGTGGGTCCCCACACCTGTTAAAAGATAATTTAAAAAGAAGTAGAAGTGAAAGGAGAAGGAAGATGAGGTAAAATCATGATATTCATATAAATATAAAATAAAAATGTCTCAAAGACCTCAAAGACTTTAATTCATTTACTAATGAGGGAACCAGTAAGATGTTACAAATAATTCAAAGGAGAATTCAATGCACACACACACACACACACACACACACACACACACACACACCCCAACAGGAATACTGAAATAAATCTGATTAACACATGCAAAAGAGACCAATAATCTATGGGGCAATAATCAATGTATCTCACAATCTGCATCTATCTGTCACATATAATCTGCATTTCTATCAACAATAAATCATTTGCGTTACTATAAGTATTCTACAACTTACAGAGTTGTAACATATACTCATAAAACATTTCAGTTAGCAATGGAACAGACCCTGTATATGACAGCGATCCCATAAGATTACAATGGAGCCAAAAAATTCCTATCACCTAGTGACATTGTAGCCATTATAACATTATAATGTTATAACATTATATTATATAATGTTATATATAATATAATGTTACATATTATATAACATATTATATATATAACATAACATAATATATAATGTATAACATGTTATATATAAATGTTATAATATATAACATATGTATATATAAAACATAATTATATACTGTTATAACATTATAAAAGCACAATTACTTTAAAAAAAACTTAATGTAAGGTCTGATCTTAGAAATTTTGTTATTGGGCTACCCAATTTACAGCCTTTAGGAGTCATAAATATGACAATTCCAACACTAAACTATTCAAAAGTTGGCATTCCAGCCATACCTGAAGGACCCTATTCAATGCAACTGGTGATCGTTCACATTCCCATAACAATATGTTTTCATATTTTACCCCATATCCTGACAGTTCCACATGTAGAGATATTTTGGAAAAGCTACCAGGGTACAGGGGTGGGGGACATTTTTAAATTGTTATATACAATCCCTACTGTCTTATAAGCAGATCTAAACACCTACCTGTGGTTATACAAATATTTGGAAGAAGACTAAATTACTCTGCATGAGAAATAAATAAAAGATACAGGAGCTGAGGGCAGATCCAAACCTTGAGAACAGTGGCAGCCAGGGAGGCTGGAAACTCAGTGCTGGAAAAGCTGAATCCTTTTCATCCTCCAAGCCAGAGAGACTCCATGACAACTGTCAGTCTAAAGAGGATAGTTAAGATAATTTGTACTGAAATATAAACTCTGTTGTCTCTCACCCTCTCAAAATTGTCAACCACTTAAAAAAAATTGTGAACCACTGAAATATTTAGGCTGGTTCAGGACTAAAACAGCATTCAGGGCAGATGGATAGCTGGGTTACACAACGAGAGCATGTTTACTTGCTCTTCTAGGAACTATTACTTCTGTAACTCTTTGGGCATACTTTTCCAGAGGGACTCAATATCATTTTTTCTATTGATTTGTGTTATTGCACTGTGAATTATTGCTGTTCTTAAAGATATGGTTCCATGCTAAAAAGGAAATGCTTTTTGTTTTTTACTTTCCCAACGTTTCCCTATAAACATCACTTACTGGCCCCTTGCCTTTCTACTTCTGTTCCTAAACAATTGAGTTCTAAAGCCATTTGGTGGATCAGAAGGAGGTATTTTTCTGTGTTGAGTGTGACAGAGTAGTGGTCCAGAGAAGAATTTCGGAGTTCCACTGGGGTGAGAAGGGCATCCTTAGAGGGGGCTGGTGCCTGGTCCTAAACAGGGTGGGGAGAGTGCTCATGTAAGTGAGAGTCTGCACTGAGTAAGGCGAGGAGAGCATCCATGCAGGAAAGAGGATCTGTCAAGATAATAAATATATTAAGTTAATAGAAAGCAAGCTTCTCTCACTGTCAGGAAAGGGAGTAACAGATATGTAAAGGGAGAAAATTAGACTGAGCCTGTAGTGTTGGATAAGAACTGGAGATGAACTCATAGTTTTCAGTATTAGAAATATACAGAGAAATTAATACAGATGGAAATGTGTGTATGTATGAATAACCATACATATATTTCCTAGTCTGTCCACTGAGAGACCTGGTGGCAGTGATACTCCACTATCAGTGAGCTTACCTTGTGTCTACATCTTGGCTTCTAAATACCATTCTACCCAGAGAGGACCCAGAGCTCCTTAGAGAAATGGCTAGTTACAGGGCTATAGCAGGGAAAATGCAAGATGATCCTGAAACATCTTGTAGTGCCAGAAAGCAAGGAAGAGTGCTCAAAAAATGATGCATAAATATTACAAAGACACCAAAGCTAGGTTAAAAGAGTTCCTACTGGTCCAATTTGAGACAACTTGCACATCAGAATACATAATAATAATCAACAGATTGTAACCCATTGAACAAAATAGGAAGCCATAAGTCTACCTGATAGAAATAAGTAAATGAATAAATTAACACTTTGATGAGGAAAGGGACTTTTGCAGTTTCAAAGTACCCCTCTACAAAATATGTATTAATTACAAAGGAATTTGGGTGAAACCACTAATGGAAAAAATTAATATCTTGTACTACCTGACAGGTTGAAATGAGCATCACTTGTGTGAATTTTATGCCAAAGATGCATAACCTGAATCTAATTATGATGGACATCAGACAACCCAAATTCAGGAACATTCTACAAAATAATTGACTTGCATTTTTCAAGGGTCAAGGCCATGAAAATGAAAAGAGGCTAAAGAAATGTGACAATTAAATGCAAGGAGCGATTCCAAACCAGATCCTTTTACTACAAAGGACATTTTGCAGGGGCAATATATAAACTTTAATGGGTTCTGAGGTTTAAGTGGTAGTAACAACTCCATGTTAAATTCCTGATTTTAATGGTTCTATTTACATAGGAAAATATTCTTGTTTGTAGGAAATACTAAAGTATTTAAGGGTGCTAGAGCATCAGGTCAAAAACTTACTTTCAAATGGTGGGGTGGTGGGGAAATGTTCTTTATCCAATACTTGCAACTTCTCAGTTTGAGATTATCTCAAAATTTTAAAATTATCTCAAAATTTTTTTTTTGAGAGTTTCGCTCTTGTTGCCGAGGCTGGAGTGCAGTGGTGCAATCTCGGCTCACTGCAACCTCCACCTTCAGGGTTCAAGTGATTCTCCTGCCTCAGCCTCCCGAGTAGCTGGGATTACAGGCGCCCGCCATCACACCCAGCTAACCTTTTGCATTTTTAGTAGAGATGAGGTTTCACCACGTTGGCCAGGCTGGTCTCCAACTCCTGACCTCAGATATCTGCCCACCTCAACCTCCCAAAGTGCTGGGATTACAGGCATAAGCCACCACACCCGGCCCAAAAGTTACTTTTAAAATATCACTTTAAAATATTTAAGATTCCTGATATAGCTGTTGAATCATAATGTTATGAAAATGTAGAACTAATTTCATGATACCGAGAGGTGACAGCGTGCTGGCAGCCCTTGCAGCCCTCGCTCGCTCTCGGCACCCCCTCGCCTTGGCGCCCATTCTGGCCGGGCTTGAGGAGCCCTTCAGCCCACCGCTGCACTGTGGGAGCCCCTTTCTGGGCTGGCCAAGGCCAGAGCCGGCTCCCTCAGCTTGCGGGGAGGTGTGGAGGGAGAGGGGCAGGCAGGAACCAGGGCTGCGTGCAGCGCTTGCAGGCCAGCGCCAGTTCCGGGTGGGCATGGGCTCTGTGGCCAGCACTCGGAGTGGCCGGCCGGCCCGCCAGTCAGGGGTAGTGAGGGGCTTAGCACCTGGGCCAGCAGCTGCTGTGCTGGATTTCTCGTGGGGCCTTAGCTGCCTCCCCGCTTGGCAGGGCTCGGGACCTGCAGCCTACCATGCCTGAGCCTCCCTCTCACCCCGCCTTGGGCTCCTGCACAGCCGGAGCCTCCCCGACGACCATGGCCCCCTGCTCCAGGGCACCCAGTCCCATTGACTGCCCTAGGGTTGAGAAGTGTGGGCGCACGGCCGGGACTGGCAGGCAGCTCCACCTGCAGCCCCTGTGAGCGATCCACTGAGTGAAGCCAGCTGGGCTCCTGAGTCTGGTGGGCACTTGGAGAATCTTTATGTCTAGCTAAGGGATTGTAAATACACCAATCAGCACTCTGTATCTAGCTCAAGGTTTGTAAACACACCAATCAGCACCCTGTGTCTAGCTCAGGGTTTGTGAATGCACCAATCAGCACTCCATATCTAGTTAATCTGGTGGGGACTTGGAGAACCTTTATGTCTAGCTAAGGGATTGTGAATGCACCGATCGGCACTCTGTATCTAGCTCAAGGTTTGTGAATGCACCAATCAGCACTCTGTGTCTAGCTCAGGGTTTGTAAATACACCAATTGGTACTCTGTATCTAGCTAATCTAGTGGGGACGTGGAGAACTTTTGTGTCTAGCTCAGGGATTGTAAACACACCAATCAGCACCCTGTCAAAACAGACCAATCAGCTCTCTGTAAAACAGACCAATCGGCTCTCTGTAAAACGGACCAATCAGCAGGATGTGGGTGGGGCCAGATAAGGGAATAAAAGCAGGCTGCCCAAGTCAGCAGTGGCAACCCGCTCGGGTCTCCTTCCAGCTTGTGGTGGCTTTGTTCTTTTGCTCGTTGCAATAAATCTTGCAGCTGCTCACGCTTTGGATTCACACTGCTTTTATGAGATGTAACACTCACCTCTAAGGTATAAAGCTTCACTCCTGAAGCCATCAAGACCACGAACCCACTGGGAGGAATGAACAACTCCGAACACACTGCCTTTATGAGCTGTAATACTCACCACAAAGGCCTTCAGCTTCACTCCTGAGCCAGTGAGACCACGAACCCACCAGAAGGAAGAAACTCCAAACAAATCCGAACATCAGAACTCTAGACTCGCTGCTTCTAAGAACTGTTAACACTCAACGCGAGGGTCTGCGGCTTCATTGTTGAAGTCAGTGAGACCAAGAACCCACCAATTCCGGACACAATACAATCATTGAGGAGCTATATCTGCCACTAAATATAAATTTTAAAGACTGGACATAAAAAGATAATATTCAGAAAAGTTATGTGGAGAAGAATATTCAAAAGAGCTGCATGAAAACACAGGCAGGTATGGCCAGTTAAAACATCTTCAAAGTAGCTGTAGCTGGAGGCTAATTCATTAAAGAATTTTTCTTAAAATCTTGGTGTTTAAAGTGTTCTTAAAAAATTAATAAAGATATAAAAAGTTAGTCTCAACACAGATTGGTTTATTTGTATGCTTGAGATCTCTGAAATACGTGATGTTCTGCCAGTGATGGCCTTTTTTTTTACTTTGTTTTAAACAATTGGTTGAAAAAAGATTAATTTTGAATAATTTCACAAGTGAGAACATTATTTGTAGCACAGCTCATTATTATATACATTTGACTATGTCCTTCATCAAACTATGTGCTCTGAAATGACTACGTACAAAGCCTTTCATACATGGATTGCTTCTCTCTATGAGAATGTTAATTGCCCTGTTATTAAGAAGTCCCGCTATACTTCACAAAGGAAGTAGTCACTTTTATTTTTTCATGCTTTGATCATTGACCCCAAATACATTTTTACATAATAAGCTTTTAATGATTATTCAAACTATTCTGTTCTTATTTCTTCATAATTATAAGTATTCTAGAAAGTTCCAAAGATTTACAAACTTGGTAAGGATAATGGGAGCATAACTGTACTGGGAGTCTACAGATATCTTTGAAATTATATGAATCTCAGATTTTAAAGTGTTATAGTTAATATGTGGCCAACACAAAAACCTGCACACAGGTGTTTATAGCAGCTTGTTCGTAATTGCCAAAACTTAGAAGCAACCAAGATGTCTTTCAGTAAGTGAGTGGATAAATATATATTAGTAAGTGTGAGAAGCCAGTTTGAAAAGGCTACCTACTGCATGATTCCAATGACATAACATTCTGGAAAAAGAAGAACTATGGAGATAGTAAAATGTTCAGTGGTTACCAGAGGACTTTTAGGGCAGTGAAACTACTCTGTATTATACTATAATGGTGGATACGTGTCATTATACATTTGTCCAA
Source organism: Homo sapiens (assembly GCF_000001405.40). NCBI lineage: Eukaryota > Metazoa > Chordata > Mammalia > Primates > Hominidae > Homo > Homo sapiens. The sequence goes on from NC_000004.12 coordinate 158,569,375, forward strand.
ACCCATAGAATGTATAACATCAACAGTGAACTCCAATGTAAACTACGGACTTTGACTGACAATGATGTGTCAGTGTAGGTTCATCAACTGCAACAAATGCACCACTCTGGACTGGGGAGAGTGTTGATGGTGGAGGAGGCAGGGACTATATGGGCACTCTCTGTACCTTTTGCTCTATTTTGCTGTGAACCTAATAGCTATAAAAAATAAGGTCTACTTTTTAAAATGGCATTGTTGCCCTTCAAAGTCAGAATAGGATGGTTATGTGAAACGTTATCAAATATTCATACCTTTCAATTGTTTATGGAACAATTTTTACTCCTTAAGTTTGTCTCCTCTAATTTTACTATTCAACAAGTAATTTTCAGCATCCCTAACCAGAGATACAAACAAATAACGACAAGGGCTTTGTTTACAATGAGTGTTCTTTTTTGTTGGTGGGGGGTGGGGATAAGATTAAAGCATTCGAAACAATTGGACAACCAATATGTGATGAAATTTAATTAATTGATTGTTAGTGTAGATGAGTGTGTCTGGTGCAAAGAGGTTAAAGTGGACTGCTTTTTGAAGTATTGATAGTTTTAAAGTTCTTATAGTGCTCTTCATTCTATTAAATGTTTATTTGTAGGGGTATAAATATAGCAAATCAGATAATATTTCAAAACTTTAATATTTAAATTAGCTTGGACACTCAAACATTCTTTCCTAGAAACGCAATTGCAAATAATGACTAATTTTTCTTCAAAAAAGGAAGTAAAAGAATATTTATCTAATAGGATTAGAATCTCACCTAGATGCAAGCCAATAAAGTCTGAGTCAGGAATTCCAACAAGGCTGGAGCCCAAATTTCAGGAGGAAGTGATAGTGACGAGGGGGAATGGTAGTGATGGAGAAGGAGTTCCAGGAATCGGGGAAGGTATAAAAAACCAGAATGGGACTTCTGGATTGAAGATGGAGTTTGAAAGTGTTGAAGTGAGTGAGAAAGTATTGAGCTGAGTTAGAAAACTCACATGGTGAAGCTCTTGGGTAAGGATGGAAATGAAGGCAAATGAGCTATCTTTATTCTTGCACCCTACCTTTCCCCCAGAGAGTCTCAGTGGTGGCACTGCCATGCTTCCAGCTGGTCAAGCCAATTCAGAACATTCTGTCCATTTCCATTCTACCCCTAAATTACATGTCAAATATGTTCACTTCTCTCCTCTCCACTGGCGCCATTCTAGACTAAGCCTCATTTGTCTATTACCTGGAGCACTGCAAAGTTTCCTAATCAGCAGCCCAGCTTTCCCTCCTACCCTCCCCTCAAGTCTCCTACCCAATGGCACTCCATCCCAGTAGCCAGAATTATATGACCAAAACATACCTGTTTCCTAATTGGCCCCTTGGCTTCAAATTCTTCATTGATTCCCCTTTGCATTTTAAATAAAACCCAAACTTCTTCCCTTTGCCCAAGGATACTTCTCTACCTCATCAACCTCAGCTCATGTCACTTGTCCCTGCTCACTGGGCTCCATCACCACAACCCTCCCAGAGTTCCGTAATCCTCAGCCTGAAGCCTCTTCCTCACCACTTTAACTACCACCACCACTTCCCCACTCCTACCTCCCCTACTCTCATGGGTGATTTCCTTTTCTTCCTCCAGATCTCAGCTTAAATGACACCATTTTACAGCGGCCTCCCTCTAACTACCCCTTGTACAAAGCACCAGCACACAGTTATTTTCCATTACATCACCTGTTTTCTTTCTTTTTGGACCTCTCCATAAATTGTAAATATTTATTAACTTGTTCAATGTATCCTCCCTGGGAGATGGTAACCTCCCCTAGGGCAGGAACTCTGTTTCATTCAATGATGCATGCATAAAATCTTGCACAGGGCCTTACACTTAGCAACTATCCAATATAGAAATGATCACATGGCACCTGCTTTCCTGTTATCCTCTATGTCTTCTTGTTTCTCCAATACTAATACAGGAGTTATTAAGAAATTATTTTAGGCAGTTAGGGTAAAAGAGGCTGGGCGCGGTGGCTCACACTTGTAATCCCAGCACTTTGGGAGGCCGAGATGGGCGGATCACCTGAGGTCAGGAGTTCAAGACCAGCCTGACCAACATGGTAAAACCTCGTCTCTACTGAAAATATAAAATTAGGCGTGGTGGTGCATGCCTGTAATCTCAGCTACTCAGGAGGCTGAGGCAGAAGAATCACTTGAACCTGGGAGGCGGAGGTTGCAGTGAGCCAAGATTGTGCCGTGGCACTCCAGCCTGGGCGACAAGAGTGAAACTCTGTCTCAAAAAGAAAAAAGAAAAAAAAATAAGAAATGGTAAAACAGTCCTCGGTGGAATTTTCCTTTAATAAAAAGCAGCCCCAAACCATTTCTTTTCTAACAGAAGCAGCCTGAAAAGTCAAGCTGCAAGCACAGATATGCAAGCTGGAAGCTTTCGTATGTAAATGTCAGCAGCTGTACCTGGAAGCCAGATACATTCAATGTGGCGATTCCCGCTCCCTTTTCCTTATCACCATGTGTGTGGGTATCACAGCACTGGCCAGGTAAAGCCATGTGTGCAGGTGTCAGGGTGACAGCCAGGTAGAAGCCACATTTGCATAATAAAAGATTAGGGTGGGAGGGCCAGTCTTTTAGGTCTTTTTGCAGGCTATGTAAATGACACACCTGGTGAAACCAATCCCCTGGGCTCTATGTAAATCAATCACCGCCTCCTCAAGCCTCTGTACAAAATCAATCGTGTTCTGCCCCAAAACCCGGAAACCCTCTCTTGGGCCACCGGCTTTCTCATCATGAGGAAACTTTTTCTCTCTTCTTTTTTGTCTATTAAACTTTCCTCTCCTTAACCTACTCCACGTGTGTGCCCGTGTACTTAATCATCTCAGGGTGAGACAATGAACCACAGGTTTTCCACAGACAATGAAGTCGTTTCAATACCAGACCAGCCTTGATTCTGAGCCCATAGTAAGAATACAACAAATTCCTGTTTTTAAAATTATTGGCTGAAAATTGTTTGTAGAAGACGGTAATTGGATTGAACTGTGAAGTATGGGCAGACGTTTCATAGAAGAGAGGAATGGAGAGGCACTCCGGGTGGGAAACAGCATGAACAAAGGCAAAGAGGAAAATGTTGGCATCTTCTGGAATCATGGAAAGAACGTCCTAAGAGGTGAAGGTTCCTAGAAAATAACTGGCATCAGGGTTGTATGTAGAAACCATGATGAGAAAGACAAATGATTATAAAATATCAGGGAGAAACTGCTCTTTGCCACGCCTTTGTATTAACCACCTTCAAACTTTGTGTCTTCTCCCCTTTTCCTCAGTTTCTCATGGGGGTGGACAGGATGTCAAGTGCTCCCTTGGCTATTTCCCCTGTGGGAACATCACAAAGTGCTTGCCTCAGCTCCTGCACTGTAACGGTGTGGACGACTGCGGGAATCAGGCCGATGAGGACAACTGTGGTGAGTGAAGCCCCTGCAGTCACGGTGAGAGAAAGGAGCAGAAAGGACTGAAGGTGAAGTCGCTGAGACTTCTCTCAACAAAAAGACAAAACTAAATTGAAATACAAAACATATGTTGCTTAAGGAAATCTTACACTTATTTCAGTAGCTTAAAATATCCACTCTTTTCTTTTCTTGTTTTTGTTTTTTTTTGAGACGGAGTCTCGCTCTGTTGCCAGTCTGGAGTGCAGTGGCGTGATCTCGGCTCACTGCAACCTCTGCCTCCTGGGTTCAAGTGATTCTCCTGCCTCAGCCTCCCGAGTAGCTGGGACTACAGGTGCCCACCATCACGCCCGGCTAATTTTTTGTATTTTTAGTAAAGACAGGGTTTCACCGTGTTAGCCAGGATGGTCTCAATCTCCTAACCTCGTGATCCACCCACCTCTTCCTCCCATAGTGCCGGGATTACAGGCATGAGCCACCGTGCCCACCCTTAATATCCACTCGTTTCCATGTAATGGTATCACAGCCAATATTCCAGGCGAGTGGTGGTTGCTCACAGAGTAAGTTTTAACCAAGATTGTCCAACCCGCAGCCTGCAGGCTGCATGCGGCCCGGGATGGCTTTGAACGCAGCCCAACACAAATTCATAAGGATTTTGAAAGCATTAGATTTTTTTTGTGATTTTTTTTTTAAGCTCATCAGCTATCATTAATGTAAGTGTATTTTATGTGTGGCCCAAGACAACTCTTCTTCCAATGTGGTCCAGGGAAGCCCAAAGACTGGACACCCTTGTTTTAACCCAACAAACCTGCCCAAGTAAGGTGTTAGAGGCAGAATACGGTTGAAATTGAGAATACGGGCTCTGGAGCCAGACTGCCCAAGTTTGAACCTGGGTATGACGATAAGCAATTATGTAAGCTTGAGAACATTTCCTAGCCTCTCTGTACCTCAGTTTCCTCATTTCATAAAAGGGCATGGTAATTGTGCCTATACTCTAAGAATTCAGGAAGATTAAGGGTACAGAATTAGAAGAGTACTGGACATCTAGGAGGTGCTGTCCAGGTGTTGGATGCTGTTGCCCTTTCTTATCTTTTGGGACGAAAAGTGAGTTCTTCTAAAAGAGACAAAACAAACAATATGTAAATACAACTTACTTCCTACTTAACCAACAACCATACCTCTGGATTTATAAAGCCAGTAAGTAGGGCTTCTGGCCAATTTGAATATGGGAAAATAGCTTTCAGTTAGAATTTTGTTCAAACTTCTGAAGCCTTGAAAATACAAAGTTAGAACCTGAATTGTTTGGATCTGAGTCACTGGGAAAATAAACTTCGGTTAATAATGTAAAGTAGTAAGATTTCTCACCTGTCAAGAAATAAGGTACTATTTTGGGAGGACTAAAAGATGCATAACAATGCTATTATGCAAAGTGTCACATAAATAATATATGCTAATGAGGCCTTGCTGTGATCACTCCCCCAAGTATTTCAGGCTTTTTAAGAAACCACCTTGAAGGAATTAAGTTTCCGTTAACATAAAATAAGATGAACACCTGGCTTGAAAATCCTCCTACTTGAAAAAAATCAGCTAGGTCACACAAGCAGACCTTAACTGAGCTAATTTCTTGAATGTAACTGAAACTTAGGTTGTTTCTTGTAAATGCCTCTGATAATCACAAACAAAACTTAAATTGTCTTTCTAAAGTGGTATAAGGTAAATCACTTTTAACCAGTCCGCTATCACCTGGAAACCCCGTTGTAATAACCAGTCATGGAAAAGGTTGAAGAAATTCCTCATTTTCACTTTATGAGCAATCCTATAATACATGCCTCTGAGCTTTCTTACTGCCTGGGCTGAAATCTCCCTGATATCGAGCTGTACTTTCTCTTACTGTATGATAATAAACTTTTAAATTTTTATAACTTGATCTGATTTTATTTTTGCCACTTCTTAGTTTGAAACACTATTTCTATGTGATGGCAGTAACTCAAGTATAACCACACTATCTAAACTAGTGAGCTTAAGCTGCAATTGTATTTGATTTGGATGGCTATAAATACGTTTTCATTTATTTAAAAAAAACAACGTCTTGTTAAAATAAATTAATATTACATAATTTTTTAATTAGATGAAACAGTGTTTTGCCCACTGCTAGTCAGTTCCCCGTCGACCTGCTGGCAGTTCAAATAGAGAGTTCTAGACAGAGCAACAGGAAAACTTCACTCCAATTAAAATGGCAGCTGGAAGCAGGAAAGGAACGTGGTGGGAGTAGCAAATTTACCAGCAAATGTAGCTTCTCAGTGGAAAAAAAGCTTGGGAACTCTAGCTTTAGTGCTAAGTTTAAAGAGGCCAAGTAGCAAAAGTAGCAATCCTTACAGTAATAATCCTTAAAATCATGCAAGTTTCTCAGGATTCACCAAAAAGCACATTTAGACAGAGGCAATAGGGCATTGGGGTTTCAGAGAGAAGTTTAGAAATCAGAGTTAAACTCTAGCTATAAAGGGAGGCAAAAAATGGCTTGTTTTCTTTTCTATAAAACAGGAATAATAAGAGTATCCATGTTCATGGGTTGTTAACAGGATTCCATGAGATAATGTATCCGAGATGCTTAGCAGAGTACAGGTGCTTTGGACTGAATGCTTGTGTCCCCCATAAAGTTTATATGTTGAAGCCCTATCCCCCAGTGTGATAGGATTTGGAGATGGGATTTGGGGGATGTAATTAGGAATACGTGAGGTCATAAGAGTGGATTAGCATCCTTATGAGTCCTAAGGGAGCTTGCTTCATCTCTCCACCATGTAAGGAAACAGCAAGAATACTGCTGTCTGTGAACCAGAAAGTGGGCCATCACTAGACATGACTCCACCAGCACCTTGATCTTGGACCTCCCAGTCTCCAGAACTATGAAAAATAAATGTTTATGTTTAAGCCACCCAATCTATGATACTTAGTTATAGTAACTTGACCTAAGACAATAGGACATGAAATTAGCACTCAATAAATGTTACCTAGTGTTATCAGTTAGCTGTAATTATATTACAAACATAGTGGCCTAAAACGTAACCATTTATTTAGCTTATGATTCTTGGGGTCAGCAATTTTGGATGGACTCCACTGAGATCAGCTAGGCAGTTCTGGTCTCAGCTGGATTTTCTCAAGCACCTGCAGTCATCTGTGGATCAGCTATGCCATGATGCCTGGGACCTTGTCTGTGTCCTTAATTCACCATTGCCAACGTTTGAAACCTCTCAAGTCCAGTTTTGGATATCTGGGAAAGATCATAATTCACTCTTATAAAGACATGTCTATGTAAAAAATAACTATTTCAATTTGTTACTGATCTTCTTATGCCAGAATCACATAACTTTCTTGAAATTCACCTAGACCACTGGATCTCCAAAAGTAGTCCTGAGACCAAATTCATCAACATTACCCAAGAAGTTGTTAGAAATACACATTTTGGCCAGGCCCAGTGACTCACACCTGTAATCCCAGCACTTTGAGAGGCCAAAGTGGGAGGATTGCTTGAGTCCAGGAGTTGGAGATCAGCCTAGGCAACATGGCAAAAACCTGTCTCAATATTTTTTAAAAAAGAAAAAATAATTATTTTAAAATATTTATATAAAAATTTAAAAAAAGAAATGAAAATTCTCAGGCTCCATCCCAGACCTATTGAATCAAAAGCTCTGTTTTAATATGAGCCTCGTGTCATTCTAATACACGCTAAGTTTTGAGAACCATGAACCTAAACCCAATGAGCAGAAAATCAGGAATGCATGCAAAATGGTAGCAACAGCAGAGATACATTAGAATCAAGTTTTCAATATGGTACACAAGCATTCTAACTTGCTCACAAACTCCATTATTATCAATTATCTACAATTTTTAGCTCCTCTAGGAAAACCGGTATGCTAGTAGTGGCAGTCATCTAGAAATAGAAAAAAAAAATTAATTCCGTTCAAAACCTCAAAGATGCCCAGTTGGCATGCTGCTGCTGTCCATGCAAAAATAGACTGGAACTTTCCAGGAAGGATGGCAGAATTTCATCACCATCTTTAGAGTCCAGGTGATGGAAAAATTATGAGATGCAGTTATTTCTGTTTGTCTCTAATTGCTTTAATTTCCCTTGCAAACTGAGTGGTTTTTTCCTTCATTTTATAGTATCTGGATCATTTATGCTCCCAAGGCTGTTCTTTTCTTCTTCTTCTTCTTCTTCTTCTTCTTTCTTCTTTTTCTCTTTTGAGACAGTCTCATTCTGTCACCCAGGCTGGAGTGCAGTGGCGTGATCTCAGCTCACTGCAACCTCTGCCTCCAGGATTCAAGTGATTCTCCTGCTTCAGCCTCCCAAGAGCTGGGGCTACAGGTGTGTGTTACCATGCTCAGCTAATTTTTTGCATTTTTAGTATTGATGGGGTTTCACCATGTTAGCCAGGATGGTCTCAATCTCCAGACCTCATGATCCACCAGCCTCGGCCTCCTAAAGTGCTGGGATTACAGGCATGAGCCCACCGCACCTGATCGGCTGTTCATTTTTAAAACATCCATATGTAAATTCTGTTTAATACTAATTAAATTAAGTCAGAAAGTTGCTTCTTTTCAGAATATGTAAACCTCATGCATATTTTCCGTCATGTAAAATACAATATCTTAACATACAAATATAAGAAAACCCCATAATTAAAAATCATTTTTAGAGTAATAACTTACAACTTAATAGTATATTGTCAAATAAAATACCTTCTTTTAATGAAAGAGTTTTTTCTTAATTAGACCTTTTAAGGTATATCTTAAACTCCAAAAACCTCTCCCTTATTCTGTCAAGCTATTTAAACCTTGACACTAATAATAATTATTAAAATGGAAAAATAAGTCAAATGGAAATTGTAGAAATAAAATTTAGGGATATCGCTGAAAAAAATGAAACACCAAATGAATTAAACTGAGTCTCTATATTTGAACTAATACATGAACTAATTATATTTAGAAAGAACTGTCACTTTTGTGTTATCGCAGGCACTTTAAACAAGTACTCTTATTTAGTACATATTAAGGTCCCAGTTTTCTCAGAAAACCCATAAATAATTAATTTCCCTGTAATTAAACACTTTATTAAGTATAAAAAATAAAATATTTCAGCACAAAGAGCATGACATTAACTCAGTGAAGATTTTTTGTGAACACAATGCAAGCAAAATCAATAGATTTAAAATTTTTCAGTTGAATTCATATGAATCCTTTTTTCTAAAATATTTACACAATATGGAATTTACATGTATACAGACATACATATATCAAAAACTGATTACACTATTTTTATAATAACTTTGATCCTTACTGGTGAACTTCAGTATAGAAATGTATAGATGTTTCCTGAGTTATGCAATTTTATATCATTCCCATATAATTCCATTTGTTTTTTTGCCATGTGTCACTAAACCATTCTTCATCTCTGCTCAGAACTGTCACAGACACAATCAAACAGCATAAGGACCAAAAAAATTTTTTTAAGTCATCAGAGCAGTGTTTGATGTGACAATGACAAACCCAAAAGGAGGGACCTTTCAGTTTTTCAGCTAGAACTATGATACCTGAGAGAATACATCTGGGTAAATAACAAAGGAACCTGATAACAAAAAGTTGAGGGTTCTTCTTTAGGAATCATCTGTGTTCATTTTCAAATGAGTGCAAGCTCAGTAGTAAAAATGTTAAAGGAACATCAAATTCTCAGATGCTGTTAAATTAGTTCACTTCCTCTAGATTTGTATTTAAAAGAAACTCTTTACGTTTCTAGATTAGAATTTGCTCTAGCATTCCTTCTGTGTTATAAACAGAAGGCTGTGCTAAATAAGGGCTCCCCCTCATGGTTACACTAACCCAACCTTATCTGAGAGACAGGTTGAATTACTGTAACTGGGAAGACTGGCTTTCTGGTGCCTCCCTACTGTACTCTTGTTCTTTAGCACTTTAGCAGCCTTGTCTACAGGAAAAGGATAAAGGCCTTTGTCAGTCTGTTTACATATTACCAATTCTATAACCCATAGGGGAAATGGAAAACCTCTTCTAATACATTTTGGGTCGTGTAGTGTGTTAGTATCTGCCAAAAATTAACGTGCAAATAATGTGACCTTATTTGGAAATAGGGTCTTTGCAAATATAATGCAGGTAAAGAGTGACATCATACTAGATCAGGGTGGGCCCTAGATCCAATGACAGTGTCCTCGCAAGAGACAGGAAATGGCATACAGAGATGCTGGAGAGAAGAGGGCTGTGTGAAGACAGAGGCAGAGACTGGAGCGATGCTGCCACAAGCCAAGGAACACCAGGAGCCATCAGAAGCTGAAAGAGGCAAGGAAAGATTCTCCCCCTAAACCTTCTGAGACGCTGTGGCCCCACTGACACCTTGGTTGCAGACGTCTGGCCTCCAGAACTGTGAGAGAACAAACTTCTCTTGTTCTTGTTTTTTTGTTTTGAGACAGAGTCTCACTCTGTAGCCCAGGCTGGAGTGCAGTAGCACAATCTCGGCTCACTGCAACCTCTGCCTACCGGGTTCAAGCAATTCTCCTGCCTCAGCCTCCTGAGTACAGGAACTACAGGCGCATGCCACCACCCCCAGCTAATTTTTGTATTTAATAGAGATGGGGTTTCACCGTGTTGGCGAGGATGGTCTCGATCTCTTGACCTCGTGATCCGCCCACCTCGGCCTCCCAAAGTGCTGGGATTACAGGCGTGAGCCACCGCAGCCTGCCCAACTTCTCTTGTTTTAAGTCACCAAGTTTGTGGGAATTTGTTACAGCAGCCCTGGGGAACAATGCATGTTAGGACAGTTTGTGGAGAAGGGCCATCTTCTGTGGGCCTAAAGAGACATTATTAAGGTCGACATAAAGTTCTGGTCCAGATTAAAGCAAGCCTTAGAATTTAGTCTTAGTGGATTTTAGACAGAATTTCCAATGAGCTGTTCTTACGCATAATTGTATGTGGTATAAAACCTCCTAAAGATGATTTTGCTTCACTGTTCACTTGCAGTTCTGGGTTGTGCTAAACTTGAACCACATGGTTTTTACCGGGTGTTTTGTACTCTTTTATGTTATGGTGAGTCAGGTATGGCTACAAGAGACACCAGGGAGGCTCAGAAACACAAAAGTTTATTATTCCCACAGGTTCTAGAGACAGGAGGCAGGGCATACCATACAGGGCTAGATGGGAAAGACACCAGGATGGTCAGGAGGCAGAAGACGGGTGAGAGGGGAGGCATCAGGCCAGAGCCTTTATTGGGGTTTCTGAGGGAAACACAAGGCAGTGCAGGGTGAGCAGCTTAAGATGTGCTGGTTTGAATAATTTTGGAGGGCTCTAAACATTAGCAGTGGTCCTTACTTCCCAGCTACCTGGCCCTAGGATAATGAGGAGGAGGACTATTGCCTCCGGGGTGTGTGGGCTAATCAGAGGAGCTCTAGGTCTGGATTGGTTAGTTTGCATATCAAAGGCATGCTCTGAGCACCCTTTGCTCTCTAAGAACTGACAAGCCCTGGGAAAGACAATCTCTTACTAGCCTAGAAAGGTTTTTTAAAAGATGTTAAATATCATAATATACAGAAAAAATGTTTAAATGTACAATATACCAAGTCTTTCTTGAGTTCAACTTTGCCAGCACTTCCCTCCCTGCCTCCCACTTCTCAAATGTACACAGAAAGTTGCGGCAACAAACAACAGTAAGTAGAGAGTCACCTTTACCATGTAGCAAAAACTGCCCTCTGCCTATGAATGCTTCTCTGGGAAGCTCCTTGAAAGTATGAACATTTTCCCACGTAAAGTTTTCTATTTCAGCTCCTTCCCAATGTGATCTTAAATGCTTTGCCTTCCCTCCCCACTGCGGCGGACTTTGTTGTCTGTTAGTAATAGTTTACTTTGCAATTTTGCCATTCACTGAATATTTTAGGTTTGAAAAGACATCTTATGTTCTAGGTTTGTCTATGCATGACTACTTTTTTTATTATTATTTTTGAGACTGAGTCTTGCTCTATCACCCAGACTGGAGTGCAATGGCGCGATCTCAGCTCACTGCAACCTCCGCCTCCCAGGTTCAAGTGATTCTCCTGCCTCAGTCTTCTGAGTAGCTGGTATTACAGGCACCTGCCACCACACCTGGCTAATTTTTAATAGAGACAGGGTTTCACCATGTGGTCCAGGCTGCTCTCGAACTCCTGACCTCAAGTGATCTACCCACCTTGGCCTCCCAAAGTGCTGGGATTGCAGGCATGAGCCACCATACCCAGCCTGTGCATGACTATTTGTGACACTATATTCTAACCCTCCTAGGAATATTTGGTTTTGTCTAATAAGAGTTGTAATAATAAAATTAATAGTGTCTTATATTTTTTTAGTATTTATTATGTTTCAGACATAGTCCTAATCCTTTAAGCACATTCTCTCATTCCTCCTCACTATAAATTAGATATGATAGACTATTTCCATTACACAGGGAAGGAAAATGGAAGTACAGAGAGGTTACATAACTCTTCTGACATCATGGTTTGCTCAGAATTCATACCAAATGCTTGGCTTGTTCTGTTTTGTTTTTGTTTGGGAGGAAAGAACATGCTTATGATGTTAATCATTGTGTAGTAGGGCCTTCAAACAAATCTCTTATTGATAAAATTTGAATTCTATGAAGTCTTCCCTTTAAGGATTTTGGTTTTAAAAAGGTAAATTATTTTTAACTTTCTTTTTAAAATATATAAGAGATTAGATGAACTTCCAAACCTAAAATTGCAAGTATAATAGTATGAATAATGAGTAGTATTTTTATAGCAGTTTCCATTTTGAGTGCTTTATACATTTTACCTCATTTAATCCTCATGACAACCCAGGAGAAAGGGACTGTTTTTGTTCCCTTTAAAGATGGAGACATTGATGCACTGCATCAATTTCATCCAAGTCATGGATGTCTGTTTTGCCTTGTTATAAAGGAATAGTTGTGGCTGGGTAATTTATGAAGAAAAGAGGTTTATTTGGCTCATGGTTCTGCAGACTTTCCAAAAAGCAGGGTACCAGCATCTGCTCAGCTTCTGATGAGGGCTCAGGCTGCTTCCACTCATGGCAGAAGGCAGAGGGGAGCCAGTGTGTGCAAAGATTACATAGCGAGAGAGGAAGCAAGAGAGAGGAGGGGAGGTACCAGGCTCTTTTTAAGCTAGCTCTCTTTTGAGCCAATAGAGTGAAAGAGAAGTCGTTCACCCTCAAGGGACAGCATTAATCTATTCATGAGTGACCCACATTCATGATCCAAACTAGGACCCACCTCCCAATACTCCTAATACTACCACATTGGGGATTACATTTCAGCATGGGGTTGGGTGGGAACAAACAGCCAAACTATAGCAGTAGACATGACAATCATTTCAAGTTCTCAAGTGAGTGAGAAATGTAAATCTTCATTTTTCTATGGCCAAAGGTAATTTCTGCTACAAGGGTCCATTCTTCCAAGTGGTAGAAGTCTAAACCAAGGCAGTTAAAGGTCTGATTCATTTCCCTTCACCTGGCATTGCAGTTGAGCTCAGCAGTCTCTGTGGTGCCAGGACATTGTGTGGGGGTTCTGGTTGCCTGTTGTCAGCTGATGATGGCAGCATCCCCTCAGATGTGCATAAATCCATCTGGTCCTCTGCCGTAAGTCACCACTCTGTCATCTCCTGCCTGTCTTAGGCTCTTTCACATCCAGTGCCTCTCCTGCCTACATCTGCAGCACTCTGGGGCTCACAGGAAACATTTAGTACACCTGAGCCAGGCTGAGCCCAGGAGAATTTTCATGCTCATATTTAGGTCCATCTGCCTAGGCCCTTATGGCCATTTCTCCTCTACTATTCCTGTGTCAAGCCAGAGTGTGCAATAATTCTGTGGGTCCTGCCATACATATGGCCTCTACTTAGCAAAGGACACCAGGCTACCCCTGTACCCAGAGCCCAGAAACCAATATGGGAAATGTGTGGTTTCCCCTAGATTCAGCCCAAGGAGGAGGGAAGGAAGAAAGACCCCTCCACTCTCTCTGGTGCAAGTCTCTTGTTAAGTCTGGGAAAAGCAAAGCTCAGCTCTTCTCTTTTTTGGTCTTCCATATCTATTGTCAGTAATCAAATTTAAGCATTTAAAAATCAAATACCAAGAAATTTGACTACCTTATTATCTGTAAACTTCTGTCTCATCCCTTTCAGGCAATGAAAGTGGTTAATTCTAGCTGCCTAGGATAGGAAAAGGAGCAGAAAGTGCAAGGAATTTAAGAGAAGGAAAACTTTGTTAATGCCCCAAAGTATTTTTCCTGTCACTGGCTTGGCACTTACTAATCCATGAGAATTAGATAAGCAGTACTTATTTATGGGTGTGATGGTGATGATACATATTTTCAAATCAGATTACAAGAATGTTTGAAGTATGTCAAGCAGTTTTAAAATTTTCAATTGGTCCTGTGTTTAAAATTCTGGAACATTAATTATTCCATTATTTCCCAAGTACAACTTACTATACAGCTATCAGAATGATGGCAATGCCAGGTGGTTTGATGGAGACATTAGCGGTTCTCATTTTAGAATATTCCACTAAAGTTGGTGGTTTGTCTTGTTTTCAAGTTAAAAACACAGAAGGATACACATCACATGCCTGTATCAAAATATCTTATATGCCCCATAAACATATAGACTGACCATGTACCCATAAAAATTAAAAATGTAAATAAAACACAGGAGGAAAAGTGATGTGTCATAAATATGTGTATTAATGCACAATCATGCATTGTATTTTCAAAATTTTCTGGTTTTCTATTTATTATTCTCAAAATAACATTGCAAATACCTAAGTAGCTGAACCCTAGGCTTTTCTGAAAATACAGACCTAGCTTTAACCTCAAATTTGTTTATTTGTGTTTTATGATACTTAAACTATGTATGGCTTACCACCACAAAGATTTTCCTCTCAGAACACTTCCTTCTATATGGCACAGAAAAGGTAATTTGTTAGTGGCCTCAATTTCCTTTAAAGGATGCCCAGGATAATGTCACATCCTTTGATTTCCATAAACAGTTGCCTCCAAAAGGTATTAAGACCCCAGAAAGAGGTATATGTATTCTGTCCCTCAAACTGCTGTTGTCATTAAATTCAAAGAAACTCCACACAGTTTGATGAATTGCTCTGCCTGGCCAGCCTGCATTCCAGCGTTTACTCTGGTGGCCTAGGGCACCTCTGCTCTTGTGGGTAATAACCTCATTTTACTTTATGAGCAAAAGATGTTCCACTGTGTTCGAAGAATGAGTACTGAAAGTTGACTAAATACGTGAGAATCAGAAATGCTCCACTTTAGGGCCAGACATGGTGGCTCATGCCTGTAATCCGAGCACTTTGGGAGGCCGAGGTGGGTGGATCACAAGGTCAGGAGTTCGAGACCAGCCTGGCCAACATGGTGAAACCCCGTCTCTACTAAAGATACAAAAAATTAGCTAGGCATGGTGGTGCATCCCTGTAATCCCAGCTACTCAGGAGGCAGAGGCAGGAGAATTGCTTGAACCTGGGAGGTGGAGGTTGCAGTGAGCCAAGATCATGCCACTGCACTCCAGCCTGGGCAACAGGGTGAGACTCTGTCTCCAAAAAAAAAAAAAGAAAGGCTCCACTTTGCATAAATACAAGCCTTATAAATTAACCACTTATTTATTAATCAATAAGCATGTACACTTATTAAACTATCACATTTAGCCTTTCATTTTCATAAATGATCATACCATTTAACATGACATCATCACACACTCTGTTCTGGCCTCTGCTCTGACAGAGACATAAGTCCCTCAACCAAACATCAAGGGAGCCCAGGAGTGACCCTGCAAATCGACAGGAATGTTTCTGAGGACTACCTGCATCTGAGCCACCTGGGGGGCTGTGAAAGATGCTGAGTCCTAACCCCCCACCCCAGAAATGCTAATCTAATAAGTAGGAGTAAAGCCCAGGAATCTGCATTTTTTTAACAAATACCACAGATGACTATCAAACCAGTTTAAGTTTTGAAATAATTCATATGCCAATGGAGACAATTTTATTATCCAATTCATAACACCTAGAAAATGATTAGTCTAAATCAGAAGTTTTTAACGTTGGCAGACATCTAATCACTTGGAAGGCTCGTTAAAACATAGATTGCTGGGCTCTCAGGTTGCAGAGTTTCTAATTCGGTGCATCTGAAGTAAGGCCCAAGAATTTGCTTTTCTTTCAAGTTCCCAGGTGATGCTGCTGCTGGTCCCAGATATACACTTTTGAAAACCACTGATCTAGACGATCTAGACAGTCTTCTTGTGCAAATGCAAAAGCAAACATTTTCAAAATGTACTAATAGGTGTCATATGGAAAGAGTTAAACAAAATTAAAGCTATTTCTTTATTGCCTGAGTTCTCATTTCATCATACCAGCATGCATTATTAATTCCAAGTGGGGATAGAGGATGCAGCATTTCCCAAACATATGTTACCATAGAACTCTCTTCTCAAGGATATTCCTGAGAAACTATTTCAGAAAAGCCTGATAAAGCACTGTGACAAGTTAATGCATCCAAGAAACTTGGAAGTTTCCTGTCCCCAATCAAATCTCATCCTTTGTCCTCATCCCCCAGTGCCAGTGCCAGGGGAATCTAACAACATGGGGGGAGAGAGATGCCTTCTCCAGAATTCAAATTGGTATGCCTCACCCACTTTTCCATAAAACTAAATTATAACTAATACTTGGTACAAATGAAATAATGTTCATGCATTTTATGTACTTTAAACACTTTATGAGGACTAGTAAGAGCTAGATTTCAATGATATTAAAAGTACCTTATGACATTTTGAGCTGGATGATAAAAGAAAAAAAAAGATAAAAGTACCTTAGTAGTCACTGAGGTATACAAAAATACATAGGTAAAAAAGATTTTCTACTATACTCTCATAAAGAGATAAAATATATACATCAATAAGCATAGCATGAAGCAGATTACAGTAAGTATAATAAGACCGTTATAAGCAAAATGTCCTTAAGTTGGGGACCACCCACATTAATCTTATTTGAGTGTCTTAAACTACTTGATGGTCGACATCTAGCAACTTTGCTTAAAAGCAATACACTCCGAGTCACAGGATTTTTCTGTGACTAAATTCTAGCTGTCCTCCAATGCAATGTGAGAAGGACCCTAGTTGACTATGGCAAATCCCATAATGCAGTTCTTCCAAAACTTGCTTTAAGACTAACCTAGGCCACTTATGAAAAATATAGATTTCCCAGACTCCATGCTGACCAAATAAATGAGAGTCTCCAGTGGAGAAGCCTGTAAATTTGTGTTTTGGATAAATGCCCCAGCTCTCAGTTTTTATTTTAGCATAAGAGAGACTGAGCTTTCTCTGAAGTGTCTTTAAGGACAGAAATCCAATCATTCATTCATTCAATCAACAAATATTTAGTAAGCTCATGCAGCATGCAAGATCAGATTTTTCTTAATCTATGTTTTTAGACTTTATTTATAGCATGACTATATCATTTTTAGCTGAAAAGCTCTTTTTTAGTAAAAATATTTGTTTTATTGGTGCCATTTTTACAACACTACCCATATATACTGGAAACCATATCCCCTAACCCAATATTCTCTTCTGTGCGGTGCTTGTTCCACTACCCTAGACTGCCTCGAGATAAATCAGAGAATAAATTTCATCAGGATCATTACTGAAGTATGAAAAACCATTTTGATCACTGCCCTATACATCCTTAAAATATGAAGGACACAGGATTTAAAATATAGAAACACATATACCAAAAGCTGTTTTCTTTAAAATGCTAACTCTCCAACTTTGCAATTTTGGCAACATTTCCCATGTTCTATATTTCTGCTTTCTGCCTTCTGGTGGGAGGAAGTAATGGGTAGAAAGAGGAAAATACTTTGGAAAGGCAGAAAGAAAAGTAAAAGCTTATTACTAAAAGGCTTGTTTGTTTGATGATGTTGCTATTTAATGAACACAATGGTGAGGACAAAGGATTAGGAAATTGCACATAGCCCATGGTTTTAAGCATGGCATTATCTATTAATGGTAAAAAAAAAAAAGAAAATCAGCAAATTGAAATTGTCTATTTGTAAAAGCTCAGTTAAATACAGGATCTGCTAAAGAAGCCGAGTGAAAGAAAATCAGCATCTATGGCAGTCACCCAGCCACCTCTCATGAATTTCCTAGCAGCAGTGAAACATTACCCACAAAACAGCCCTGTGTTCTGGGATGCTGTCACTTCACCTAATTTCCATCACTGATCCTGAGGTAGGTGGATGTGGCAGTAACAGGAACATGAACGTGGTGCACAGAGTGAAGCGAGGCCCTGGTAGGCTGCAAGGTCGAAGCCTTCAAACCTTCACAAGCCCATTTCTCACTCACCTTCTGCAGATATGCATGAAGACTGTTTATATGAATACTCAAAGCCTCAACATACTCTGGCCTACCTACTTACATGCTTTATTTGTAACATCGATAAACATATAACCACTCATAACACTACTATGTTTTTGGTAAATTGTTTTTAGTAATACCTTGATTTGCAATACTTTCATTGATTTCATAAAGAAAAATAATGTGAATTTAAATTCCAGTTAATAACAACTTCTGGTTGTTATTTAAATAAACTTTTTTATAATTCACACAATACTGATGTAAGAGCCTCAATAACAGAAGTGAAACAGACAACAGAAAAATAAGCAGCAAATAGTAATAGCTAAATACTTAAAGCTGATGTCCCACAAAAGGTGAAATTCTATAGATAGAATGTAAACATTACATAAATTCTTTGGCCTAGAAAAGAAATACAATAATAATTTATGATTTTAATTGTTTAGTTATTTTTAATAAATCTGTTTCTTAGTCAGGTCACCTAACCTTCTTCAGTATCAATTTTTCTATCTGCAGTATCCATTCTTCTATCTGGGTTTCTGCTTATATATATCTGTAAGTGGAGATGATGATAATGACCAAATGTAGTTATGAGGATAAAATGGAGCACCTAGCACAACATGATGGGTACTTGCTAAATATGACTTCTTTCAGGGCTAAATGCTAGCATTCAGCCTCTCTTAAAAGGGGTGAATGAAAGTCTCTCAAAGAATTCTCCTTATCTAAAGATATGAAACAAGTTTACAAAAGTAAACTTGCCAAAAGGTCAAAAAACTCTGCAAAACTAGGAAAGGAAGACAGTCCAATGCCATAAATTTCCAAAATCTCAAAACCTGACAGCCAAGGAAATATATGGTGATTCCGGAGCCCAGTAGAACAGAACATTTTGTAAGGCTCCTGATCCCATCCCCAGAACCCACGTGACTCTTTTTTTTAGGCAACCACAAAATTAAACTACACTAAATTTATGGGTTCAGAAAAAATGCACTGCTTTTTCACCCTCATGAGATTCCACTTGAGCTCCCCAAATTAACTAAATGTCTAATCATTGTTCCGCCGTACTTTAATCCAATGATTCAGTCAGCCTCCCCACATCTGTCATTGTTAAATGGAAAAAACCGGAAACTACTCTAGGTATATTAGACAGAAATTAGGTAAGCAGAATCTTCTCAGAAGGGCTGGAAGAGTGGGTGTAAACAAAGTTGACATCCATGCTGTTGGATCCATCATGGCTGCGACTGACAACGGAGACAGCTGCTGCTCCCGCCCCCAACACAGCTGCCTCTCTTGACACCCACAAGGCTGGTAGTACCTGAAATCCCCTTCCACAATTGCTCCTATGTTTCTGTTTTAGACAGAGCAGCAAACAAATGACCTTATACCTCTCTTCTAACCAAGATACATGTGAGTGGATCCCAAATCCTGGCTCTACAGGAGGTGTGAAATGTTGTCTGAAGTTTTTCAGTCTCTGCTGCACAGGAAAACACCAATGAAGTTGGGTCAATCTACAGCATATTCCATGACAGGTTCCTTGCAGTTGTACAATACAATGGCTGTTCCTCATGATCTGTTCCATTGGTGACTCAACATTTGTATGCATTTGCTCCTCAATTGCTTTTCGCCTAGGCCAGCATTGGGTTCAGATTTCAGTCAACAATCTAGCAAAACTACTGCTTGAGCTAACACATGGAATCCAGAAACTCCAGGAGGTCACTGTATTAGTCCGCTCTCACGCTGCTATGAAGAAATACACGAGACTGAGTGATTTATAAGGAAAAGAGGTTTAATTGACTCACAATTCCACATGGCTTGGGAGGACTCAGGAAACTTACAATCGTGACCAAAGGCACCTCTTCACAGAGCAGCAGGAGAGAGAATGAGTGCCAAACAAAGGGAGAAGCCCCTTATAAAACCATCAGATCTCATGAAAACTCACTCACTAGCAGGAGAACAGCATGGGGGAACACGCCCCCATGATTCAATTATCTCCACCTGGTCCCACCCTTAACAAGTGGGTATTATTACAATTCAAGGTGAGATTTGAGTGGGAGGACACAGCCAAACCATATCAGATACCCATATCGATTAGCTTTGCCTAACCTAAAGCTATATTTCTACTTCCTGGTCTAATGCTTGCAGAAACCATTCTCATGCAAATTCCTTGGGTTTCTGCTTTTATAAAATAGCAAAATCTTTTGGTATGTCAGTCTTCTCTAAGTCCAATTTGTGTTCTGCAGCATGCTGGGCTCTGGCTCCAGTTATAATAGGTTGAGAAGCAAAGAAGCCTGGTAATGAAAGGGCCTGAGGAGAGTTGGCAACTTATTTACCTCAAGTAAAGTAACTCATGTGTCTTCAAACAAACTACAACTAACCTCATCAGACAGGAAAGGGGAGCTGCTTTTGCTTGCAAGGGAGGTTTTGTGGGAAGGGGATTTAGAGTGGTCATATTTGACTGAACACACACAAATGTCCCAGTGCAATTCACAAGGTCTGTCTTGCCAATCAGTGTTCTAATGTTCACTTAAAAGATATGACAGACGGAGCACAGTGGCCCACACCTATAATCTCAGCACTTTAGGAGGCCAAGGTGGGAGGATCACTTGAGGCCAGGAGTTTCAGACCAGCCTTAGCAACACAGAGAGACCCCCATCTCTACAAAAATAAAAAATTAGCTGGGCATAGTGGTATGCATCTATAGTCCCAGCTACTCAGGAGGCTGAGGTGAGAGGATCCCTTGAGCCCAGGAGTTTGGGGCTGCAGTAAGCTATGATCACACCACTGCACTCTAACCTAGGCAACAGAGTGAGACCCTGTCTCAAAAAAAAATTTTTTTAATGATATGACAAAATATGAATTCAACTTATACTGTAACTTAACAACCCATAGGATCAGATTCTATATAATGTAGGGATACATCAGTCCTAAGCTAAGGCCACAAGAAATAAAAGATTATCTGAGGGTAGTTCTATCACCCAGGCTGGAGTGCAGTGTGCAATCTCGGCTCACTGCAACCTCTGCCCCACAAGTTCAAGCGATTCTCACGCCTCAGCCTCCCGAGTAGCTGGGACTACAGGCATGTATCACCATGGCTGGGTAATTTTTGTATTTCTAATGGGGGTTTCTCCACCTTGGCCAGACTGGTCTCAAAATCCTGACCTCAAGTGATCTGCCTGCTTCGGCCTCCCAAAGTGTGGGGATTCCAAGCATGAGCCACCGTGCCCAGCTGTTTCCTTTCTTTAATCTCTCCAGAGCTATTTCTTTAGCAATCCCACTTCACAACCCTTGAAATTTCTCATTCTCATTCTAATGATTTATCGTAGCAAGAACTTTGCCAGAGTCTAGCCTTCTAACAGACACATCATTCCAGGAAGCCATAGCAATAATTTAAGTGACTTCTTTTTGTCACTGTGTACCATTAATTATGAGAGTCCCAAGTTCTAATAATAACATGATTGCCGTTATCTGTAAGAAGAATCGGAATAGATAACCCATCCGATGTTTCCATCCTTGAGATGTCTGAGAGTCTGTTATCTGTAACCCCTTCTGGAAGGAGGAAACAGAAACCACTCTAGATATTTTTGGGAAAGAGAAGCTTAAGAAAAAAATATATTTTATACAGGAAAAATGTGTTTGTAGAATCATTTTAAAGGCTGCGGAAGGAGTCAGAGGTAGGGAATACACCACTGTATAGTTGCAAGCCCAAGATCAAGAAGCATTTGCTTCTGTCACAACTGCTACTGCTAATCATCTCTACATCCATGAAACTGGGACCCTGAGGCTGGCTGCAGTAACTGCCCTAACTGCCACTAGATATCCATGAGGCTGGTGTGTATAAACCTCAGGTCTCACAAGAGTGCGTCCAATTGGTAGAAGCTTATCTATAACAAGAATCCTGGCTACTTAGGGTCTGGAAAACATATATTTAAGTTACCAACTTCTGAAGAATACGAAAGCATTCTAAAGTGGGGGTAGAATAAAAGAGGAGCAAACATTCACAAAAGCCACCACAGTCTCAGGAAGTTTTAGTCTCTATTTGGCTATATATGCCGACTCTTTCAAATTTCCTTCTCCTACTCCTGTTTCTCTGCCTAACATATCAACTGATGCATGTGTTAAGAGTTGGGCAGGCACCTTGAACTTGTTCCTGGGTGTTCAGGGGCTGGTATTTGCTGGTTTCTGGGGCACTGTCCCTTGTCCACGAAGTTACTGATGGCCTTCTAGAGTCCCATACAGAAGTCTGCAGTGGCTCACGCCTAATAATCCCAGCACTTTTCGAGGCCAAAGCAGGTAGATCACCTCACCCGAGAAGTTCAAGACCAGCCTGGGCAACATAGCAAAACCCCATCTCTACAAAAAAAAAAAAAAAAAATTAGTCGTGGTGGTGCACCCCTATAATCCCAGCTACTCAGGAGCCTGAGGGAGGAGGATCACTTGAGCCCAAGAGGGAGAGGTTGCAGTGAGCTGAGATTGCACCACTGCATTCCAGCCTCAGTGACAGAGCAAGACGCTGTCTCAAAAAACTTTTTTAATTTTAAAAATTTTAAAAGAAATCAATGCTAGACTTAATACTAACTTACAGAAATAGGACAAACTTTTATAACTTCACTCTCTGTTCATATGTTTGGGCATCCTTAGGGAGTCCTGGTAGCATTCAGGAAAAAATTTAGAAGGTCTAGAGAAGATCACATACCAACCCCTACCAAGAGAATGAAGGCTTGTACCATGTGCAGAGATCCCCAGAGAAACTGCTTCTTCATCCCTGTTCACTAGTCCACTCTATCACTTGCTTGACTGCACTGTCTCTTATGTTTCAAAGTAACTAAAAGATCATTAGGAATTTTGTGAGAAAAGCTTCTTCCTTTTATCCCACAAATAAAATCTTCTATTTTTTTAAAAGTGACATAGGGGTTTAAAATAGAAATAAGAAAATATAGAAATATATATATAAGCACTCAGAGAATAATCACTTTAGATACCATGGTGCCTTTCAAAAAAGAAAAAGAGAAAAGAAATTAGATCATGCCAGTCATGTTTTCTTTCTTTCTTAAAAGTTAATCGGCCAGGCATGGTGGCTTACACCTGTAATCCCAGCACTCTGGGGGGCCGAGGCTGGTGGATCACCTGAGGTCAGGAGTTCCAGACCAGCCTGGCCAACATGGTGAAACCCCGTCTCTACTAGAAATACAAAAATTTGCTAGGCGTGGTGGCGGGTGCCTGGAATCCTAGCTACTCGGGAGGCTGAGGCAGGAGAATCACTTGAGCCTAGGACACAGAGGTTGCAGTGAGCCAAGATAGTGCCATTGCCCTCCAGCCTGGGCTACGGGAGCAAAACTCCATCTCAAAAATAAATAAATAAAGTAACATAAAAAAAGTTAATAATCATGGCTGTCTAGCCATGTTTATACATCTCCAACATCAGTTTTAGAGATTGAAGAAGATGTAGGGAAACATAATTATTGTAAAATACTAAGAACAGTGTGCCATATTTGGATATGTCTAAAATACTGCTTCTTAAAACGTCAAAATATTACTTACTTCAGGAACACCTATAGTGCTTGTTAAAAACAGAGAATAGTCAGGGCATGGTGGCGCACGCCTGTAATCCCAACACTTTGGGGGGCCGAGGCGGACAGATTTGAAGCCAGGAGTTAGAGACCAGCCTGGCCAACATAGTGAAACCCCATCTCTACTAAAAAAAAAAAAATTAACCAGATGTGGTGTCAAGTTCCCGTAGTCCCAGCTACTTGGGAGGCTGAGGCAGGAGAATCACTTGAACAAGGGAGGTGGAGGTTGCAGTGAGCTGAGATCGTGCCACAGCACTCCACCTGGGCGACCAGGCGAGACTCTGTCTCAAAAAAAAAAAAACAAAAACAAACAAAAAAAACTGGAGAATGGTTTTTTCATAATTCACTCCCCCAAAATGTTTTTAATCGAAATAATTAAATTAAATTTAAAATGGTGACTAGGGAGCCCATCTCAGACTATAAAATGAGAATCTCCAGGTGGGGGTCCATAAATTCACGTTTATAGCAAGTTTCCAGATAATGTTTATCTCGCTACATTTGGAGAAACCACTGGACTGTTTTAAAGAGAGGACCTGTCTCCCCACAATATACCAGAATATCTCTGTTCCTTGAACTTTTTTGTTCTCTGATTTTTATTTTAGGAGACAACAATGGATGGTCTCTGCAATTTGACAAATATTTTGCCAGTTACTACAAAATGACTTCCCAATATCCTTTTGAGGCAGAAACACCTGAATGTTGTAAGTAATCAGAGCAGTTATTTTCTTTTCCATGAGTTCATAAGACACCATTTTTAAAAGTTTGATTCAACATTTTAAAAAAAGATTGCATCTCAATCTGGAAATCAGTTTTAATTAAAGAAACTTAAAAATTCGTAAGAGGTCAATTATAGTTTTCTAATTGCAAATTCTATTAAATATACAACTTTAACTAGGAAAATTTATTTCAAAAAAGACTCAGGGATCTTAAGTGTAGAAGTAATAAATGGTGTCAGATATTGTTATGAACAGAATCAATGTCAGTCAAGGATGTTATTTTATATGACTTCTCTTTTCACAATCACTATAAAGTGTGATGTAAAGAAAACAGAGAAAGTAGAGAGGGCAGAAAAGCTGTTTGGATTTTAATGTTTGCTAGAAAAAATTCTTCTGAGCTGCAAAACCCTTATTCATTATAACCCACTATGTTCAGTCATACACTGAAAACTTACAAAAACACTGGAGGGGTATGGAAGGTATAAACCTGAGGATTAACTATAATATTTTAGATCAGAAAGATATATGAAAATAACTCCTCTTAAATAAATTTTGTCAGTTCTAATACATTATGCAAATGTAAATCTGTATCTTGGAGCTGTCATTTTGACCCTAGCTTTTCAAAACCTTGGTTTAAAAGCAAGGCATATTTGCTATTCCTCTGACATTCCAGACATGGTTCCATATCACAGCCTCTATACAGACTGTTCTTTGAGAAACTTTCTCCCATGTATCTGCTTAGTTGGTGACCCTCAGCTTATTCAGGGCCCTGTTCAAATCAAAGAAGACTGCAGTGATAACGCTGTATAAAACAGCCGCGTCCTCAGCCCTACCCTCATTACTCTATGAGCTTACTCTGTGTTATTTTCTGGGGTGGCACTATCATAATTGCTGGTGGTAGTGGTGCTGGTTGTGGTGGTGTATGAATTATCTCATCAGATCCTAAGCACTATGACAATGACTATGACAATAGGTACTTTGTTTGACTTTTTTTTTTTTGCTGATCTTCTAGTGCCTAAAATAAATAGTGCTTTGCACATAGTGAGCACTCAATAAATTATTGTTGAAGTCTATATAGGAGGCTATAGATAGGATGTTTTGTTTTATTTTTCATCTTTGTATCTGCCCAGAAACATACATATTTAATGGGTTAATTATGGTTACAGTAAAACCCAGTTGAATTTTTTTAAGCCCAGTTGAATAAGTATATTTTAAACATGTATTTTTTATAATAATTTTTCTTATAGCTAAAACTTTTAGTTTTTTAGCTAACAATAAAAACATTCACAGAATTCTTTGCTGGGTTTTTAATTCATGGTTTATTTTTATCCTTTTTTGATTCTGAAGCATGCCAGATTAACAATATGTCTGAATAATTGAGGCTTTATTTATGTAAATGTTATATAATAATAACTACATTTTAATAACAAATGCTTAGGTGGTTATTTTATAACATTATTTTTCTAAGGTTGCATTATCCTAAATTATGTCTTTAGTCGTAGATATAAGCACAATGTATTATGTAGGCAATGATTTAACTATTGTAGAGTTCAATTATTTAAAAGAGTAAAATTTTACACTATGAGTTCTAGAAAATACATGTTTATACATAGAGCCACAGTTTACCTTTTGCTAGTCCTAGTAAATGCTAATTATTCAATTCTCTTACTCATCATCACGTTTTCTATTCTCTCCGTTTTGTACAACTTATATCACTCCCACCTTCCCAAAACATTATCTGGGCAGCTTTGAATGGAAAACAGTCATGAATGAGCAATCAATGGCTATTCACTACAAAATGGTGGAGAGGTGACTAAGAGTTTATTTTAGACAAATTTTATATCATATATTTAGTTTCTTCATGTCACCTGGCAATGCCAGCTCCTCCTCTGTTCTTTTTTTCCTATATAGTGCCTTCCTGGTCATATCCTTTTCGTAAAACCATTTAAGATGAATAGGTAATGGCCACATATTAAATACTAGTGTTATGAATTAGTAGATCAACAAAATATGAAATATTAAAATGTAAGGATTGCCTATCTGTTGCAAATATAAAGTTTTTTCTCTTGCAAAAATTATTTTTAAAAAAGCAAGGCATAGAGGAAGAAATCCTTTGCTATATTTTTTTCTTCATGTTCTACCATAAATTGTAAAGTCTAGCTTTTTAAATTTTTAATATTTTTTATCTTCACTACTCAAATGAGGTTAATCAAATACCACTAACAATCTCCAGTTTAAGGGGATAGACGTCACTCTTGTGAGATTCACAGGGTACTCAGCAATCTGTCTCAGCATCATGCCATTATTTAGAGGGAGACCAAATAATTTGTCCATTAAAAAGCTAAAAATTGGCTGGGCACAGTGGCTCACACTTATAATCCCAGCACTTTGCGAGGCTGAGGTAGGAAGATCTCACTTGAGACCAGGAGTTCAAGACCAGCCTGGGCAACATAGTGAGAACCCAATCTCTCCAAAAAAAAAAAAAAAATTAAAACTTAGCTGTGCTACTCAGGAGCCCAGGAGATTGAAGCTGCAGTGAGCTGTGATTGAGCCACTGTGCTCCAGCCTAGGCAACAGAACAAAACCCTCTCTCAGAGGCAGAAAAAAAAACAGCTAAAAGTTTTTGGGAAAGGAAAACGTTAATAGATATAATTTAACTGATAATATAATGTTTAAAATAATGAATTAAGCCATGTTGTCTCAAAACAGTTTTTTTCTTTTATCATATATTGTTTTCTTTTTATTTCTTAATTTTTTTTTTTTTTTGAGATGGAATTTCACTCTTGTTGCCCAGACTGGAGTGCAATGGCGCAATCTTGGCTCACTGCAACCTCTGCCTCCCAGGTTCAAGTGATTCTTCTGCCTCAGCCTCCCGAGTTTGGATTACAGACATGTGCCACCACGCCTGGCTAATTATGTATTTTTAGTAGAAACGAGATTTCTCCACGTTGGTCAGGCTGGTCTTGAACTCCCAACCTCAGGTGATCCACCCGCCTCAGCCTCCCGAAGTGCTGGGATTACAGGCATGAGCCACTGCGCCTGGTCTATTTCTTAAATTTTAATTGAATCTTTTAATACCTCACCTTATTCCCAAAAGGATTTTCAGCAACTTACAATTAAAATACAGCTACTAAAAGCCTTAAACCATTCACATGATATAAAAGACAAAAGTTCAGTGGTGAGTGGAAAGCGAATGACAAAGAAAAATTAAGAAAATCCTTCCTGAGAAAAGTTCAGTGACTTCATCCGAAGCCTAGTTATGAATTTCATAGCTGTCAAGTCCAAGAGAGAAAATAATGGGTTACATAACTTTCATAGTTTGTAAAGCAAAACAAACAAATGGGGAAAAACCAGGTAAGTCAGCAAGAGAAATATATTTTTGCGTGATCCTGCACCCTGGAAGACATTTGTCACAAGTATAATTACATAAAAGGAATGAGGCTATGTAATAAATGCTGTATTAAAAAAAAGTAATTTTTTTCATCAGTACTTAACAAAAACAAATATATCATTGAGAGTTAAAGACAATTTGTGGGGGGTAGTGCAGCTAACGACTAAATATATGTTTCAAACTTGAAAACAGTGTAAAAATAGAATGGCAAGTGTAGTGTAAAACTTGGGGTTAAAATTTAAGTTAAGGTTCCTAGTGTCCCACCTTATTTAAAGCAGATTATTATAGGGATTTATTGGAAATTAAACTGAGCAAAGCTTATAATCATTTTTGACTAGAATAATGTGAGGAATTCACATTATTAAAGTCATCTCTCAAGGGCAATATAATGGAAAATATAATATCTATCATGAGCCAATAAATTAACAAAATTTAAGTTTAAAGGATTTGAAAAGTACAGAGATTTGGAAAGAATTACTTACTTAACCATAATTTGACCATTCAGAAGCTACCAGCATTAACTTGCTACTGCATTACTCGTCTTTTTTTATTTTAACATAGTTGAAATTTCCTATACAAACCATTTTTATCAAATTTTCAATTAGCATTTCGGCATAATCAGGTATCCATATTACTACAACATCTTTTAAAATATTCCATGTAATAGTATATTTTGTAAGTGACATAATTTCCTTAATCATTCCTTGGCTGTTGGATATTTATGTGTTGTTTTTTCATTTTTCCCTATTGCAGATAACCCTGTAATCAACATATATGAATTATCTTAATTTAGTCTCTGTATATGAAAAAAACACACTGGGATTAACGCTAATTTCACTGCCCTCCGTTTCTGCCCTTCCTACTTCATTCTCAGGACCTTTCTTCCTTCCCAACCTTTTCCATCCCATCCCCACAGCATACACACAGACTCACATATGAGATATGATTGTAACTTAAAGAGACAGCATCAGTTTTCAGACATCCACAACCAAAGTGGGTACTTGCAACTATAAAACTGTTGTAAAGTTCTTGGCAGATACTCTGTTTATATTAAACACTAAATCTAGGTTATGGTCCTGATCTCTTGTAACCCTGTGAAGACGTCTCTGGAGATATTTGGGAGGAGAGGAAGAACACATGTCACCCCATATCTGAGCCAAAAAGCTCCTCATGAACAGTCATTCACAGAGGTCTCTGCTTAGCCACTGAGACACTTGCTTGCTCTCTGCAAGTTTCACCATAAAGGTCAGAAACTGGAAGCCTACAAGCAGAAAACTCTCATAGACGGTTTTGTTTGTCCAATAATATTTTTAAATGTTTTCAGTTAGCTAATATCAGTTTTTAAATAGATAGTTATATATAAAACATTGTATTTATGGCTTCTTTGAGGAAGTTGGTAGATGTAGCTACACATGTTCCTATTCTAATATGGCAACAGATGAGAGAAGCTGTTGCACTTGGACATCTGGACACAGTCTACAGTGACATTGCCTGACCGCTGGAGACACTGGAGTCTGTAACCCCTGCTGTATAGGTTAGGGCTCCAGAAGTCAATATGGGGAGAAAACGTTTCTCATTGCTCTCAGGAATTCGCCATTCCCCATCAGAGCAGGAATCAAACTATATTTATTATCCTAAATAATAATCTCATTATTCTGTTTAGCTATATGAATACATCATTGCAAATCTCTAATAGACTTTAGATGTATTGACTCACATCCTAACACTATCGCTACAGCTCCACAAGATGGCCAAGGTCATACACCTCATTCTCCCTCTCTTTCCAACACCAAACACCAGTGAAAATAGAATCCTATGCAGAAAAAACATTCACTCCCATAAATAAACTTTTATTCATCCTTTACCCCTATTTAAGCCAAAAGATTTTTTAAAAAATTATTTGAAGAACTCCTGATTTTAAAAAAAAAACTATAGACACTATCATTTGCCTTTAGTTCTCCTCGTTCTTGCTAGTTAAAAGTGATTTATTCCTCCTTTAAAGGTTTTGATTATACTAAATACTTTATTTTTAAGTGGCAGTTGTAGTATGAACATTAAGCCTCATCACACACTATCGTGTCAATCCTTAGCAGACTGTTCTCCATTCATTGCAAAATGAATGAAATAAGAGCAGATTATTTCATTCATTTTGCAATGAATGGAGAACAGTCTGCTTTTTTTAAAAAAATACATGAGCTAGTGTGTGTTTCCAAATGTTGATGCTCTACCATCATTTTAAGGTTAAATTAAAAGCAAACTTTGGAGCCTTAATTTAAAGCATTGCCTAAATTGCCTACGTAGCACATGATATGCTTTTGTACTAAATGATTTTCTCATAGCTTTTCATTTCTTTCTTTTCATTACCCTCCTCTTCCTGGTCCCTCACTGTCATCATGCCTTACCACTTCCCCTTGATTCAGTGGTCGGTTCTGTGCCAGTGCAATGTCTTTGCCAAGGTCTGGAGCTTGACTGTGATGAAACCAATTTACGAGCTGTTCCATCGGTTTCTTCAAATGTGACTGCAATGTAAGTAGAAAAGAATTACTTCATCCTGACAGCTGGGTAGCACCTGTAAAATTGTATTATAATTAAGACCATGTGATTATTCATAATATATTTTTATTCAAAGATGATGTCATTTTTCCTGGGTCAGGTATAATAATTACTGATATTTATTTTGCATTTATTAAATGCTAGACCCCACCTTAAATTATTCTTTATATTAACCCCTCATAATAATCCTGCAAGGTATGGAGTGTCACCATATTTTATCTAAACAAAAAAAGTCATCAATTGCATGTGCTACTAAGAAAAAATGGCTTCTAATTAAACTATTACATAGAGCTTTCCTATTATATAGAATTTTCACTTGACATTTATTGAAAGAACTCTGTTAGAATTTATTGGACCCAAATTTTAATATAATCTGATGTGTAAGTTAAAAAAGAAAATAAGGTAAATTGGATAAGATATTCCTCCCAAAACGTCATATTTAAAATCTGTTCTGAATCACATTTTGAGTCATAGATGTTAATGTTGTTATTTTCTTAAGGAATTCAAACTTACATATGTAAAAAAATTATCACCATAAGTGGTTTGTTGATTTCTAGTACCCGTAATGTTAGTTTCCAGTACTAATTTGAATTCAATGAACTTCAGCAACACAAACATATACATTTGACTGAAACTTTTTTAAAAGAAATTAGTGGAGGACAGCTATTTTAATCCAATATTTTTGCTGAGTTTCTTTTTTCATTTAGATACCTTAGTGCCTTGTGGCTCTCACTTTTGGGTATATGAGGACAAAATAAGAGTAATTCTTGAGTTTATGCATATTGACAAGTGTTACCGTTTTCAAACCAAACCACATAATACAGCAATTGAAATACTTGGTATATGAGGTAAGAGCTACAACTCAGAGTTCCTGTGCATAGTGGTTCCATTGAATTCACAGATCTGAGAAGTTTACCCAATTTGTGGTGGCCAGGGAATATGAACTGAAAATATCAGCAGAGTTTTCCAAAAGAGGGAACATTTCCACTTGAACTAAGGAAAAGAAGAGCTCTTCAGCATTCTATCCTCTTCTTGCCTTACCATGGCTCTTTCTCATAGCAATTAGTCCTGCTAGAAAAAAGTAATAATTCCCCAAAAGAACCTGAGGTCCTATGGAGCACTTCTCTGATTTAAATTCTAACTGGAAATTCTGAGTATAAGAATTTATGAATAGTCTGGGCAACACAGAGAGAGCCCATCACTACAAAAAAAAATAAAAATTAGCCAGGTATGATGGCCCACACCTGTAGTCTCAGCTACTTGGAGGCTGAGGCAAGGGGATCACTTGAGCCTGGGAGGTCAAGGCTGCAGTGAGCTATGATCAAGCCACTGCACTCCAGCCTGGATGACAAAGTGAGACCCTGCCTCAAAAAAAAAAAAGAATTTATGATTTCATTCTATTTTCAGAGAAAAAAATCATAATCCTTCTCCACTGCTTGTATCAAATTACTAGAAAATCCAAATCAAAGGATATTCTGATGCAGCCAATTTCATTTTTCATTTTCCCACGAGTAAGATTTGAATCCAT
The DNA here is from genome assembly GCF_000001405.40 of Homo sapiens. Classification (NCBI taxonomy): domain Eukaryota; kingdom Metazoa; phylum Chordata; class Mammalia; order Primates; family Hominidae; genus Homo; species Homo sapiens. Next base: position 158,600,987 of record NC_000004.12, read on the forward strand.
TCTTTAACAATTCAACCAACATTTGTAAAATAAAGAACAGAGAGAGAAAGCTGGGGGAATGGAGGGGAATAAGGCAATGGCTAACTAGAGAGGGCATGCCCCACACAAAGGTTGAATCATTGAATTAATTCCCATTCAATTTTAAAAATTGTCATGATCTAGTATACACATACATACGTACATAAAGAGATGTGGGCAGAAAGCTGTGACCTACCAGTTTTCAACCCCTGGTATAAACAAAAAAACTGGGACCAGGTCCTTGTAAATGATTGTCTGCAAGAAGGCAAGAAAGAAGGAGTCAGAGATGACTCCAAGGTTTCCCTTCTAAGCAACAGTATGATCGGAGAATGAGGAGACTTGGTGGCAGTAACTGAGGAAGATGGGGACTCTGATGTTAGATGTTTTTTCCAATGTGAGATTAACAGGTCACTCAGTGGAAATCTTCAACAGGCATTTGGAGATATAGGAATAAAGCTCAGGAGTTTATGTCTACGGTATTTTTTATTTTTTGTTCAAAAAATAGCATTATCTTGTGCTTTAGGTTGAGCCACTTGATTCCAGTTGTCCATTTATACTTTTCTCTGCAGAACACTGGCTTAGACTCATACGTAGTCCCAGTCTGTTCAGTTCCATACAGAAAAAGAACTCTATGCTTTATAGCACATACATTAAAAAGTAAACATCAAATTTCATTAGTCAGTTCTTTCCAGACTTTGAGTTGGAACTATTACAGGGAAATGTCAGAAGAGGACTGAACCATATGTAAGTATCAAAGAAGCTAATACTCCAAGTAATGTTTATTGAAGTTGGGATTTTTTTAAGACATTTCGCATAAATGCTAATGAACAAAACAGGCAAACATAGATAGATATGATTATTTTTACTTTTTTCTAGCTTGATAAACACTGATTTTGACTATTTGAGACTTGGCTTTAAGATCCTGGAATTTAATCACTAGAACTATATGATCTAATACTAAGAACTTTCTTTATAAAAACTAGAGCTAGCTTTGACAATAATGATTAAACTAGGCCATTTCTCTCTCACACACATACAAACACAAACCCTCTTTGACTCTGTGAACAATCAAAGTTGGACTGTCAAATTTTAAAATATAAGGATTTGTTATATTATATTTTGGGTTGTTCTATTCAATGAGAATAACAGCATCTACCTCTTTCTATCCCAATAGGATATTGTGAAATGTAGAGAATGTTATTTGTCAAAATATTTTATGTCATTTAGAAAGAAGTAACCTATAAATCCTAGACACTATTAATAAAAACCCAACTTTTTAAGTAACATTACTTAGAGGTCTTTCAATGAGCCTCACTTTCCTCTATAGTAACTCTCCTCCTTCAAGTGCAGTTAACCTCTTCCTCTTGGGTTCTCTCGTAGAACCTCACTTGTGTCTCTTTTATGTATACTAAACATTCTTGCTTGTGCTATAGTGATTCAGGTCCTGTTATCTACCTGAAAAAGGAAAATGCCATGGCCTATATATCCTCCAAAGTTCCTAATAGAGTCTAATAATCCCTAAATAAATGTTATTGAAATGAATTTATAAATAAATACAAAAAAAAAAAGAAGTTGGTTGCCTCATTAGCCCCGGGCTGTTAAGACTGAAGTTATTATTCAAAGAAAATTCTCTATTTATAGATAAAGTATAATTTGTGCAAATAGAGTATAAACTTCTTAAAGGCAGGTATCCAACATGTGCAAATGGCAGGCATTCAACACATTTTTTGAGATAATGAATGAATGAATGAACAATTTTTTTTTTTTGAGACAGAGTCTCACTCTGTCGCCCAGGCTAGAGCGCAGTGGCGCGATCTTGGCTCACTGCAACCTCTGTCTCCCAGGTTCAAGCGATTCTCAGAACACATTTTTAAGGACACACTAAACTTTCATCTATATCCTTAAATCAAACTCAGGTTTTTTTGTTTGTTTGTTTTTTGTAAACAGACAGGGTCTCACTGTGCCCCCCAGGCTGGAGTGCAGTGGTGCAATCACAGCTCACTGCAGCCTTGACCTCTGAGGCTCAGGTGATCCTCCTGCCTTAGCCTCCCAAGTAGTTGAGACTACTGGCATGCACCACCATGCCCAGCTAATTTTTTTAATTGTTTGTAGAGATGGCGGTGGGGGGGCAGTCTCACTATGTTGCCAAGCTGGTCTTGAACTCCTGGGCTCAAGTGATCCTCACACCTTGGTCTCCCAAAGTACTGGAATTATAGGTGTGATCCACTGCACCCAGCCAAATCCAAATATTTAACAATTTATCTTGACACAATATAAACATTTAAACAGGATATAAGCAGAATTTAGAATCTAAGTCAAGTCAGAATCATTAGCAGAAAAGAGCTCCTCAATTAGTTAATATATACAAGGAAATAATATTTGGTGACAGCCAGCAACTGAGAGTAGTTTCAAAAGGGAATTACTTGTTAATCAGCCTTTGGTATTATTTATGTAAAAAGCCATTAAGTGTCTGATATGTGTAGTCTAGAAAAGTGATTTTTAACTTTTTTTCTTTCATTATTGTTTCCCTTCCCCCAGGGAGACTTTTTAGACTTTTTTTTTTCTATTTGTCCCCTCCTGTGAAATTTTAATACTACAGATATACGGACAGGCGCAGTGGCTCACGCCTGTAATCCCAGCACTTTCGGAGGCCGAGGCAGGTGGATCACAAGGTCAGGAGTTCGAGACCAGCCTGACCAACATGGTGAAACCCCATCTGTACTCAAAATTTAAAAATTAGCCAAGCGTGGTGGCGCACGCCTGTAATCCCAGCTACTCAGGAGGCTGAGGCAGGAGAATCGCTTGAACCCAGGAGGCAGAGGTTGCAGTGAGCCGAGATCATGTCACTGCACTCCTGCCTGGGCCACAGAGTAAGACTCCATCTCAATAATAATAATAATAATAATAATAATAATAATAATAATACAGATATACTATATATGTTCTTGTGTATATCTGCATTATACATTTAAAAAGTAAGATTTTTTTTTTCTTAAGAACCAATTCTCACCTTCATTGAGAGTGCATGGACTTCTAGACTCTAGAACAGTGTTTCTCAAATTAGATTCCAAAAATGTGTTCCAAAGAGTCCAAGAAAGTTTTTTTTAAGAAGGATTCATCACCAAGTTTAAGCAACACCACTTCAAAACCTAAACATTGTTAGTGCTTATTGTATAAAACTGTCTTAACCTGAGTTAAGTTAACCTCCAGACAATGCGGTCTGTTGCTCACTTATAAGTATCCGCTCCGTGGTACTATATAATGATAGTACTAATAATATCATATTATTAGATACCATCTAATCCAAATCCCTCCTTTCACTGTTAAAGAGACTGACTTGGAGAGGTTGTGTGTGATTCATGCAAGGATCCCCAGCTACACTGGTTTTGGTTTTTTTATTGTTTCATTTATTTTGCTTTTACTACATTACATTGCTGTTCTAAAACAAAAAATTAAGGACTTGGGACCTTTCCAGTACAACCAAAATTATGTGGATCTGGTCTGTGTCAAACTGCTTATTAAATTGTGATACAAAAGAAAATCTTCCTGTACAACTTCTTAGAAGTTGAAATGGAATCACTTATTGAATAAAGATGATCCAATTATAGGTACCAATTGATGTTTTCCTTCATAACTAATTTTAAGGTGGTGGAATGTGAGCAATGAAATATTGAGAAATACAATATTTAATTTCTTGAGTGTTTTTAAACAGAAAATACTGTTTTTATTGTCACTTAGAAACTGAGATGCCTTCTAATGTTTGTTAAATACAAATAGGAAAGAAAAACATAACTGAAAATCAATTTTTTCAATTTTATTTTTTAACATTTTTTGTCAGAATTACAGTCATAACCAAAATTTTAAAAAAATGAATAGCTTTAATAGTGCAAAACTAACAGCTAGACCTAGTTCAAGTGATATGATAAATATGAGAGAGACATTATGAAGCAAAATGTTTCCTGAAAGCTAGTACTAAAGTAAATAGTTTGTAATTATCCCTATTGTTGTAATTTAAAAGTAAAGGAAAAACAACTTTAAGAATCAAAATTTACATTTATTTCAGGTCACTTCAGTGGAACTTAATAAGAAAGCTTCCTCCTGATTGCTTCAAGAATTATCATGATCTTCAGAAGCTGTAAGAAAATACTTAATTCCTGGTATTACAATTAACTAGCATTTTTGGCCATGTCTTTTTCTTCCTACTTCTGTGAACACCAACACTATTCCGCTGCTTGTGTCTAATCCCTATTCAGGGAAATATTTAGCTGTTAACTGAAGACTTCCAGGTAACACTTATTTTTTCTGAGTAATTTTAGAAACCATTCTAGAAAAACCTCAGACACATATTTCCAAAGGAACTGGAACATGTGTGCTGTGAATCCTCCTACCACAATCCCCCAAAACGGAGATACTTAGAAGCTTTTATCCTCTGCGTTATTCTAGCATGGAATACCTCAATGCTCATCTTAGAGAAAAATGTTACGCTCTTTTGTCAGATTCACGATGAAGAAAGTGAAGAATTTTCTTCCATGTGTTTTCAAATTCATTATCCACCTAAAATAGCAAGTCACTGTGGGTTGAAACCTCTGAGCATGTTGTCTTGGAGACTTGATTCCATTTTCACATCTGCCTTGTGAGTTGCGTTTTATTTTGGCCTTGAGTAGTATCTGACATGCTAGCTTCCCTTCAGAACTCTCAAAATCCATACTGGCCCACGGGATGTTTACCTGTTATTTAGGTCTACTTTGTGACTAAATTATGTTGTCATATGGTGAATTGCTGGGTTTAGATAGTCTGTACCTAAATCACACTAACTAAGAAATATCTCAGGATTCATTGTTTCATTTTTATACCAATATAGATTGGTTCTTATTTTGGTTTTACAATAGGGAAACCTGATAAATTAATATATATCTGTACATTTTTAAAGATAACAGATGGAAATTGAGTGGAATCAGAAGAAGAATTAACCCACTTCCTTCAGTGAAATGTTCTAAAAACCCAGATAGTCTGCAGAAGTATCTATTTCATATTTGAAAATAGAAATTCTAATGAAAATAACTTTTCAAAATTTCATTCTGAACATTTATCAGTCAAAAGAGAAGAACTTTTCACAATTAGGCCTGACAAAACTTCAAGAGTACACTGACTTATTCTATTTTCTGATTTCTGGAGACTGAAGAATTTTTCTGTAGCATCACCTTGTGTCCACTTATTTAAAGGAGCTAGACTACAAATCTAAATATCAAAATTCAGGTTTATATAATGCAGTGGCTTAGCATTTTTGCACAATAAACATTGAATTAATTCTCTTTTTTGAACTAACCACCATACTAATGTGGATGAATTAATTCCTGAATGACCAATTTGTTCCATATAACAAAATGATCAAAATAGCCTAATTATTTAAAAATTTCTAATTGGTTATTAAAAGTCTATACCTTTAGACCTCCAGGCAATGCAGCCTATTCCTTAGTAGATCATTATAACACTAGAAATAAACAAACAAATGCATGATAAATGAGAACCATTCATTACCTACTACATGATTGGGCCCACAGCATGTCCGGTTCAGGTGCATAATAATTTTTTTTTAAGAGACAGGGTCTCACTCTGTCACTCATGCTGGAGTGCAGTAGTATGATCATAGTTCATTGCACCCTCAAACTCCTGGACTTAAGTGATCCTCCCACCTCAGACTCCCAGGTAGCTAGGACTACAGGCATGTGCCACCACACCTGGCTCCTTTTTTTTTTTTTTTTAGAGAGATAGGATCTCACTATGTTGCCCTGCCTGGCTGGTCTGTTTCAAATGATCCTCCTGCCTTGGCCTCCCAAAGCTCTGCAATTATGGGCATAACCCACTTCACCCAGCCTATAATAAATTTTATAATAACATTTCACAATCAAAGTTAGGTTTTCTTGCATGTTGGAGAAATAGGGTACTTTTCAGTCAAAATTTATAATTTAACTGAATGTTCGCTCATATTGATTTCTTTCTTATTGCTCCTAAAAGTTATAACAAATTGCATATAAACTTTCAGGACACTCTAAAGAACAATGGTGACCTGCACTCAGAACATGAAGGCAGCCTTGAAATCCTTACTTTATCATTCCCGCAATCTGGGGCAAGTACACATAGAAGTGCAAAACTTTGTGTGGGTGCAATGATGCAATAGCGTATACTCTGGTACCCATTTCCTTTGACCTCCAGTTAACTCAAGGTCGTATTTTCAGTATTACTTTAGTTAACTATGTAAGCCTGCATTCTTGTCTTGACATTCCAATCTAATTTATATTCTTCTAGTCCTGATTATTTTTATGTTTTTTTTCTTTTGCCACTTTTACTCCTTATAAATTTCCTCCAAACAGTCTTTGGAACAAGGTTTGGATGTCAAATTAATGAGATCAAAATTGATTTGGTTGACAGATTTGTGATTAACATAGAATATGGTTTGGGACATTAAAAACATCATACACTTTTAGGTTGGCTAGCACTGTGTTGAGCACTTAACAAGTTTAAAGAATTATAACAAGACCCGTATTAAAAGTCTGGCTTCTAGACTTCTGATTTATGAGGGCTTTACTATGTGTTAACATTTTATTTCTAGAAAATTCAAATAGTAAGCTTTGGCTGTTATTCATTCATCTTTATAACTAGAATTTCTAAATACAAACCAGCCTAATTGTACATAAATTTAACAGAAACATGAAGTGACATGATATCTGGCTTCACTAAATTATTTTGTAATGTTTACCTTTTTCAATTTTTAAAATGTTTAATCGTCATCAAATACACATAACATAAAATGTGGCATCTTAACCATTTTTAAGTCTACCTTCAGAGGCATTAAGCACATTCATATTGCTATGCTACCATCACCATCATCCATCCACAGAATTCTTTTTGTCTTGCAAAAGTGAAACTCTGCTTCATTTTTTTTTCTTTTTAATAATCATTTTCACAGGTACCTGCAAAACAATAAGATTACATCCATCTCCATCTATGCTTTCAGAGGACTGAATAGCCTTACTAAACTGTAAGTACCAGTGTGAATTAATTTGCCCATTCCATGGTAGTCTGACAGCCTAGACTATTCCAATCCAGACCAGCCTCCCTGTCCATGACAGTACCAAGGAGCCATGCAAGTGATGCTGAAGGGGCAGTAGAGCACCGTGGCTAAGAGCATAGGATTGTGAGTTAGACAGGCTTCAGTCCAAGTCCTGATTGCCTTACTTACTAGGTGTGTGATCTTGAGCAATTTGTATTCCTTTCTTTTTTTTTTTTTTTTTTTTTTTTTTTTGAGACAGAGTCTCTCTGTCACCCAGACTGCAGTGCAGTGGCGCAATCTCAGCTCACTGCAGCCTCCGCCTTCCAGGTTCAAGCAATTCTCTGCCTCAGCCTCCCGAATAGCTCCAGCATCCAGCATGAGCCATAGACCAAGACCCTGTCTCTGACAAAGAAAAAAAAAAAGCCTGATGATGATATTTGTGATGAAGAAGAAAAAACCCAAAGACTTCCCCAGTTATTCAATTACTCTTTCTTCACTAATCCCACTTTTACAAATGCATGAAATACTGTAAGGTTAAAGAAATAAAGCTTTTTGTGGTAAAATATACATAAGCTAAAATTCACCATTTAACTGTTTTTAAGTAAACCATTCAGTGGCATTAAGTACATTGACATTGTTATGGAACCATCATCACCATCCACCTCCAAAACTTTTTCATCTTCCCCAACTGAAACTCCATATTTGTTGAATAATAATTCCTCATATCTGTCTCTCCCAATTTCCCCCTCTCCCCAGCCCCTGGCAACCATCATTCTACTTTCTGTATTTATTAATTGGCTACTTTAAGTACCTCATATAAGGAGAATCATAAAATATGTAGTTTTTTGTGTCTGGTTTATTTCACTTAGCACAATGTCTTTAATGTTCACGTGTTGTAGCATGTGTCAGAATTTCCTTTTTTAGGGCTGAATAATAGTCCATTGTATTTATGTACCACATTTTGTTTAACTGTTTATCTGTCAGTGGACATTTGGGTTGTTTCCACCTTTTGGCTGTTGTGAATAATGTTGCCATCAACACAGGGATACAAATATCTGTTTGGGTCCCCACTTTCACTTTCACTTCTTCTGGGTATATACCAAGAATTGGAATTGCTAAATCAGATGGTAATTCTTTGATTTTTGAGGGACTGTCATTTGATTTGATTTTGATTTTTTAAGGGACTGCCATACTATTTTCCACAGCAACTGTACCATTTTACTTTCCAACTAGTGTTGCACAAGAGTTCCGATTTCTCCACATCCTCACCAACGTTTGTGTTCTCGTTTCATTTGTTTGTTTTGACAATAACTATCCTAATGGGTGTGAATGGTATCTCATTGTGCTTCTTTTAAAAAAAAAGGCTTTCTCAATGTTCCGTTTTATTGAGTTCTGCCATGCAGCATTCTAGAAGTAACTGGAAAGAAGTATAACCAAAAATCACATGAATACATAACTCCCTGTATTTCCATTTATGTCCCCTTGTTTTCCACCTATACTGTTCTGTATCCTAACGCAAGAAACCCATTCCAGTCAGATTTTTGGCTTGTGGTATCAGAGTTTGGGATTGAGTCGAGAAGAGCACCTAGTAATTTACTAGCAAAATGGAAGAAGACTGCAGGAGACTCGAAGCCTTAACAGTAACCACTTTAGCCATGTCCTCTCCCCTTCTACCCCATCTCTGCTCTTTTATGTCTTAGCAAAGTACCCAGAATCAATATTGGACTCACTCTTCAGGCTCCTGACTGTCTTCTTTCCATATATCTTTGCAAAATTTACTAAACACTATCTGTTTGGTTTAATGTTCAGTGAATGTGGAGGAAGCTCTTGAAAGGCAGTACAGAACTGGAGAGTAAACTTAAAAGTGTCCTCCCTCTCTTTTCATAGCTTTTCTATAGTGCTGGAGTGTTGTTGAGTGTTAAAGATGCCACATATTTCTAGTTAAATAATCATTAGTCCCAGCACTTTGGGAGGCTGAGGTGGAAGGATCACGAGGTCAGGAGATGGAGACCATCCTGGCTAACACAGTGAAACCCTGTCTCTACTAAAAATACAAAAAATTAGCCGGGCATGGTGGCACACGCCTGTAGTCCCAGCTACTCAGGAGGGTGAGGCAAGAGAATCGCTTGAACCTGGGGGGCGGAGGTTGCAGTGAGCCGAGATCGCGCCACTGCACTCCAGCCTGGGCATCAGAGTGAGACTCCATCTCAAAAAATGATAATAATAATCATTAGATACCTGATGATTTATGGATCTAAACAATGATTAGATCCATAAGTATTCATTAACCCTCACAGAGTGCACATATTTTAGTTAGATACCATGAGGGCATAGAAAGATAACTCAGGCTGGCTCCCTTTAAGTAGTTATACCTTAGCGTTTCAGGTAGAGCACTGAGCTATCACTGGGGAGAGGCAGGACTCCTGTTCTCTAGAAGTTTATGATCTAAGATGGGAAAACAATGCCAACATATATAAAACATTAGAGAACCATTTTTTAAAAGTACTTAAGTTCCAAACCTGTGTTGCTGAAACCAAAATTGCTATTATGGTTCACTGAAAGGAGTGATTATCTCAGGTCCAGAGCAGTAAAGGATGGCTCTGAAAAATGAAGAGGACTGGGCAAAACAGGTGAGCATAGGGAGCAATAGTGGATCAAATGTCTTTTACCTGGAGGGTTTTTGTATAAGAGAACACCCTGAGGTTGTAAGTCATTTCTTACCCCTTACTGTGCCCACCTGGGCTCCAGGTTTGCAAAGGAGGGAAGGAAGAGGCTCTATCATGGGGTGCCATTGCTCACTAGCCCTGAGCAAAAGTCAAACCCAGCAAGGGAGAACAGATTCCTGGCAGGAGAAATTCTACAGGATGTTTACTCAAGATATGAAAGACTGAAGAAGAGAGAGAAATCAGTGTGAATCTTGTATTAGTGGAAGTGAAACTTGAACTCTTACTTGCATATGAATCATAAGCAGAAAGAAAAAGGAAAGAGGGAAGAAACTGGAGTAAGAGGCGTGAGCAGAGACACTGCTATAAAACATAATATGTACTGAATGTTTATGGCATGCATTGCCTCTATTAAACCATAGGAAGTAGATCCTGATACTATCCCCATTTTAGAGTTGGGGAAGCTGAGGCTTACAGGAATTCACTGCTTGCTCAAAGTCACTGTTAATAAGTAGAGGAGTCAGGAATCAAACTGTTCGATAGCAGATTTAGTGCAGTGAATTGCTACACTAGAGAGATTGAGACATGAGTGAACATGGCAAGAAGAGGAGATCAACACAATAGAACAAAGAGTTATTTCACTTTGCAGAGGAGTGGGATGTAAAGATGGGTAAGGCAGAGTCAAACCCTTTAGCAAGGGATGCAATGCCCTTTTGTCCATAACAGGCCCCTGCCTGCCTCCTAGGTTTATCTCCTGTCTCTCCTTATAGCCCCTTCATGGTGAGGCCCCATTGAATTACCTGGTGATTTCTTAACTTGTCAGACTCTCATACCTCTTGCTTTTGCATAAGCTATTTCCTCTGCCTAGAATAGCTCCTGCCTGTTCTTTGCTTTGTGAATTGCATGTCTTCATCCAAGACTCTTCTCAATTGTGCCTCTGTTTAGTAAAGCCTTCTCCTGGCTCCTCATTCCTCCACACTCTGCAGTCCCTACCCCTAGCAAAGCTGGGTGCTTTCTCCTCTGCAATGGCAGAGCAACCATGCATTATATACTTCCCTCTGCTTCCCTGACATTACAAAGTAATCTGTTCACATGCTGTGGCCTCTCCAGACTCAAAGCCCCTTAAAGAAAGGGATGGCATGCTTAGCACAGTGCCATGGGGTAAGTATTCAAAATAGGTTAATGAATACATGAATAGATGAATGAATAGATTGATTAATTAATTATGGGGAAATTTAAAACTAGGTATGATAAGGTAAGTGGTAGCAATTCTTAGAGATTCAAAGGCAGGGAAGTGGCATGATGAGAATGCTATGTAAAAAATTTAAGATGGATGATTATTGTTTTTACTTTTCTTATTGTAAGACATCAAAAATATACAAATTTATTGTAGTTATTTCTCCTTTTCCAGGTATCTCAGTCATAACAGAATAACCTTCCTGAAGCCGGGTGTTTTTGAAGATCTTCACAGACTAGAATGGCTGTATGTTTAATTTATGTGGCATTTTATTGCACTAGTTTTTAGATTCTAGAGATATATAAATGAATTAATTTTTTTCTTCTGGCTGTCAGGATAATTGAAGATAATCACCTCAGTCGAATTTCCCCACCAACATTTTATGGACTAAATTCTCTTATTCTCTTGTAAGTACTAAACTAAAGCAAATATTTCAATCAAAGGCAAAGACATGAATAAAAATTAATGCTTAAATTTAATACCATTAAATTTGGATTTGTTAAAACCCCAAAGAGGCCTTTTCAATGAAAAACCTTTTCTTAATCATATTCTATAAGGCTATTTATAGTTCCAACAATTTTAAAAGATTTTCTGTCTTCTAGAATATCAGCCCATAAAAACTGAATACATTCTCACTCATATTTTATCACAATATTCTTTTTTTTTTTTTTTTGACATGGAGTCTCACTGTATCGCCCAGGCTGGAGTGCAGTGGCGTGACCTTGGCTCACCACAACCCCCGCCTCCTGGGTTCAAGCCATTCTCCTGGCTCAGCCTCCCAAGTAGCTGGGATTACAGGTGTGTGCCATCACGCCCAGCTAACTTTTGTATTTTGAGTAGAGACGGGGTTTCACCATGTTGGCCAGGCTGGTCTGGAACTCCTGACTTCATGATCCACCCATCTTGGCCTCCCAAAGTGCTGGGATTAAGGCGTGAGCCACCACGCCCAGCCTTTATCACAATATTCTTAAGCACATCGTTACTGTCTATACAGGCAGACCTCAGTGATATTGTGGGTGTTGTTCCAGACCACTGTAATAAAGCAAATGTCACAATAAAGCAAGTCACACAAATTTTTTTGGTTTCCCAGTGCACATAATAAAGTTATGTTTACACTATACTATATTCAATTAAGTGTGCAATAACATTATGTTTAAAAATGTGCATACCTTAATTTTAAAACTCTTTATTGCTAAAAAGAGCTAACAATCATCTGAGTTTTCAGCGAGTCATAATCTTTTTGCTGGTGAAGGGTCTCATGTCAATGTTGACAGCTGCTGACTAACCACAGTAGTGGTTGCTGAAGCCTGGGGTGGCTGTGGCAATTTCTTAAAATAAGATAACAATGAGGTTTGCTACATTGATTGACTTTTAATTTCATGAAAGATTTCTCTATGGTATGCAATGCTATTTGCTAGCATTTTACCCACAAGAGAATTTCTTTCAAAATTGAAGTCAATACTCTCAAATCCTCCCAATGCTTTATCAAATAAGTTTATGTAATATTCTAAATACTTTGTTGTCATTTCAACAGTGTTTACAGCATCTTTACCAGGAGTAGATTCCATCTCAAGAAGCCACTTTCTTTGTTCATCCATAAGAAGCAACTCCTCATCTGTTCAAGTTTTATCATGAGATTGCAGCAATTCAGTCACCTCTTCAGGCTCCACTTCTAATTCTAGTTCTCTTGCTATTTCTACTTCTTCTACAGTTACTTCTTCCACTGAAGTCTTGAACCCTTCAAAGTCACCCATGAGGGTTGGAGTCAACTTCTTCCAAACTCCTGTTAATGTGAATATTTTGACCTTGTTTTCATGAATCACAAATGTTCTTAATGGCATCTAGAATGGTGAATGCTTTCTAGAAGGTTTTTAATTGACTTTGCCCAAATCGTCAGAGGAATCACTATCTGTGGCATCAGTAGCCTTACAAAATGTACATCTTAAATAATAAGACTTGAAAGTTAAAATTAGCTTTTGATCCATGGGCTGTAGAATGGATGTCGTGTTAGCAGGCATGAAAACAACATGAATCTCCTTGTAGATCTCCACTGGATCTCTTGGGTGACCAGGTGCATTGCCAGTGAGCAGTGTATCTTGAAAGGAAATCTTTTTTTTCTGAGCAGTAGGTCCCAAGAGTGGGCTTAAAATGTTTAGTAAACCATGCTGTAAACAGATGTGCTGTCACCCAGGCTTTGTTGTTCCATTGATGGAGCACAGGCAGAGTAGATTTAGCGTAATTCTTGAGGGCCCTAGGATTTTTGGAACAGTAAATGAGCGTTGACTTCCACTTAAAGTCACCAGCTGCATTTGCCTCCAACAAGACAGTCAGCTTGTCCTTTGAAGCTTTGAAGCCAGGTATTGACTTCTCCTCTCTAGCTATGAAAGTCTTGTATGGAATATTTTTTCAATAGAAGGTTGTTTCATCTACATTGAAAATCTGTTGTTTAGTGGAACCACCTTCATGAATGATCTTAGCTAGATCTTCTGGATAACTTGCCGCAGCTTCTCTATTAGTACTTCCTGCTTCACTTTGTAATTTTCTGTTATAGAGACAGCTTCTTTCCTTTCCTTATGAATCAACATCTGCTAGCTTTAAACTTTTATTCTGCAGCTCCTTCACCTCTCTCAGCCTTCATAGAATGAAGCAGAGTTAGGCCTTGCTCTGGATTAGGCTTTGGCTTAAAGGAATGATGTGGCTGGTTTAATCTTCTATCCAGACCACTAAAACTTTTTCCATCAGCAATAAGGCTGTCTTACTTTCCTATCATTTGTGTGTTCATTGGAGTAGCACTTCTAATTTCCTTCAAGAATTGTCCTTAGCATTCACAATTCGGCTAACTGGTGCATGAGGCCTGGTTTTTTGACTTATCTCAGCTTTCAAAATGCCTTCCTTACTATGTTTAATCATTTCTAGCTTTTGATTTAAGGTGAGGAGGTATGCGAGCAGTATATCTTGAAAGAAAACCTTTTTTTTTCTGAGAAGTAGGTCTCAAGAGTGGGTTTAAAATATTTAGTTAACCATGCTGTAAACAGATGTGCTGTCATTCAGACTTTGTTGTTCCATTGTAGAGCACAGGCAGAGTAGATTTAACATAATTCTTGAGGGCCCATAATTCTTGTGGGACTCTTCCTTTCATTTGAACACTTAGAAGCCATTGTAAGGTCATTAATTGGCTTAATTTCAATATTGTTGTGTTTCAGGGAATAAAAAGGCCTGAGGAGAGAGATATGGGGGAATGGCTGGTTGGTGGAGTAGTCAGAACACACACAACATTTATTGATTAAGATAGCTGTCTTGGCTGGGTGGGGTGGCTCATGCCTGTAATCCTAGCACTTTGGGATGCCAAGGCGGGCAGATCATCTGAGGTCAGGAGTTCAAGACCAGCCTGACCAACATGCTGAAACTCCATCTCTACTAAAAATAGAAAATTAGCTGGGTGTGGTGGCACATGCCTATATCCCCAGGTACTTGGGAAGCTGAGGCAGGAGAATCGCTTGAACCTGGGAGGTGGAGGTTGCAGTGAGCCGAGATTGCACCATTGCACTCCAGCCTGGGCAACAAGAGTGAAACTTTGTCTCAAAAAAAAAAAAAGATTGCTGTCTTCTATGGGCATGGTTTGTGACACCACAAAACTACTGCGATAGTAACATCAAAGATCACTGATCACAGATCACCACAAACAATATAATAATAAAAAGTTTGATGGCTGGGCAGGGTGGCTCACGTCTGTAATCTCATGCTTTGGGAGATTGAGGAGAGAGGATAGCTTGCAGCCAGGAGTTTGAGACCAGCCTGGGCAATATAGCAAGACCCCATCTCTACCAAAAAAAAAAATTGTTTTTAGTTAGCAGAGCATGGCGACACATGCCTGTAGTCCCAGCTACTCAGGGGGCTGAGACAGGAGAATCACCTGAGCTCAGGAGTTTGAGGCTGCAGTGCACCATGGTCGCACCACTGCACTTCAGCCTGGACAACAAGGCAAGACCCTGACTCAAAAAAAGGAAAAAGTTTGAAATACTCTGAGAATTACCAAAATATGACACAGACACACTAAGTGGGCACATGCTATTGGAGAAATGGCATTCATAGACTTGCTCAATGCAAGGTTGCCACAAACCTTCAATTTTAAAAAATGCACTATCTGCAAAGTGCAATAAAGCAAAACACAATAAAACAAGGTGGGCCAGGTGCAGTGGCTCACACCTGTAATCACAGCACTTTGGGAGGCCGAGGTGGGCAGATCACCTGAGGTCAGGAGTTCAAGACTAGCCTGGCCAACATGGTGAAACCCCATCTCCACTAAAAATATAAAAAGAAAAAAATAGCCGGGCATCGTGGCAGGCGTCTGTAATCCCAGCTACTCAGGAGGCTGAGGCAGGAGAATTGCTTGAACCTGGGAAGCAGAGGTTGCAGTGAGCCAAGATTGCACCACTGCACTCCAGCCTGGGCAGACAGAGCAAGACTCTGTCTCAAACGAAATAAATAAATAAATAAATAAAAATAAAACAAGGTGTGCCTACATTAATCTTGGTAAAGAAAAAAAATGCCTTTAAATCATCTCCTTTCCACCATTTGTTGTTGACGGGTTTAGGCTATTTTTTTTTTTTTTTTTTTAGTTACTAACATTACTGCTTTCCTCCATATAATAACTTATATTTGTTAAAATTTTATTACTATCAAGTATTTACATATAATTAGATTATAATTAAATATAGTTAGATTATAATTAAATTATAATTTAAATAAAATTAGAGGGAAGGCTGGGCATGGTGGCTCACGCCTGCAATCCCAGCACTTTGGGAGTCCGAGGTGGGTGGATCATTTGAGGTCAAGAGTTTGAGACCAGCCTGGCTAACATGGTGAAACCCCGCCTCTACTAAAAATACAAAAATTAGCTGGGTATGGTGGCACATGCCTGTAACCCCAGCTGCTCGGAGGGCCGAGGCAGGAAAATCACTTGAACCTGGGAGGCAGAGGTTTCCATGAGCTGAGATCGTGTCACACCACTCCAGCCTGAGTGCCTCCATCTCAAAAAAAAAAAAAAAATTAGAAGGAAAAAACAACTAATTTAGTGGATTTGTGGGTTTCATAAGAATAATAATAATACCATGTTTGACCCAAGATGAGAAGAGAACCAGAAAAATGTGACTTGTTTGTCTTTTCCTTTTTCAGAGTCCTGATGAATAACGTCCTCACCCGTTTACCTGATAAACCTCTCTGTCAACACATGCCAAGACTACATTGGCTGTAAGCGATTCTGTCTTTTTTTAAAGAACTCAACTAAATTTTCTGTTTTTACCTAATTCATTCCAGATATAAGATTGTTTTAGTTTTTCTTAAAAATGATAAGGGTTTTAGTATCATATCACATTTCCTCAAACTGCTTTAACATGATTTTTATGTTAAACATCTACATTATCTAAACTAACATCTCTAAACTCTCAGCAAAATAAAACATCTCAAAAAAAATATATATATATATATATATACTGGAGCCAGGAAGAAGAAACACAGAAGGAATGTCACCACATCTATGTAACATCTCCCCCTTTCCCTGCTGGTATACTCACCTACTAATTTGGTACAGAAAGACTAAGTTGTTTTAATTTCACTCTAGAATTCTGAATAATAAGAATATGATATTTAGCATTTATTTTTCAAAAACTAATCATGATAAAATATGTTCCATGGAATATTTTACAAAGTAGCTTTGCTTGTAGTAATAAGTATCACTCCACCATTTAGAACTCAACCATCCAGTAAATTTGCCTATTTAGAACACAAGTGAAAAATAAAAGAAAGAAATAACCAAAATAACTACTAACAAGTTCAATCAACAAACTGCCATATGCTGTATCATATGAAAACTCCCTCTGTCTCTTATTTTATAAGAAATTCTCAGAAGTTGGTTGTTTGATTTCTAAGCTCATAGCAGATTACAAATGTCAAATTAAAAGGAAGAGGAAAAGTTAGAGTCAGAAGCATTGATTGTAGTCAGAAGTAACAACTATCAACTTGATAAAAAAGCATAAGTGAGAAATGCTATAAAAAGCAATGACAGTAATTCAAACTGTACTAATCTGCAACCTCTCAGAAAAAAACAAACATTCTGAAAAGTTACTAAGTCCAGTAGGCATTTTGGTATGACAGTATAATACTGTACTGTACATTGAAAACAAGCTAAAGCCATAAAGGAAAGGGCAAATTAAGTTCAACATCCCTCATTAAAATTGAATTTTGGTTCAAATGAATACATTAGCATCTATTACAGCCTCTGTAATCCCAACTTAGTAATTAAACACAATTGAACAATATTTACATAATTAGCAATTAAAATGTGTGCATTTAGACAGAAGCAACTGTGTGCAGTATTATGCACAAGCAATAATAAA